>NC_000002.12:88719911-89025295 GCF_000001405.40 Homo sapiens | reverse complement strand
ATGACAACAGAAAATAGTCAACGAAAGCTGATTCTAACTTGCCGTAATTATCGGATTTAGTAAAGACTACAAAGATTTTCAAATAATTATTTTTAAAACTATGATCATTGACATAAAAAAGAAAATATTAAGAAGATTTGGCAAGTAGGGCCTCAAGAAAAGATATGGAAAATATAAAAAATGACCAAATTGGAACTCTAGAAATGAAAAGTAAAATAATCCAATTTAAATACGTATTAGCTAGGTCTAATAGCAATTTGAGATGGCAGAATAATCAGTTAACTTGAAAATAAAGGAATAGAACTTATTGAGTCTAAATAAAATGTTTAAAAAAAAGGAGGAAGACGTCAGAGATTTATAGCTCAGAGTGAAGGATACCAACAAAAGTATAATGAGAGTCACAAAGGAGGAGAGACAGAGAAAGTGGCTGAAAAAAAAATCCTTGGAGAAATAATGACAAAAACTTTTCAAAAGTAATAAAAAATATTCTTAGATGAAAAAATTCAATAAAACCCTTTTAGATAATAGAAATTAATAACTGAACACATTATATTAAAATGTTGAAAGACAGAAAATCTTCACTGCATCAAGAATGAAAGGCCATTCGCCATTTTTAAATGTAGTACTGTGGAAAGTATTGTGACACAAGCCTCTGCTTCACAAACTGATCACTGTCAAACATCATCTCCCAACCAATACACAGAAACAACATATTGTTATTGGCTAAGTTTTCATTAGGACCAATAGAGATTAGAAGCAGTGAAATGACATACTTAGATGCTGAAAGGAGAAAAAAGTCACTAGGAATTCTATATCCAGTGAAAATACCTTCACATCTAAAGAAAAAGCAAAAAAAAATTTTCTTTGATAAAAAAGTACATTCATTCATAGCAGCTATGTCTTATAAGACATTTGAGAGAAAATCCTTCAGAATCCCAGGAAATGACATCAGACAGGACCTTGAGTCCACTGGAAGAAATGAAGGCCTCAAACATTGTAAGGAGCAATACCAAGGCTAAAAAGAGAAAAATACACTTAATGCTATTTATGTGAAGTTCAAGACAGGAAAACCTAAGTGATTGTGTTAGATGTCAGAATAACAGTTACTATGGCTGGGTGGGAGGGGCGAAAACTGACAAAGATTGTCCATGAGGGAAGCACAAGAGTATGTGAAATATTCTATCATTCCACCTGGACAATGAATTACACATAAACTTTATTCAGTTGCACATTGAAGATTTGTGCACTTTACCCTGGCTACTTTATCAATTAAAATAAAACTTAAAAAAAACAAACCTAGACTCTTTCCCACTTACCAGTAATCACAGCCAAGAGCCCAGACTAATTTGAAATATTATTATTATCAACACTTCTTTACCCTATCTTGACACTTACACTTCTTATTCAGCTACAGTTTCACAGCTCCACCTCTGGCCCATTCTTTTGGAAGACCCCATAGCCATAGGTCAGGTAACAACTATAGAAGATGCATAAATGACAAGATTGATGAGTATTTAGCAGAAAAAAACTTGTATGTATCACAGACTGTCCTATGCAGAGTGTACAATACATGTGAGTAGAGTCCCTCTAGCACAGAAAAGAAGTGTGAACTAGACCTTCAGAATATGGTCCAGTTTTTAGAGTTCATCAGATCATCAGATGAACACAGATCAAGGTGTCCTCTCATCTGGGTATGAGAAAGTGAAATGACTGCAGGTTCCCACCAGATCAGTGGCCCGTGGCTTTAGAGACATGTACATGAAACTCACATTTCTTCATATCCACAGTCACTTCCTGGCTTCAGCCATAGGAATGACGGCCTGGCTTTCCAGTTATTTAGGAACTCTGCACACAGGCTGTCAGTTACTAAAATGAAAATTAAAAACAATGACTTTGGTTAAATATGTAACAGTAGTTACATTCTGTAGGGAAAAATGAGCAGAGGGAATATATTTTAATATCAAATGAAAAGTCACAACCTTGTGACTCCTTTCTTTTCCCATATGATTCATTACGCTTGTGCTGAAACTTCAGACTATCAAATGAGCCCCATATGTTCATCCCTAAAGCTTTGTCCTTGTCCAACCTGAACCCACATTTGGGCCATCCACTGGCATCCAAGTACACTTGTGAGATGATCACTGTCCAGACAGGATTGCTGGGGTGACTCAACAGGCAGCTCCATGCTGAGTCTCCCCTTGAACTCCCAGCATCACTAACCCTGCAGGAGTGTCCCCTTGTCCTCCACAGCACCCAGAGCACAGCCTGCCCTGCCATGATTTCACTGCCCAACTCAAAACCTCATCATAGATTCCGCCGGCTCAGAGACAAAGTCAGGTCCCAGGCAGAGGCAGGTGTGGGGGCCTAAGAAAAACCATTTTTTCATCAATTTTCCTATTAGGAATTCCCAGGAATTTATAAGCTGAATTTCTGTTCATAGTTACCATCTTAAAAAATAAAAGCTATTTGTATTGTGAGAAACATGAAACATGGAAAATAATTAAATCTCACAAGAGCACCATCTAGTCAGAGACTCCAAATTCAACTAATCCAATTCTGAGCTCCCTGCCTTATGGTCCATCTCCATGGTGTCTGTGTGCTCCACCCTTATCAAATATATGTTCAAATAATTATTTTAACCTATAATAAAAGACTTAAAAAGGAATTTGTAAAGACAATGATTCAACAAATAGAGGCTCTCAAACAGAGACAAAACTATGAAAACAGACCTACTGGGAATCCGAAAAATGAAAGGTACAACTCAATTGAAAAATGTATTAGATAGACTCAACAGCAATTTAACATGACGCGAGAGTCAGTGATCTGAAAAAGAAGTCAATAGAAATGACCTCATATAAAGAAGGGAAAAATTATAAAGAAGAATGAATAAAACCTCAGACATTATAGGTCCCTGTGAACAATACCAACAAATTTGTATTAGGAATCACAAAGGAGAAGACAGGAAGAGGCTAAAAACTGTGTTCTCATCTTTACGCCCATGTGTACCCCATGTTTAGCTCCCGCTTATAAGTGAGAACACGTGGTATTTGGTTTTTTGTTTCTGCATTAGTTCACTTAGGTAAATGACCTCCAGCTGCATCCAAGTTTCTGCAGGACCATGATTTTCTTCTTATTTATGGCTGCATAGGATTCCATGGTGTATCTATACACAGTTTTTTTTTTTATCCAATCCACGGTTGATGGGCACAATAGACACTGGGAACTACTAGAGGGGAGACAAAGGGAGGAAGGGCAGAGGCTGAAAAAATACCTATGGGGTACAGTGCTCACTACCTGTTTAATAAGTTCAGTCATACCCCAAATCCCAGCATCATGCAAAATAACTTTGTAACATATCTGTACATGTATGCTCTGATTTTAAAATAAAAATTGAAAAAGAAAAAAATGGAGAAATAATGAAAAACATTTTTTACAGTGATGAGACACCTTAATCTATACATGAAAGAAACTCAGTGAAACCCTTTTAGGATAAGCACAGTACAATTCATAACTATACACATTATAGTACCAGTGTTGAAAGACAAAGACCCAGAGAATTTGAAATGCATCACTAAAATACCGACTTACTTTATACTAAGAAGCAATATTAAAATCATTGGCTAAATTTTCACCATTACAAATGGAGGTGAGAAGACAGTGGAATGATATTTTTAAATACTGAGCCACAAATTCTCAGCCACAAATTCTATATCCAGAAAAACAATCGTTTAAATATAAAAGCAAGGTAGAAATATTCCTTCATACACAAAGATTAATTCATTAATAGCATATATGCCTTGTAAGAGATTCAAGAGAAAATTCTTCAGAATAACAGAGAATGACAGCAGACAGCAACTCAAATTGACAAGAAGGAACCAAGGCCTCAAAAAATGAAAAAAGTTAGAAAGAAGCTACAAAAAATGTTTACTTTACCTGATATAAAGATTAAGTCCAGGACTAAAACAATTATATGTCAGAATATCATTTACATTGATTGTGTTTTGAGCAGCAGTTTTTGACTGGGAAGGTGCATAATGAAAGCAGCGAGAGAATTGGAAACCTTCTGCGTTTCTATGTGGATCATGATATGAAATGATCTGGATCTTGACATTCATTTGCACCCTTAAGAGTTGCACCCTTTGCACTGTGTGTTTTACCTTAGATAAAATAAAATAAAATAAAATAAAATAAAATAAAATAAAATAAACAAACCTAGACTCTTTTAAATAAACCTAAACAAAGAAATAAGAATCATCAAATATTTATGAAAGATCAAGCTTATTAAAAAGAAACATAAAACATGCCCGAGAAAGTCCTAAAGAACTAGAAGTCTAGTAGAGGAAACAGCAGGAAAATCTAAATACGTCCCTTCTGCCACTCAGGCAACACAGATTTTACCTCTATTGATTTCCTTAAAAACATAAAATATATTTATGTCATTTTGCTCACAAGAGACGCCCCCACCTTCTCCTTGGCTCTTTCCACCCCACTGCACCCACCAGGGGATTTGCATACTGTCCCCTAGGGAGGACTTTCCTTGTGAGTCTGAGACGAAAGCTCACTCTAACCTTGCCTTGACTGATCAGGACTCCTCAGTTCACCTTCTCACAGTGAGGCTCCCTGCTCAGCTCCTGGGGCTGCTAATGCTCTGGGTCCCTGGTAAGGGCAGAAGGGAAATGAGGGAGGATGATGGGGTGGGAGGGTGAACTCTGTGGACCCCGCCACCTCCCATGTGTGTCCTGTCCTCGTGTTAGATGTGTCTTGTCCTCCAGGATGGGGCATGTGATGTCTAGATCTGTGAGAGTGAGGAAGATTCCAGAAGGAGCAAGGATATGTAAATATTGGTTCTTTTTAAATCTGTATGTTTTGGGAGGATTAATCAAAATCACACACACAAAAATAATTGAGCAAAACATAAATAACAGACAGAAAATGATTAAAATGACTCACAATGTTTGCACATAACCTTGCACTTCTCTCTCATTATTTCATGATCCAATGGAGATGCTGTGATGACCCAACCTCCACTCTCCCTGCCCATCACCCCTGGAGAGCCAGCCTCCATCTCCTGCAGGTCTAGTCACAGCCCCCTTCACAGTAATGGATACATCTATTTCAACTGGTACCTACAGAAGACAGGCCAGCCTCCTTGGCTCCCAATCTATTTGGTTTCCAATCACGACCCTGGAGTCCCAGACAGGTTCAGTGGCAGTGGGTTGGGGACAGATTTCATGCTGAAATCAGGAGGATGGATGCTGAGGATGTTGGGGTTTATTGCTGCCAGCAAAGTACACATTATCCTCCCACAATGGTATAGTCTTGAACACAAACCCCCCCACTTGCTGTGGCCTAGCTGCCCAGATGTGCTGTTTCTGTGGAGAGCAGGCACTGTGGATTCTCTTAGATGCCTAAAGACCAAGATGTTGGAGAACTCAGAGGACTTGGTGCAGCTGAGGGCTCATGACCATAAATTTCTTGGCTACACCTCAGGCACCACATTTTAAGGTCCCGTCAGCTGCAGCAGCCTTTGCATGACAGAGTCTGCAGTATGGAGGAGGTCCACGTGCCCTCTGAGCAATGAGACACAAGAGAAGAGAAGGCTCAATGAGAGCTCATTCTAATCCTCTCTTCCTTCCCTATGTTCATTCATCAACTAAATTCATTCTGCATAACAGGCACCTAATTGAGACTGATTACTGGCAACACAAAACTAACACATTCTTTTGATTTGGTTTAGCAGTTACCAGAGTACATGTACATTGATAAGATCTGGTGATATTAAATCAGTTTCCCTCCCCTCCTCCACCTCCCCCCTCCACTTTTTGTAAGGCCGACCCTTGACCAGAACAGCAGCAAGCACTGTATTTTATCCTACTTTTTTCAGGGAGAAGCCAAATAAAACTCTTCACAGTCTAGATTTTTTAATTACTAGATATGTTGTGGCAAATGTATGCAAAAATAAAGACCTAGTTGCTAAAGTGTTTGCACAGTCTCACTCACAGCATATTGAAGTACAAAAGTAGCTTTCTGAACTCCAAAGCTGGGTTTCAAAAATAAGGACAAAGTTCGAAAGAATAAAGGAACATATGTATGTTATTTAAACAGAATTTGAATGAATACAAGATAATATATAAGCTAACTTTTTACCCCATGAAAAATTACAATGTGAAGATTTTGAGCAGAGGGCAGCAAGTGAGAGACTGGTGGGTTGTGTTTGAGATATGAACCCAGATGGAAGTTCTCACGTATTTCCTGGGAAGAATCACAGAGTTGAGAAGCGCCTGCCTGGCTTTCAAGGCAGTAACAATCTCAACAGAGTCAGGTTATCAAATGGAAATGGCACATTCTTGATCAGGCTTAGTCAGGACCCCACAGGATCTGTGGCTCCATGAACAAATGGAGAGGTTGTTGAAGGGACCAAATGACTTGTAGGTGATAATTTGGATTTTCATTTACCCATGTCGAGCCCAAGATTCAGAGATTTCCATATAGCAGGAGTCACTGATGGCTGAGGAAAACGCAAACTGACAGGTCCACCAGGTGTGGCCACCATTCAGCCAATGGATGGCCACTTTTTTAACTGAAACTTAGCATGGGATTTCAACCCAGTGGGTCAAACTACATTCAGTGGTAATGGCCATGCAGGCTGTTCCAACATCGTACCATGCCACATTCCCACTAAATCATGGGCCATTGCCAACAGCCTCAACATCTGTTCAGGAAAATGGCAACTGAGAGACTGGACTTTTAAAGAATCCCTGGTGTGGAGGAAAGGACTATGGCCACAGCTTTCCACCTGCAGGAAAAAGAGATACGATGCTCAATTGGATGCCGGGACTACCAAGGTCACCCTTGAAAGGAACTTACATCATATTTTTGGATACCCAATGACACTTCACACTGACCAAGGAGCATCTTTCACTGCCCAAGCAACATGACAATAGGCACACTCTCATGGAACACGATGAACTTTCCATGCACCCTGCATCCACAGGCCAATGAATCTAGTGAATGCTAGAACAATGGACTCACACAGCAACATCTAGAAAGGACATCTAGAAAGTCTGCTAATGGGGTGGTACCCCATCTTACTAGAGCAATATGGGCATTAAATATCGCACTCCAGAACAAGGGAAATAATGAATGTTAAGGAACATAATGCTGAGTGGAAACGAAGGTAGACCAGGCAGACCCTTTATTAGTCTGGACCTGTGAAAGCTATTTCAGTGTTCCTAACCATTCTTTTTCTTTTTTTCCTTTAGAATGCATGCCCTGGGGTGATTTTCAATTCAGGCCATCATCTTACCCCAGACAGGCCCCCTAACTCTAATATGGGGATTATGTTTCCTCTAAATGCCTCTTTTCTACAAGATCCCACAGGATGGATGACAAGACTAAGAAATATCAGGGAGCTAGGGGCCCTCTTCTGGTGCCAGGGCCATCTTATCCTTCCTTTAGTATTGGTGATATTATGAAATATGTCAAGTTTTTACAGGGCATAATCTCCCTTCCTGCAGTGGACAATCAGGACTGAAATGTCTGGGTCAAGTGACAAAGGCAATGGATTTTTCACAGAGCAAGGACAGCCAGGCCGCATTCTTACACCAACACAGCCTAACCCTTGTAGATGGGTAGGAGACACCTGAGACCCTGGGATGGGTGAGAGATGATGCACTAACCTGTCACACTGCATTTTGGCAAGAATGAGGCAGCAAAGGCCTAGAAGCATAACATCTTTGTTAGCTTCTTGCAAGTCACCGAGTGTAATCTTTCAAAATACTGAATCTGCCATTCTTGACCTCGTTCTGTCACTAACTAGAGGTTTCCTTTCATTCTACTGAAGGCAAATGACACCAACATTACTGATATCATGGTGTACATCAACAGGACCCGGGCACTGGCCTACCAACTGAGGATGTGATACCTACCACATGGGAGAAAACTGGAGGCCCCCCATTTAACTAAATTGACTCTGTGGCAAATGTCATGACCACAACTAAAAAAAACATTGGTGGACTGATATTTTGATGTACCATATTTCTTTGATTGCATAGATAAGAAATGCCCCAATGGCAAAGACAAAAACAAGGAGAGGACTAATGCTACCCTCTGTCTATGAACAATATTGTCTGAGCAAAACTTTGCTCCTTCAACTCTGCCATCAGTGAGACTTGGCTAATGAACACACCAATACCTGCATAACCATGACTGGGTGATTAAACAATAAAATGGGAGAAAGGGGGCTGTATGCACCCAAGGGCTACATATTTCTCTGTGAATGGTCTGGGAGTGAACAAAATGCAGGATGTGTGATGCCATCTCTGGATAACTGTGGGATGGTGAGATTCTGCATGTTGGGCATGCTGGGCTTGTCTCTGGATATTACTCCTTGGAATTAGGTGAACCATTGAGCCTGCAGCCCAAAGCTGTACCTCAGACTTACTAGGGACCTGCCAGAAGGTATAACAGACTATGGGTTTATGTCTTTTGTGATATTTTTGGTACTATGTATAGGAGTCAGTGCTCATGTAAAAAAGAGAAATGATAAGAAATGTGTCCCTGACCATGGCAGATATGGCTCCTCCTCCATAGCCACTGCCTTGGTAGCCCAGCAGACATCCCTTAACTCCATCGGGATGGATGTTTTAGATAACAGTGTTGCTCTAGACTTTTTTAAAATCCCAACTGGGAGGATTGTATACAATTTCCAACACTTTCTGTTGTACCTGGACAAACACCTCAGGTATCCTAGAAATTCAAGAGAGGAGATCTGGAAACAGGCTCGTAATTGAAGAAAATGGTCCCACCTGAAGGATTCTTCTTTCACCCCTTTAGCAACTTCTTCTGTGGATCATTGGATCCTGGGCTACATAACTGCTTCAGGTGGGCCTGATCATCCTGCCTCTGGTAGTAGTTTTCATTGGCCCAGTGAAATCTATTCTGGCTCTGGCTCTATGATGTTGCTTTGACATTGTGTTCGTCGAGGGGCTTCATCAGTCAAACAAGACACACCTCTGCCACCAGTTCAGGGTTATTAGTAGGCATATAAAATGGAATGGCTTTCTAACGGGGGTGTTTGGGTTGGGGGTGACTCCAGTACAGTCCTCTAATGGTTCTCGACTCAGTTAGTTCTCCCCACTCTCTTTCTTACACTTCTCAAGAACAACTGTAGAATGTGCTGGAAATGTAACATTCTGAAATAGGGAGAGACTGGTCAGAAGAGCCTGCCCCTGTTCCAGCTTCTCCTAGTACTGTCCTCCAGTACTTTAGTCCTCCAGTACTTTAGCTCCATGTGTCCTGTGACACCAGGATTAAAAACCCAGAGCATCTTCTTTCTGGGGTTGCTGAGTTGTGGTCCAACTGGGGTACACACAGTCAAGATTCCATCAGACCCACATGCCTGTGCCTCAGGGGACAGACCCACAATACATCCTAGGCTTCTGCAGTCCCTTGTTGGCCACCTATAAATACTACACCAGATTCTTGTAACTTGTTGTGTATGATTGTTCTGTCTCCCTGGACTCTGATAAGTTGGTAACCAGGGCACAGTGAACCTGCTTCAGAGTAGTCACTGTCATAGAGACAGAACTTGAATGGAGGTTGCCAGGAACTTGAAGCAGGGGAAATGGGGAGAGGGTTGTCATTTAATTGAAATAGAGTTTCAGTTTTAGAAGATGGAAAGAGTTCTGGAGATTGCTATTATTGATGATAGCACAACAATGTGACTTACTTAATGCCATTGCCCTGTACACTTAAAAATGGCTAAGATGGGCAATGTTATGTTCTCTATATTTACCATAGTTGAAAAACTTAGCATTTTTATTATGATATTGATGGATTATAAGACATCATTCTATTTTCTAGTTTTCTGAGCAAATGTTAATAAATAATCTCTTATAGATGTCATTGTTCACACCACATCTTACCAAACATTCTTTTTTTTCTACAGACAGGGGGATCTCCTTATTTTTTCGAGGCTGGTCTTGGACTCCTGGCTTTCAGCTGTCCTCCATCCTTGACTTTGCAAACATCTAGGATAACGGGCATAAGCCCCTGCACCTTGCCTTAACTAACAATTTATCAGCTTTAACAGGGAACTTCCTTGAAAATGTATATTCCATTGCAGCCACCTCTAAGGCCAGACAATCCCCTAAGCCATATTTCTGTACCCAAGTGCACTGCTCCCTCTGTGATGTCACATGCCCTCAGAATGAAGTCCCATAAGGAGAACAAGGCAAGGAGGCCACCAAATGATCTGAGTGGAAATTATTGTGAAGGTCTGGCATTAAAAGAGCATCAGTGTTGCAGTTTTTCTTGACTAGCAAAACACTCTCTGACTTATTTTCCTGGATGTTTTTTTTTTTCCTTAAACTTTTCCTAATATTGAATACTAGGGTTGAGATGAGAACCTTTCTATCCTAAGTCTAGTTAAACACTATTTCATTGAAGACATATTGCCTTATGGAGTACGATAATAATAAATGTTGAAAACACTTATTACTACTCCCAACACACCTTGTATATACCTTGTTACCATCTTAAATATTATGGCTTGATAAAATTATTTGAAAAGGAGCTTGGATGGCATTGATTCTATTCTCAATATCCTGAAACACATCAACCACCAAAATTGACAAGAAAATAGTCAGAAAAACATAGCTTAATAATCACTAGCTATTCTGGTTACTGTTGAGTGACAATTAGGTGAAATCTTAAAAAAAAAATCAAAACAGCAGTTGGAGGGTGTGGAGCTATAATAAGTTATTGGTGGACATGTAAAATGTTTCAGCCACTTTGGAAAAAGTTGAACAGAGTATTAAACACTTACTGTAAGACCCAGCAACTACACGCCTAGGAATTAGCCCAAAAGAAATAAAGAGATATGTTCATACAAAGTCTTGTTCAAGAACATTCATAGCAGCTTTATCCGTAATAGCCCAAAGTGGAAACAACTTACATGGCAATCAACAGGTGAAAGGATCCATTATAAAATTACCAAACAGTTAAATAACACTCAAAAATAAAAAGGAGCACATAACTGGAACACATGACATCTCAATGAATCTGAGAAGCAGTTATGCTGCACAAAATTCACCAGATGCAAAAGAGCACATGCTATATTTCATTTATATGAAACCCTTAAAAAGAAATTGGAATCTGCACTGACAATAAGCAGATCAAGAATTCCCTGATCTGTGTGGTGGAAAGCAAGTGGATTCCAAAAGAGTAGGTCAAAACTTTTGGGAGTTATAGAAATGTTCTATGTCTGGATTTTGGAGGTGGTTCTGCAGATGTATTTATTTGTGACAGTTCTTTGACAGTGTATTTTATTGTAATTTTTTTTCAGTAAACTTAGTTAACAGTGAACAAAGTAAGTGCAAGACCAATTGGGTAATGTTGTCTTTGCATCTTCTATCTGTAGTGTACTGAAAATTGTATGAGCCAGAATATCTGAGAGAAAATCTCAGCTCCGAAACAAGAACTGTGTAGCTCTTGGCAAGATCTCTCTTTTCTAAGGAGTTTGGATTTTTCTTCTATAGAATGAGAATTTAAATACCCTTCATAGATTAAATCAAAATGGTAGGCTTTTAATACACATTCATTATTCATTTCAACTAAAAGTCTAAGCAAAACAAAAAGTCATACAAAAATAAAAATAATATTTAAATAAGATGAAATATTCTTTTAAAAGTTAGGAAAATGGAACTGTCACATCTTCCGTTTCATATCAATTTTTTAGAACTTGTAATTACATATCAAGTGTTCTTAGCATAAAAACTGTAATACACTTAACCATGTGTGTTCACAAACATATAGGTATAAAAATGATTATATTTTCCTTCTTTCCCTATTTTTCAGAATATTTGTGTTTATGTTCACAAGAGATACCAGCATTTAATTTCTCCGTTTGTTACGTCCTTGTTTGTTTTTGGACTGGAGTATATGGTGATCTCATATGATAAGTTTGGGAGTATTTATTCTTTTTGAATCTCTTGAAAATTTGTGTAATTTTGATAAGGTATCAAGACACCAGTCAGGCAGATATAAAATTGGAAATTTCGTTCTGGGTAAATTTATAATACAAAGTTATTGTTACTTCTGTCAAGCTAGTTGCCATAAAAATACTCAGAATATCCACCTTTTGTATTTTTATAATCATAGGCTCTGCAATGATTTTCCCCTTTCCATTTATAGTGCTGTGTTTTGGGGTTTTATTCTTTTTTCTACCCCTTTCATCAACTTGTCACAGGCTTCAATTCTTTCTGGGAGGGCATATGTGGCACATGAGAAATGCTGGTTCTTGTGGATATGAGATCATTCACTGTTTTTGTATGTAATACTGTGGAAAGTGCTGTGACATAAACCTCTTCTTCACGAAATTGATTACTGTTCAAACATTCTTCCCCAACCAATATGGAATTTGCTGTGTTTTTAATGGTGTAATTCACATAGGCATACAAACCCTGAATTGAAATAGTGGATGTGCCCTCTACCACATGGTATATTTAAAGAAGTTAAATAATATTAACACGTAATGAGTAGCTTTGAATTTTAAAAATCTATTTGGCAAGGAATTCACAGTTCCTTCCATCTAAAATAACCTAATGATTCTTCCAGAAGTGATCCTGGTTTGATGCTTCTCTCCCCGTGGTGACAGAGGTTTGGCACATCATCACACTTATAAAGCCCCCCATTTACCTGTCTACAACCACTGTGCAGGCATGAACATTATTTTCCCTTGCTCTAGTCCTTTTTCTACACCCTAGTTTCACATAATTTGAGACTCAAAACATTTCTCAGGTAAGATTCTGGATTGAGCTAACAAGATTTCTCCAGAGGTGTCAGAGATGCCTGTACAATCACTGATGCATCTCTAGAGGGAGTTGTAAGTATGAGGAAGAGAAGAGCTTGTAAATCTTCAAGCTGCTTTTACTCCCACTGTACTAACAACAACTACTACAATCACAACATCCACAACAGCACAGGACGAGCTTCTACAGCTTCCAATGCATCTATCTCAGTAAATCTCCTCTACCTCTATCTCATGCTGCTAGAATTTTTGAGAGTCATGCAAGTACTGCTGTACCCTTTAGTTCATAATTTGAAAAGAAGGAAGCCTCAGTGCAACATAGGCAGTCCTTAAACCAGTCACCCTTTAGTTTCTGGATCATCATTATACACATAAACACAGCATGTATCATAAATATATATATATATATGCACACACACACACACACACACACACACATATATATCCATGAGGCAATACTTACCACAGTCTGTGTTTTCTGTGGTATTATATTTTCCTCTTTTTCTCTTATTCTGGTTTTTTCCTTAAAAAACCTCCAACTAACTTAAGCAAATTAACAAGCAAAAAAAAACTATTTTAAAAAGTGGACAAAGTATATGACCAAACACTTTTCAAAAAAGCATATTAACGGCCAAAAAGCGTATGAAAAAGTGCTCAAAATCACTAATTATTAAAAAAATGCAAATCAAAACCACAGTGAGATACCATCTTACACCAGTTAAAATGGCCATTATTAAAAACTTAAAAATGACAGATGCTAGTGAGTTTATGGAGAAAAGAGAATGCTTATACACTGCTGGTGGGAATATAAATCAGTTCAGCCATTATAAAAAGCAGTTTGGCAATTTTGCAAAGAACTTAAAACAGAAATATCATTTGACCCAGCAATCTCTTTATTGGATATATACTCTAAGGAATATAAATCATTTTACCATAAAGACACATGCATGTGTATGTTCATCACTGCACTATTCCTAATAGCAAAGACGTGGAAGCAACCTAAATGCCCATCAGTTGTAGATTGGATAAAGAAAATGTGGTACATATGCAACATGGAATACTTAATATACAGCTATGAAAAATGAGATCATGTCTTTTGCAACACTGTGGATGGTGCTGGAGGCCATTATCCTAAGCAAACTAACACAAAGATTCAAGTTTATGCTAATCAAGGCTCCTGTAGTAGAAGAAGAAAAAAAATTGTTTTAAAGTAATCAGATTTAGCATTGCTAGTCAGACTTTTATGCTGATGGACCATGGGAAATAATTCACAATGACAGAAAAGGGGGTAGAATATGGGGGTCCCCAAGCAGAGAATAAAATGAATCCCATTAAAACTCGAGCATTAAAGAGACTTATAGCTCTGGACAATGCAGGAACTGTGGATGTCATATGCTTTAAGGAATCCCAATATCATCTTCTTTGTCAATCTGCAGTAAACCTCTTCAGCTTAGACTGGTAATAACATTGGTTTAGGGCCATTACAAAATGCTTTTGAGAACATTTTACTTGCTCATGACTAAGTGTTCTTTTTTACTTAAAAAAAGATCAATTTCATGCTTACAAAAATGTAGTATGTATGTCACAAAGTATCGCTCCCAACTGGAACAATTTCACAGTGTGTTGAAGACCTGATAGCCCCACTCTCTAAGACTTTATTAAGAATTCTCTACAAACAAGGATATTCTCCTACTTATGCCCAATACGGCATTGAAATATATTATTCCATCTAGTTCTCACAACCACTTCGAGATTTGCCAATAAATGCTCAAAAATGTACTTGGTAACAAAATATCCTTTAGGAAGAAACATTCTCTGCAGGCAAATCTAGGTGCCCTGGTCTGACCTGGGACACTGGGGACACTGCCCCTGTGCTGAGTTACTGAGATAAGCCAGCCACGCAGCTGTATCCAGCCTGCCCCACCCCCTGCCGATTTGCTTGTTCCCAGAGCACCACCCCCTGCCCTAAAGACTTCTTAATAGGCTGGTCACACCTGTGCAGGAGTCAGTCCCAGTCAGGACACAGCATGGACATGAGGGTCCCCGCTCAGCTCCTGGGGCTCCTGCTGCTCTGGCTCCCAGGTAAGGAAGGAGAACACTAGGAATTTACTCAGCCCAGTGTGTTCCGTACAGCCTGGCTCTTGAGGGAAGTTCTCTTACAACATGATTAATTCTATGGACATTTGTGTTTATATTTCCAATCTCAGGTGCCAGATGTGACATCCAGTTGACCCAGTCTCCATCCTTCCTGTCTGCATCTGTAGGAGACAGAGTCACCATCACTTGCCGGGCCAGTCAGGGCATTAGCAGTTATTTAGCCTGGTATCAGCAAAAACCAGGGAAAGCCCCTAAGCTCCTGATCTATGCTGCATCCACTTTGCAAAGTGGGGTCCCATCAAGGTTCAGCGGCAGTGGATCTGGGACAGAATTCACTCTCACAATCAGCAGCCTGCAGCCTGAAGATTTTGCAACTTATTACTGTCAACAGCTTAATAGTTACCCTCCCACAGTGTTACAAACCTGAACATAAACCCCCAGGGAAGCAGACATGTGAGGCCGGGCTGCCCCAGCTGCTCCTCCTGATTCCTCCATCAGCTGAGAGTGTTCCTCAGATGCAGGCACACTCTGATGGTGTTGGTAGAGGGGGATGTGAAGTCACCTCTGCATCCCAATTTCTTTTTCTTTCTCAGCACCAGGTGCACAGACATAACAGTTCCTCTCCTGATTTAAAAAAGGCAGGGATCATGACACCTGAGGAGTCTAGTTTATGGCTTCAGTTGGAATTCAAGTAACAGAGAAGAAGCCACTATAGATATTCTAAGCAGGAATTGTCTTGATACAGAGAAATAGAGTATAAACTATGGAAGTCTAAATAAAAATATAGAGATGAATCTCAAATTTCATGTTTTATTTGCTAAGAAATATTTGCTAAATGGGGCATACAGAAAAACTCAATGGTCTTCAATATGTTGAAAGAACAAAGAGAAGCTTAGAGTTTCATGAAAAAAGGAAAATGTTACCTATTGCTCTTTGAGAAAGTTTATTGGCTCCAGAAAATTTTGGGAGCTGGCAAGCTCAGAATGGTAAGCACTGATGGACAAACTGAATCCTAGAATTATGTTAAATTATTCAGAAGTTGGGGTTGAATTTGATTTCCGGTTACAAGAGGCCAAAGCAGTGAAGCTTGCAGAGAATCTTGTTACTGAAATGCCAGGGATTTGGTGTAGATCCTGCTGCTCACCACATATAAAACCAATCACTAAGACAACAAGTATTGCCAAGAAACAGGCTTTAATCAGGTGCTGCAGCTGTGGAAATGGGACCCCATTCTCAAATGTATCTCCCTGACAAACTAAAATTAGGGGGTTATATAGCAGGGAAGAAATGTGGGCAAACAGGAATTAGGGAGGGGTAATGAAGTTAATTTTGTCAACAGGAAGCAGAAGGTCAGTGAGGCAATCACAATGTGTGAAGGGTCTGACGTCTCACTGTCCTGATTCAGTGATATGTAAGTTTCAGCTCTCTGATAGTATCTGGAGGCCTCTTGGTGGGTTTCCTGAAAAAGGAACTCAGATAAGACAAATGTAACTAACTTGAGTTTTAAGACTGGGGAAGTCAATTTCTATGTTTATTCAAAAAACCATAAACATTACTTCCATGGGATAATAGGGCCTATTTCAATTGCATTCTTCAGACAATATTTTACACCCTGAGTGTCTTTCCCTCCTGGTTTCTTGGCTCTGTTGGGTATGTCAAGAATGACCCAATTCCTACATTAACGTTCACACTGCAACCTTTCAAGGCCAAGGATATAGTAGTCATGAAAGCTGACATTAGAAGCAGGATTCTCTGGTGCTCCCTCAGAAAACAGAATCCATCTGCCCCTAAAGTATGGGCTATCTAACCATGTGGTCCTCAGTCCTGTCTGGAAGCTTAGGGGTGGGGGTGCTGATGCTCTCAGCTTCCTACAGCATCTTTTCAGGTGTTTCTCCTGTCCTCATCCCTGTCCCTGTGTCTGTCTTAGGTACCAATGGAGAATATTGAGTCATCCTTTTCTGATTTCCAAATCTCATGGAAGGACCTCTTATTGGGCAACTCTATAGGACAAAAGAGAGGCAAAAAGGGATATTTATGTAAGTTAAAATGAATTTTCTCCCATGAGGCCATTTAAGTATATTATATTTAAAGCCACGTGTTGAAAACACATCCAGCTTCAGTTTCTTATTAATGCAAATTTACATTTGCAAATATTTTCAATACTGTAAGTTGAAATCATAGTTATTTGTCCATGGAATGATCAAACACCTCTATAATTAAATGGAGTGAACATTTTCTTAAAAATTTGTACTCACTGAAATAAAGGAATATATTTAAAATGTGTGAAGCTATGTTAGAAATTATTGGACTTAAACTCAGCTGTGCAGTTTGGTTTGGGATGTTGTTCACTCTTGTGACCTGCCAGAAGAATCTTGAGTCATGGGTAGTCACTGCTGTTCAGCCTTGTCCTAAGACAATTAATATGTATAGGCTGAAGACAAGCTCAGTGCCATGCAGAGAAACCACTTACCTGAGCCCTTCCTTGATCAGCCAGATGATTGTGAACATGAGCATCCATGAACATGAAAACAAATATTTACTGTTATCAGTCACTGAGTTGTGTATTTAGCCAGTTACCAATCATTATGCATAAAAGCTCCCTGATACATTATTTACACCTCTACCTATATATACACACATGTATTTTTTCTTAAATTGGTGGTATAAATGTGAATATTTAGTAATCAAATTATAAAGTTATTAAAAGAAAATTAATGACAAAATTAAAACTAATATTTCAATAAAAAATTAAAATTTACCTTATTTGTGGAAAAATATGCATAAATGTATGTAAGATATGTATAAATAAATATATACTTATTTGTTAAAATGGCTACATATATATAGTATTTATGTTTAATTGTGTTTCTTCTATTATATATGCAATATAAGCCTATTTGTAAAATTATTATCTACATTGAATACATTTAAATAATTTTTGTTACATTCCATAAAAAATTGTATTCTGGACCACAAATAGTTCATACTCTTGCTACAGAAAATTTATTGGTAGCCTTTATTTTTAAAACTCTACCAAATGGTTGTCCTTACATGAAAATATTTTTCCAACCCAGTAGAGCTCCAAGGGTAGGACTAGAAGAAATTTTGACTAACGTTGAATATTAACCATTGCATCCTGTGAAAATCTCCATTATGTTCATGCCCACAATGATGATATGCCAGATAGAGTCCTCACAACAATAGATGCTGGATGGAGTCACATCAGTGCCATTGTCAAGGAAGCCCTGGAAATGTAAAAATCCTAACCGTGGGTAAACTGTAAGGTTACATCTGATGATCCCATTGCAAAGAGAAGAGGATTTTTATAATATTGGCCTTTGGTTTTAACAGATCATCAGGTCTTAAAAGAAACACAACAGGATGATTGCAGACAAAGCCATTCTGGAAGAGCTATGATGAGATGTTTCAAAAATGAGCCACAATCCAAAAAAATGCTTTCCAAGTGAGTATTAATCAAAATGCCATTAATGAGCAGGGGGCTTTTAATAATGAGGATGATTCAACACATGGACTTCAGTCAGTCACCTTTCCCAGCTTTCCCAGGGAGTATCATGAACCAATGTTATGGAGGTCTCTGGGGGGCTCAATAATATGACTTTCAACTAACTGAGACCTACAGGGCTACCGGCTTTTCTGAACATCTAATTTGTCAAGAAGAACCCCTAACATTGTATGATACATCAGGGCTCAGACTAACAGCTGGTATTAGGTGATACTAGTGGACCTCATGTAACATAAGGAAAGCACTGGTTATTTTCCTATATATGAATTTGCCATTCTTATCGGTTATGTTTCTGCATAAAATATTATTTGAGGATTTTCCAAGTGCTTTCATCAGAATCAGGAAATTCTTCCATAAAATGGCTTTGGATCAAGCAAGTTATTTACCTCAAAAAAGAAGAGCGAAGTGTAGCTTATGATCTTGTCTTGTGCACAGGTGCAACTTTCCCTATAGACAGGGAAAAACCTATTATTAGTCAAGCAAAGCTGTCACACAAACCCTTGTGCTGTTGAATTACTATACGATCAGAAGTGGTGGAGGCTCTGAAACATTAACCGTGATGGGTGCTTTTACTCCCTTAAACAGAATATATATATCTTGAAAATGAGCTGTAGACTTACCATTGTTAACGCCAACTGAACAGCTTGAAATACTCTATTTCTGTTTTCTCAGGGCTGTGGTTTTCTGGTTGATGGTTCTTTTTTTTTTTTAAGACGGTCTCTCACTCTGCTGCCAGGCTGGAGTGCAATGGCGCCATCTCGGCTTCACTGTAACCTCTGCCTCCCAGGTTTAAGCTATTCTCCTGCCTCAGCCTCCCGAGTAGCTGGGACTACAGGGGGTACACCACCTGTAGCCCAGCTAATTTTTGTATTTTTACTACAAACGGGGTTTCAACATGTGGGCCAGGAATGGTCTTGATCTCTTGACCTCGTGATCTGCCTGCCTCTGCCTCCCAAAGTGCTGGGATTACAGGCATGAGCCACCACGCCTGGCCTGGTTGATGATTCTTAATCCAAAGAGTTGACATGACAATTATCCCAAGAAATTGGAAGAAATGATATAAGCATGTGACCATTTAGACTTAAGACAATACTGGATAAGTTGTCAACACAGGGTGTTAGTTTGTTTGCTGGGGCCATAGGTCTAGTTCATATAAAGCAAGAGCAAATGGAATTGATTTTACATATCTTAGAGAGGAAGTACAGAAAATATGCACCCTAGGGGACCTTCTGGAATGTTTCTATTTATTGCCATTTCCACTGGTAAAACTCAGAGAAGACGTCAACAGTCATCAGGTAGAAGTTCTAGGGATCACAGTCATGTGAAGCATTACTTGCACTTGGATCGCCAGTGAGGCAAAGGGAAGATGAAACGCATAGTGGGATATGGAGGTGGAAACATTCATGGTCAGCTTAAACGTGGAAAAGTGTATTTATTTTTTCTCTTTAGATTTATCACTGAATCAGTTGGATCTGAGAAAAGCGATTATGACTGGTTAGGTAGAAAGGTGTTTATTATCATGAATTAAATGGATTGAAAACATTTGGAGAAACCAGTGGCAGCTTAGGGATCTCCAAGTACTCCCTTTGCTATTCCCTCACCCTGCCCACCCCGTGTTTTCCACAGTGAAGGAAGATACTCTCATTTTGATAGAAACATGGCAAGTGAAGATACTGTGCCCACAAGACTGTGCTGCCTGGCTGTGACCCAGACCAGGAAATTGAGTACATTTGAGTGAGATCAGGCACTTCCCCTCCCTCATCTCAATCCAAAAGCACTCTGTAGTAACACATCTGATGGGCATTCTTCACCACCTATGGGACTTAGGAAGCCAAGGACATGAGGAATAGCCTTTCCAGACTCTACCATAGAGAAATTATTGCCAGAAACTAGAGAATAAAATAAATACGGAAGAAGCTGGTGACAATAACGAAATGAGCCATTCATATATGTATGTTAAATAATTTAGTCTTTTCAATACACCCTTTCTTTAAAAAAATCAAAGTGCTATTTTTAGCCACCTTTATAATATAGACCACATATTAAATAATATGTACACAGATTAATGGCTCATGAGAGAAGATCATTTTTTCCTGGATGGTGTTGGGCTGAACAGATTGGAGATTCCTCACATTTTGGGGAGCACAGTGCTACATTGGTAGCATGATGTTCTTTGTAAAGAAAATATTTATGTTAGATTGTAGCCTGTTGTGGTTGATACTAGTAATGCCTGGAAATTCAAGTGTAGAAAGATGTGTACTTATGATAGAAAGCCACAGGATGGACTTGGGCAGAAATAAACCCTGCAGCCTTGAAAACAGATGAATCTATGTGAGACTGACATGAAGATGTAATCAACACAGGCAGGTATGCAGAGAAAGGGGTCAGTTTTCTAGTAGTTGATAGCAGAGCGGCTGTCCTTCTGGGGGCAGTAGTGAGAAGAGCTGCTCTCTTTTCTGCAGGAGACAGCTTGAATGTGGAGTCTAAGGCAGCAGGAGCTCCTCCCCAGCCTGCACCAGCAGTGCCATTCTTGGAATTGTTCTAGAGGCTTTGCCAGGAGCATGTTCCTTAAGACTTTTCAACAATTTGCAAGGAATTTAATATCCCTAGTAAATCCCTTTATGCTTCACGAATTTGACATTTGCAACAGGGAATATACACAATCCACAGTGACATCATTCACTGCCTCCTGTTTTTCTTGCTAAATATAATGCTTTTCAGGTGGACCTGCCAGAGGAAGCCAATGTGAACAACAATCCATGTCACCAAAAATGCAAGACAAATAAGCTCGGGAAAGTCACTGGGTTCTCACATAGCTGCACTGTCCCCTGGTACAAAATGGGAGAGTGTAAAACTCTTAGCTCCACCATCAGAGAGATGGTGGAGTGTGACCTTCTCAGTATAGTAAGTCAGTATGTATAGACATTTAAATACTAACACCTTTAACACCAAAATACAGGCAAAGGTAGAAAAGAAGATAAATTGGACTTCATAAAAATTTAAAATGGGCATCAAAAGACATAATCAACACAGTGAAAATGCAACATGTGGAACAGAAAAAAATATTTTTAAATCATATCTGATAAGGGGTTAATAATATCTACTATACAAAAATAATTTCTACATGTCAACAGTAAAAATAAAATAACTGATTAAAAGTGAGAAAAGTACATGAATAGACATTTCCCTAAAGAAGATTCTTTAGAGATAATTAGATAACTAGAATAAGAAAAGATGCTCAATGTTATTAATCCTTAGAAAAATAAAAACAAACCCCACTTTGCACATATTAGGATTTTTTTCCAACAGAAAATGACCAGTCTTGGTGAGAATTTAGGGAACTGGAACTCCTGTGGACACTGTCTTGGTGATGTAAATGGCCCACCTGCTGTGGGAAACAAGATGGCAATTCCTCAAAGAAATAAAAATAGAAATACTATATAACTCAGCAATTACACTTTTGGACACATACCCAAGTAATTGAAGATATTAACTTGAGGACGTATTTGTATACCCACATTCAGAACCGAATTGTTCATAGTAGCCAAAAGGTAGAAGCAACTCAAATGTTCACAAAGGAAGGAATTGGTAATCCATATGTGGTATATACATACAAAAGCACATTACTGAGGGAAATTCTGACACACGCTACAACATGGATAAAACTAGAGGACACTACACTAAGTGAAATAACCCAGTCTCAAAAATACCGAGTTATGATTTCACTTTGGTATTTGCAGAAAAGTTTCCATTTAGTCATGAATCAACCCAGTCTCCTTCCCTTTCTTGCTAGTAGTTTTCAGGAATAACTGTAGAATGTTCTGGAAATGTAGCATTCTGAGCTAGAACAAGATTGGCCAAAATATCCTGGGCTCTGTTTCTGTCCCTACTACAAAGAGGAATTCCCTCAACACTCTAGCCCAGTGTGTCATGTGATTCTAAGACATAAAACCCAGGGTGGACTGCATTCCAGGGTCCCTCAGCTGCAGTCCTTGTTGGGTATGTATGGTCTAGAGTCAATCAGGCCCTGACAGCTTTGTGCTCTCTCATGCTGACTCTCTGTAAGTAGTAATCCACTTCATGTAACTGGTTGTGCATGGGTGTTCTGTCTCACTAGATTTGGGTAAGTTGGCAACCAGTGCACAGCAAACCTTCTTGGCAAAATTGGTGCAGTGAGAAGGTTTGATTTGAGAGAACTATGGCTTATGGTGAAGTTGGAGGAACAATACTCTCCAGTACCTGGCCCAGGACAGAGATATCAGCCTGGAGATGCAAGGGCTGGACATGCAGATGGATGTTTAATGAGGAGGGAGGATAAACAGGACATTTGTCCTCCTCCCATTAATATGGATCAGCTGGCTGACTGAATTGAGACATAGAAAAAAGAATGTGGAAATAGGAATGGGGTACACAATTTTCTAGTTGTTAGACAGTTGCATGATTGCTCATTCCTGAGGCAAGAGAGCTCAAGACATGGGTAATCAGATGGACCCTGAGTCACCCAAGATGACACAAGAAAGATAATCTCAATGGTCCCTGAAGCATCTGATAAGGAACCAAAATGAACAACAATGGCCATCACAGAAAAGGAGGCTCACTCTCTATAAAAGAGACATGGAAAAACACGAGGGAAGTCTTATGCAGCCTGGTCGGTGTGTTTGTTTGGTTAAGCCACATTGCAGACCCAAATGTCTGTCTGAATGGCACAGGTAGGAACAGGGCCAAGGTCTCCACCAGAGGCTACCAGCCCTATATTCCTCTCAAGATAAAAGGTGAAAAAAAAAAAAAAGAATTCAGACTATTCTGGGATTTTTGTATGCTGCAATCCACCTGACAATATTACCAGGTCCTCCCTGGAAAAAAATAAACTGAAGACATCAGAAGGTGTCAAGACAAATGAGGACCCCATGGTGAGTATGTGCTTGTGTGCTGATCTGCATGTGGACCACACCCTTTGGGCTATGTTGGGTGCTGGTGACCATGGTTCTCACTGCAGAGTGCAATAGAGGTACTGACATTTTGCTGCTGTGCCACAAAACATCACTGCTGCCTGAGGGGCTATCCGCACTCATAGCTAAGTATTCAAGACACGACAGTGGGGCATATCCACTCCTGCCTGCCACCTAAGCTTCCCGTGTCCCAGAGTGTTGTTCACAAAGCAGGACTGCATATTCAGTGAAGATCGGAACACTACCTAGTAAATTTAATAGTTGCTACAAAAAGATTAAAATGTCACAAAGCCTGGTGTCACAATGGAACAACCCAGTTTGGCAGACCAATGATGGATTGTTGAAGGCTGAATGCCAAGGCCACCTGAAAAAGAAACCTAGGAGGTATCCCAGGTATATTTAATCATTGCTGGTCCTGGTGGCGTCCACTAATAAGATGGAGACCCAGAAGCTAGTAGGTATTTTGGGGTACTGGGGACAGTAGAAACCTTACCTGGGTGTTCTTTTGGTCATGTTAGTCAAAATCACCCTTGGAATCTGTTCAACAAGGCATGACTGAGGCACTTCTTTAAGACCTTCAGAGGCTGCTTGCTCAATGGAAATCCAGGTGTCCACTATTTCTATATATGCTGACTGGAGCCTGTGGCAACAGAAGCCACCAGTTGTGCCTCTTTTGAATGGCAACTTCTTGCTGTAGGAAACTGATAGGGGCTGATTATCTCATAGCTAGAGCATCAGGGATGACGCTGCTACCTTAACTACCCATTCTCACTTTGGTGCCTACAAACACAATCAATAAAACTGGACAGGCCCAACAGATCCAAATTATTAAATGGAACTGGTACAGTCAGAATTCGCCCTAACCCAGTTCCCACAGGATCCATGTGCAAATGGATGAATGCCCATAAACAAATAGCAAGCTTCCTAGAAGGGAACAAATGACCCATAGGGGACAATTTTGTTTTTCCTTTGGCCACAATGAGCCAACGATTCAGAGACATGCCTATGTCAGTATGGCATGGGGCCCTGATGATTGTACAAAATACATGCCAGTGGGTCCACTGGGTGAGGCCACCATCCAGCCAGGGGATGGCATCTTTTGACTGACACTGAACATGGACATTCTGCCCAGTGGGCCAAACTTCATGCAATGATAGTAGCCATGCAGGCTGCCCCCAACACTATATTTTGCTCCATTTCCACTAAATCATGGGCCATTGCCAACAACCCAGCCATCTGGTCAGGAAAATAGCAACTGAGTGGCAGAACTATTAAAGGATCCCCTGTGTAGGGAAAAGGACTATGGCCATAGCTTGCTTCCTGGACAGCTAAATGTATGTCACTCAGTTAGATGCTGGGGCTACCATGGTGACCTTTGAAAGGAATTTATGTCATGTTTTTGGATACCCCATGAGACTTCACTCTGACCAAGAAACAACCGCCCAATCCGCATGACAATGGGCACATTCTTGAGGAACCCAACGGAGACTTTCCACGCAATTACCAACACCCAATACTACCTGCTGTGCCTGGATAAACACCTCGGGTATTCTAGAAATACAAGTAGAGGTGATCCTAAAGCAGGCCCACTGGCTGCAGAGAATAGGGCATCTGAAAGATCCCCCTTTCACTTCTTAACATCTTAGTCACTGCTTTGGGGAGTCTTACCCTCCTGCCAGTGTGTGTGTGAAAGATTACGTAGGTGCCGAGGAAAAGACTGCAGGCAAAACTGTTTCAGTAGAATAAAGAAAATAGTTAGAATAAGAATAGTCATAACACAAATTAGATATAGAGATGATCATGGACAATTATCAATCACTATTATAAACATTATTAATCATTAGCTTTTAATATTACTCTTTGTCGCATTACTAATATAACCTAGGAATAACCTAAGAGTATAGTGTCAGGTACTGAAGGGACATTGCTAGAAGTGACCTAGAAGGCAAGAGGTGAGCCCTCTGTCACACCTGCATAAAGGCCACTTGAGGGCTCCTTGGTCAAGCAGTAATGCCAGTGTCTAGGAAGACACCCTTTACTTAGCAGACCGCGAAAGGGAGTCTCCTTTCCTTGGAGGAGTCAGGGAACACTCTGCTCCCCCAGCTTCTTGTGGAAGGCTGGATATTATCCAGGCCTGCCCACAGTCATCCGGAAGCCTAAACCATTCCCTGTGGTGCTGTGCCTCAATGGTCACACTCTTTGTCCACATTCATGTTCCTCCCATACTCCGGGTTCCTCTTTGACGTTCGTAGTAGGTAGCGGTAGAAGAAATACTGAAAGTCTTAAAGTCTTTGATCTTTCTTATAAGTGCGTAGAAGAAAATGCTGACGTATGCTGTCTTCTCTCTCTCTGCTTCGGCTACCTAAAAGGGAAGGGCCCCCTGTCCTATGATCACGTGACTTGCTTCACCTTATCAATCACTTGGAAGATCCACCCTCCTTACCCTGCCCCCCTTGTCTTGTATGTAATAAATATTAGTGTGCCCAGCCGTCCAGAGCCACTACCAGTCTCCACGTCTTGATGGTAGTGGTCCCCCAGGCCAAGCTGCTTTCTCTTTATCTCTTTGTCTTGTGTCTTTCTTTATTACAATCTCTCATCTCTGCACATGGGGAGAACCCCCACTAAGCCCCACAGGGCTGGACCCTACACCAGTGGTACTAGCTTTTCGTGGCCCAGTGAAATGTACTCTCACTATGGCTTCATAATCTGCATTGAAGTTGTGTTAGTCAAGGTGCTTCATCAATCTGAAAAGATAAACTTCTGCCTCCAGTTCAAGGGAAGTTGGTGGGCATATGAAATATGCTAGCTTTGCTAAGGGGGATGTCTAGGTGGTGGGGTAATTGCAAAACAGTTCTCCAATGACCCTGGACTGACTTAGTTCTCTCCACTTTCTTGCTTATTTTATGAGTTCTCAAGAATAATTGTAGAATTTGCTGGAATCGTAACATCCTGAGATGGAGAGGAACTGAGCAGAACAACCTACCTGTGCTCTATACCAGTTTCCCATAGAATAGGATGTCCGTTAGCACTTTAGCCCTGTGTGTCTTCTTAGCTCAGGATATAAAACCCTGAGTGGCTGCTTTCCTGGATTCCTGAGCTGTGGTGCATGTGGGGTACACATAGTCAACTCCATCAGCTCCACATGGCTTTCCTGTGCCTTGAGGGACTGACCCATAATAAGTCCAAGACTTTTGTGGTGTTCCCTTGCTGCTTATCTGTAAATAATAAACCCATTTCATGTAACTTGCTGTGTGGGGGTGTTGTGTTCCCCACACTCAAGTATGTTGGTAACCAGTGCAGAGTGAACCTGCTTCAAATATGTCAATGACATAGAGACAGAACTGGAATGGAGGTTGCTGGCGGTAGGGATAGAGGAAATGGGGGGGAGTATTGTTTAAAGGATATAGATATTAATTTTATTCAGATGAAAATGGTTCTGGATTTAGTATCAGTAATAATAGCAGAGCAATGTGAATATATTTAATGGCATTGCACTACACTCTTAGAAATGGTTAAGATAGACAATATCATGTTCTCTGTATTACTATAGCTAAAAAATTGACATCTTTATTATAGTATTGTTAGCTCAGAAGACATTGCTTTGTTTTCTAATTTTCTGAGCAAATGTTCATACATAATCACTTTGTGATGCTATTTTTCACACATTTTAACAAATTGTGTGTGTGTGTGTGTGTGTGTGTGTGTGTTTTGTAGACATGGGGTCTCCCTGTGTTGCCCAGGCTGGCATCAAATTCTTGGCCTTACATGGTCCTTTCTCCTCGGTCTCTCAAAGTGCCCAGGGGCTACTAAGTGTCTGAAATCTTCTCAGGGGAACAGGCTGGGGGACATCTCTAAATTCGCATCCCCTCTGCCTGAAATCCCCTTCCCACCTCCTCTATGGGCACCTCTAGTGTATCTTGTGGGCATCACTGCCTGGAGCATGTCAGGATGTTTTCTCCCATCTCCTACTCTGAATTCATGATGCAAATTCATCCTCACTTCAGACACGGGCTGGCCACGCCTTGTGTCTCTTACCTGCATGCCCCGGCACGTTGCTGAACCCATAGTTCTGACCCCACTCTATGAATCTTTGTGGAAGGGTCATGGTTGGCAAGTTGTGGTTATTGGAGACCAGAAAGTAAAATGGCAACTATTGAGAAGCTTGTGCATGGGGCAGACATAGGCCATTGTCAACAGAGTCCCAGCAGCTGGTGAGCCATGAAAGCTGGGCAGAGATCCCACATCACCCCAGTCAGAGGGGAAGCTGGGAATGAGCCATGGAGGGGCTTCATCCTGTGACAATGCAGCCTCTGAGCCATATATGCTGCTTTGTTTGACAGAAATGACCAGAGGAGGACTTGTCTATGCTGAGCTCTGGAAACAAAACGTCCCTCCATTCAGGGCCCAGACCCACTATCCATTTCCTGGGCATCTGCTGTTCTGTGATTCCGTAGACCCCCCTCAGGTCACTCATGATCCTCAGCAACGGGCAGTTCACTTCTCTCAGCCCAGGGGGAACATGGAAGAGGGTACTGAGCTTTATGACCCTCAGGTCCTGGAGTGAGGAGGGCCATGAGGTGGTGCACCCAGTGCTCATTTTCAATGTTCATGTTAAATTTATTTAAGTTTAAAACTATACCTTATACTAGCAACCAAAGTTATATCTCTTTATATATAAACATGCATCACATATTTATTCATAAATACATAGTATATACAAATATATAAATACAACTTATTTCTTAAATATGTATTCAATATGTAAAGTTCACAATAGAAATTCATATTACAGATACATATAATTTTATGCTTATTTGTGTAGCGTGTGTTTCTTTTCTGACCAAGCAGAATAGAGTCTGGCTGAGTAAAGACTTTAAGGACATTTGCTGACTGTCCGTTTTTGGCTCCAGCAGGGTCCCAGTCATTCAGCACCAGGGAGGGCAGAGCTGACAGCAGCCAGCCCAGGATCCCAGCACCAGCCCTAAGGTCTGGGTCTCTGAGACTTTTACTCTTGCCAGGCTGGGGGATATATGCTTAATGCAGCTCCCCTGAATTTGTGAGCAGTTTCCTTCCCTGAAGCCCTGCCAGGCAGCCCTGTGGCCAGGGCCTGTGGTTCCTCCCAGATTCTCAGCCCTGTGGCTCAGGAGAGCAGCTGCTTCCTCCACAGCCCAGGGCCAGTGCCTGGCATCTCTCAGGCACTGCCAGCCTGACCTTAGCCCTGGGCTAAGGACCCTATTCCAAATGTCTCCTCATTTATTGCAGTATCTGAAAGTCTGTCTTGTTCTTAAACTCAAAGTCCACATTTCCACAATTGCTAAAGCTAGCATTTGCCATCTGAAAATTTAGAAATGTGAATTCATTGTCACTCTCAGAAACTGCCCTCTTCCAACTCTACCAGACAGAGTTGCCCATATGTTCTCTTCTCTCCACACAACTTTACTTAGAATTATAGTGAAATGTAACATGTGGTAAAGCTCTTACCTCCTGTACAGAAACCATCCTCTTCTCCTTTGGTGTCTAGGGCATGAGCTCTAGCCTGCTGGGCATGGTGAGGACAGTGAGCCTCTCCCAGCCCGGGACAGGAGCAGGGATTAAGGCACATGTGATTAGCTCCACAATACAATGTCAGGGGAGTAAAGGAGGGACAGGAACTCTGGGTAGAATTTGATCCTTCATAAGAAGATGGAAGGTGAAGAGCTTTGCTTCACCTTCTAAAATCAATGACTTTATTTTAGATTTGGAAGCAGGGACACATGTTTCATTGCTCTGACACCTTCCACATCTCCTCTTTCTCTTACAATATCCCTGTCCCAGTCTGTCCCTCTCAGATTGTGTCCTGAAAATCTAATTTTCCCTCCTAATATGAAAACAAACTAACAAAACCCTCTTCCTCCTATCATGTGCTGTGAGTTCTGACCCCTAAACTCTGTGATACCCAGATCGTATAAGAGATAATCATGGGATTTTCCAAAGAGAATTTCTAGCTAAAAAGAATTTTTGTACGAGCTCTTCTCTCAGAAAAAATTTTCTCTGTCTCTTGTCTGACACCAGATAACAAGGTGGAAATATTTCCAAGAACAGAGGACAAGCATGCTCTCAGTGAGCTGAAAGACATCTCTTCCCCTTGCATTAGTTTCCAACGCTGCTGTTTAAATTGCCACAGTCTTATTGGCTTCACACAACATAAATGTATTACCCTGTAGTTCTGGAGGTCAGAAGTCTCACTGAGCTAATGCTAAGGTGTCAGTGGGGCTGTAATCCTTCTGGAGGCTCCAGAGGAGAGAACTGGATTCTCTGCTTCTTATCTTCAATGTGCTCCCATATTTCTGGTTCCATGGCCCCTTCCTTCCTCAAACAACATCCGTCCCCATTGTCCCAGCTCCTCTCTGACTGCAATCCTCCTCCTCTATTTTAAGGACCTTTGTGATTGTATTGATTTCATCTGGATAACCAGGAAGCTTATTCTCAAAGTCCTTAACTTACATCTATCAAGGTCATTTTTTGCTATCTATCATAAGGTAGAATCCTTATGATATGGCTCCAATGACTGGAGGAACACCAGGGTTCTTGCTGTTTCACACTGCTTTGGATAAAATGCCACAGAAAGATGTGGAGTGGTTTTAAGGAGAGAAAAGTTTAATATGTAAGAAGGAAGGAAGAATAAAACAGCTAAACAGCTACCCTGTACAAAGACAGAGGGACAGGGGATTCCAACAAAGAGAAAACTCCATCTGTGGTGGAAAAGTGGCTGCTTATATGAGGAGAATGAAGGAGGTGGTGTCTGATTTGCAAAGGGCTCAAGGGATTGGTTTGACCAGGCATGTTATTCACATAGCCTGAGCAAAAACTGGCCCTCCCACCCTAGCCTTTCAATATGCACATGTAGGGCATCATAATGTTCTACACACATGGGGATATGTGGGGGCAGCCATGTTGCCAGGCACATGTAGGGGCAAGGAAGAAGAAGGTAGGAATAGCCATGTTAGGGTGGACCCAGTTTCTAATGGCCTTCATTTGCATATCAAATCTTGCCAGCCTGGCTCTAAGAGCCGGAGCTTTCCTATTAGACAAGAAACATGTCTGGAGTTGCTTTAAAAGAAACAAAATCTTACCAAGGATGCCTTTTCCTCTCTATCTGCCTAAAATAATTTCTTAATAACTCCTATAAAACTTGGGTTCCAGAGACAAGGACCTGGATATCTTTTGGGGTGGGGACATTATTCATTCCACCAAAAATTAATATATTCTCCAAAATTGTCCTTCTTTAAAGTAAAATTTAAAAAATAACAAAGCATTTTTATGAAGCAAGAGGGCGGTACAAAATCTGAGACTTAGAGTCTGACTTATAAATCCTCTAACTTGTGAGTTTTAGCTGTTGGGGTATGCTCACTCCACTCCTTTATCTCACTCCTTTATCTGCTTAAAAGCAGCTTCTCCAGAAGGAAACTGATTGTCAAGAAAATTCTTCCTGGGAAATTTTATATCAGGGAAGATTAACACAAAATAGGAATCAAAAATAGAAGAGATTAGAAGTTGATGCTTTATCCAGACAGGCTATTACCTGTTCTTTTGAGGATGCACTTCTATCCTCATCTATTCTCTCCAGGTTGCCTACACTTCCCAATTACCTCTTCGCTAGAAAGGAAGTATGAACAACTGGATCTCATTGAGTTATCTGAGTAATCACACCGCTATGATATCCCACTGCACTTTAAGTGAATTTTGCTTGCCTTTTCTCTTATTAGTCTTTCTTTTGTCAGTTCATTTTCAGCAAACATTTAGAGGACAAATGGAGCTTTCTTCCCTTCTCCCAATATAAGCAAGTTCCCTTAAAATTCAGGTGGCTTACAAAGCAGCAGGAAGGTTTGTGCATGGGCTACAGCACTGTGATTTGTCTCCCCTAGTCAGGCATCAGTAAAATTTTGTGGAGTCCTAGGCTGCAGCCCACTGATGCTGATGTAGTTGGATCCACGTCCCCTGCTACTAAGCCAGGCTGGGACATTTTTGGCACAGTAGAGATGTGAGATATAATGACTGCAAATCCATGTCCAGTTTCATCTGGATCCAGCTGATTTCTCCATGTAAGTTGGCAATTGCTTGATAAGGGATTGTCTCTTTCCTAAAGATGTTAACAGGGAGGATGGTGTCTGGGTCAGGATGATGTCCCTGATAAAACGTAAAAGAAGAAAGTGGCATTGTTGGTGCATGACAGGGACATGCTCCATGCAGTGGTCACCCTCAATAAGAGAGAAGAACTTTGGAAAGTAATACTCAATGACAGAAAAGAAGGTAGACAATGAAGGTGCCCAAAACAAGAATAAGGTGAAGTGAATTTAGTCTCTGGGTATTAAAGAGACCTGTAGCTCTTGATAATGGTGGATGTGTGAGTGCTGCATGCATTGAGGAAACTCGGTATCATCTCTCTGTATCTGTAGTAAATTGCTTGATCTTATAGTGGTAAGAACAATGGCATAACACCATTACCTAATACTTACAAATATGTATAGCATCATGTCAATAAATTTTATTTTTAATATTTTTAGAAAGGAACAATGTTAAAACTCACAGAAATGTTGAAGTATAGGACAAAGTACCTCCTTCCCTAACCCGAATCATATGAGAGTCTTTTGAAGTCCTGAGAATCATACTGTTTAACATTTTACTATGTATTTCCTACAAACAAGATATTCCAAATAATCCCCATGTGCCAATGAAATACATTACTCCGTCGACTCCTGAGGAATATTTCAAATTTTCAAAAAAATACATAAAAAATGTTTCTCATAACAAACTACTCTCCAGTAGAAACACATTCACCACAGACAAATTTGTGCTACCCTGGTCTTTCCTGGGACACCTGGGGATACTGAGCTGGTGCTGAGTTACTGAGATGAGCCAGCCCTGCAGCTGTGCCCAGTCAGCCCCATCCCCTGCTCATTTGCATGTTCCCAGGGCACAACCTCCTGCCCTGAAGACTTATTAATAGGCTGGACACACTTCATGCAGGAGTCAGACCCTGTCAGGACACAGCATAGACATGAGGGTCCCCGCTCAGCTCCTGGGGCTCCTGCTGCTCTGGCTCCCAGGTAAGGAAGGAGAACACTAGGAATTTACTCAGCCCAGTGTGCTTGGTACAGCCTGGCCCTTCAGGGAAGTTCTCTTACAACATGATTAATTGTATGGACATTTGTTTTTATGTTTCCAATCTCAGGTGCCAGATGTGCCATCCGGATGACCCAGTCTCCATCCTCATTCTCTGCATCTACAGGAGACAGAGTCACCATCACTTGTCGGGCGAGTCAGGGTATTAGCAGTTATTTAGCCTGGTATCAGCAAAAACCAGGGAAAGCCCCTAAGCTCCTGATCTATGCTGCATCCACTTTGCAAAGTGGGGTCCCATCAAGGTTCAGCGGCAGTGGATCTGGGACAGATTTCACTCTCACCATCAGCTGCCTGCAGTCTGAAGATTTTGCAACTTATTACTGTCAACAGTATTATAGTTACCCTCCCACAGTGTTACACACCCAAACAAAAACCCCCAGGGAAGCAAATGTGTGAGGCTGGGCTGCCCCAGCTGCTCCTCCTGATGCCTCCATCGCCTGAGAGTGTTCCTCAGATGCAACCACACTCTGATGGTGTTGGTAGAGGGGGACCTGAAATCACCTCTGCAACCCAATTCCTTTTTCTTTGTAAGCCCCAGCTGCACAGACATAACAATGCCTCTCCTGATTTAATAAAGGCAGAGATCTTGACACCTAAGGAGTCTAGTTTAGGGCTTTGGTTGGAATTCAAATAACAGAGAAGAAACCACTATAGATATTCTAAGCAGGAATTGTCTTAATACAGAAAATTAGAGTCTAAACTACTGAAGTCTAAATAAAATGTAGAGCGGAATCTCTAAATTTCATGTTTTATTTGCAAAGAAATGTTTGCCAAATTGGACACACAGGAAAACTCAGTGGTCTTCAATATATTGGAAGTACGAAGAGAAGGTTAGTGTTTTATGAAAAAGGGAAAATATTACCTTTTGCATTTTCAGAAAGTTCACTGGCACTAGTAAGGGTTGGGAGCTGGCAAGCTCAGACTGGTAAGCAGTGGTGGACAAAGTGAATTAGGATTCACTAATTATATCAATTATATCAAGTTGTCTCAGAAGTTGCAGTTAAATGTGAATTCAGGTTACAAGAAGCCAAAGCAGTGAAGGTTGCAGAGAATTTTCTTACTAAAATGCCAAGGATTCATTGTACACCCTGCTGCTCACCACGCAGAAAGCCAATCTCTAAAACAAGTATTGCCAAGAAACAGGCTTTAATCAGGTACTGCAGCCGAGGAGATGGGACACCATTTGCGAATGTATCTCCCTGACCAACTAAAATTAAGACTTTATATAACAGGGACAAAATGTGGGAAAACAGGAATTTGGGAGGGGTAAGGAAGATAATTTGGTCAACAGGAAGCAAGAGGTCAGTTATGCAATCATAATGGGTGAAGGTTCTGATGTCTCAGTGTCCGGATTCAGTGATATGTATGTTTCAGCTCCTTGATAGTATCTACGAGGCCTGATGGTTGGTTTACTGAAAAAAGAACTCAGATAAGACAAATGTAACTATCTTGAGTTTTAAGACTGGGGGAGTCAATTTCTGTTTATTCAAAAAACCATAAACCTTAGTTCCATGGGATAACAGGGCCTATTTCAATTGCATTCTAGAAACAATATTTTACACCCTGAGTGCCTTTCCCCACTGGGTGTCTTGGCTCTTTTGGGTATAACAAGAATGAACCGATGCCTATGATTAACGTTCAGACTACAACCTTTCAAAGCCAAGGATATAGTAGTCAGGAAAGTTGATATTAGAAGCAGGATTGAATGGCGCTCACTCAGAAAACAGAATGCATCTGCCCTTGAAGTATGGGCTATCTAACCATGTGGTCCTCAGTCCTGTCTGGAAGCTTAGGGGTGGGAGTGTTGATGTTCTCAGCTTCCTGCAGCATCCTTCCAGGTGTTTCTCCAGCCCTCACCTCTGTTCCTGTGTCTGCCTTAGGTACCAATGGAGAATATTGAGTCATCCTTTTCTGATTTCCAAATCTTATGGGAGGACCTCTTGTTGGGCAACTTTATAGGACACAAGAGAGGCAAAAAGGGATATTTACATAAGTTAAAATGATTTTCCCCCACTGAGGCCATTAAAATATATATATACTTAAAGCTACATGTTGAAAACACATCCAGCTTTATTTTCTTATTAATGCAAATTTACATTTGCAAGTATTTTCAGAATTGTAAAAGTTGAAAGCATAATTATTTGTCCATGGAATGATCAAATACCTCTATAATTAAATGGAGTAAACATTTTCTTCAAAATTTGTACTCATTGAAATAAAGGAATATATTTAAAATATGTGAAGCTATGTTAGAAGTTATTGGACTTAAATTCAACTGTGCAGTTTGTTTTGGGATGTTGTTCACTCCTGTGACCTGCCATAAGAATATTGTGTCATGTGTAGTCACTGCTGTTCAGCCTCGTCCTCAGACAATTCATATCTGTAGGCTGAAGATGAGCTCAGTGCCCTGCAGAGAAACCACTCAGCTGAGCCCTTTCTTGATCAGCCAGATGATTGTGAACATGAGCATCCATGAACACGAAAACAAATGTTTACTGTTATCAGCCACTGAGTTGTGGATTTAACCAGTTACCAATCAGTAATGCATAAAAGCTTCCTGATACAGTATTTACACCTCTACCTACACACACGATTTTTTCTTAAGTTGGTGGTATAAATGTGAACATTTAGTATTAAATTATGAAGTTATTAAGAGAAAATTAAAGACAAAATTAAAACTAGTATTCAATAAAAAATTAAAATTTACCTTATTTATGGAAAATGTGCATATATGTATATAAGATACATAAAAGTTACATATATTTATCTGATAAAATGTTGGCTACAAATATACATGTATAGTATTTATATTTAAGTATGTTTATTATATATGCATATTTATACAATTATTTAAATTAAATACATTTAAATAATTTTTGTTATATGCCACTAAAAAAGGGTATGCTGGCTACATATAGTTCATACTCTTGCTACAGAAAATTTATTTTAGCCTTTATTTTTAAAACTCTATGAAATGATTGTCCTTATCTAAAATATTTTTCCAACCCAGTAGAGCTCCAAGGGTAGGACTAGAGTAAATTTTGACTAATGTTGAATATTAACCATTGCATCCTATGAAAGTCTCCATTATGTTCACACCCACAGTGATGATTTGTCAAATAGAGTTCTCACAAATAGATGCTGGATGGCGTCACATCATTGCCATTGTCAAGAAATCCCTGGAAATGTAAAAATCGTAACAGTGGTTAATCTGCAAGGGTTACATCTGATGATAACATTGCAAAGAGAACAGCAATGTAATAATATTGGCTGTTGCTTTTGACAGATCATCAGCCCTTAAAAGAAATGCAACAGGATGATTGCAGACAAAGTGGTTCAGGAAGAACTATGACTAGACGTTTCAAAAATGAGCCAAAATAAAAACATGCTTTCCAAGCGAATATTAATCGAAATGCCGTTAATGAGTAGGAGGCTTTTAATAATGAGGATGATTCAACAGATGGACTTCAGTCAATCACCTTTCCCAGGTTTCCAAGGTGTCTCCTGAACCAAGGTTATGGAGGTCCCTGTGGGGACTCAATAATATGAGTTTCAACTAACTGAGACATACAGGGCTACTGGCTCTTCTGAACACCTAATTTGTCAAGAAGAATGACGTCTCTTGAACCCCTAACATTGCGCCACACATCAGGGCTCAGACTAACAGCTGGTGTCGGGTGATACTAGTAGACCTCATGTAACGTGAGGAGGGCACTGGTTATTTTCCTATATATGAATTTGCCTTCCTTTTTGGTTATATTTCTGCATAAAATATTATTTGAGGATTTTCCAAGAGCTTTCATCAGAGTCAGGAAGTTCTTCTGTAATATAGCTTTGGATCAAGCAACTTATTAACCTCAAAAAAAGTGAAGTGAAGTGTAGCTCATGCTCTTGTCATGTGCTTTCCCTATAGACAGAGAAAAACCCATTATTAGTCAAGCAAAGCTGGCACACAAACCCTTGTGCTATTGAATTGCTGTCCTGTCAGATATGGTGGAGGCTCTGAAACAGTAACTGTATGAATGGTGCTGTCACTCCCATAAACAGAATATTTATATCTTGAAAATGAGCTGTAGACTCATCATTGTTATGCCAAATGAACAGCTTGAAATACTCTATTTCTATTTATTCAGGGCTGTGGTTTTTTGGTTGACGGCTCTTAATCCAAAGAGTTGATGTGAAATTATTCCATGAAATTGGAAGAAATGATATGATAAGCATGTGACCATTTACATTTATTAAAATACTGGATAAATTGTCAAGACAGGGCATTAGCGTGTGTGCTGGGGCCATAGATAGAGTCCATAAAAGCAAGAGCAAACATAATTGATTTTACATATTTTAGAGAGGAAGTACAGAAAATATGGAACCTAGGGGACCTTCTGGAATGTTTCTATTTATTGCCATTTCCACTGGTAAAACTCAGAGAAGATTTCAACCGTCATCAGGACGAAGTTCTAGGGATCACAGTCATGTGAAGCATTCCCTGTACTTGGATCACCAGTGAGGCAAAGAGAAGATGAAACGCATAGTGGGATATGGAGGTGTAAACACCAGGGACAGCATCCTGGTCAGCTTAAACATGGAGAAGTGTAGTTATTTTTTCTCTATAGGTTTATCACTGAATCAGTTGGATCTGAGAAAAGTCATTATGACTGGTTAGGCAGAAAGGTGTTTATTATCATGAATGAAATGGATTGAAAACATTTGGGGAAACCAGAGTGGCAGCTCAGGCAACTCCAAGTACTCCTTTTGCTATTACTTGACCCTCCCCGCCCCCACCCCTATGTTTTCCACAGTCAAGAAAGATACTTTCATTTTGATAGAAACATGGCAAGTGATGATATTGTGCCCAGAGGACTGTGTTGCCTGGCTGTGACCTAGACCAAGAAAATGATCACATTTGAGTGAGTTCAGCCATTTCCCCTCCCTCATCTCAATCCAAAAGCACTCCGTAGTAACACAGCTGATGGGCATTCTTCACCACATCTGGGACTTAGGAAGCCAAGGACATGAGGAGTAGCCTTTCCAGACTCTACCATAGAGAAAGTATTGCCAGAAACTAGAGAATAAAATAAATATGAAAGAAGCTGGTGACAATAACGAAATGAGTCATGCATATATGCATGTTAAATAATTTAATCTTTTCTTTACACCCTTTTGTTAAAAGAATTCGAAGTGCTATTTTTACCAGTCTTTATAGTTTAGCCCACAAATTAATAATAAGTAGACAGATTAACGGCTCATGAGAGAAGAGCCTTTTTTCCTACATGGTGTTGGGCTGAACAGATTGGACTTTCCCCACATTCTGGGGAGCACAATGCTACGTGGGGAGCATGATGTTCTTTGTAAAGGAAATCTTTATGTGAGGTTCTAGCATGTTGCTGTTGATACTAGTAATGACTAGAAATTCGAGTGTAGAAAGATGTGTATTTATGATAGAAAGCCACAGGGTGGACTTGGGCAGAAATAGCCCCTGAATCCATGAAAACAGATGAATCTACATGAGACTGAAATGAAGATGTAATCAACACAGGCAGGTCTGCAGAGAAAGGGGTCAGGTCTCTAGTAGTTGATAGCGGAGCAGCTGTCCTTCGGGGGGCAGTAGTGAGAAGAGCTGCTCTCTTTCCTGCAGGAGACAGCTTGAATGTGGAGTCTCAGGCAGCAGGAGCTCCTCCCCAACCTGCGCCAGCAGTGCCATTCTTGGAATTGTTCCAGAGGCTTTGCCTGGAGCCTGTTGCTTAAGGCTTTTCAACAATTTCTAAGGAATTTAATATCCTCTAGTAAATCCCTTTATGCTTCACGGATTTGACATTTGTAACAGGGAATATAAACAGCTTACAGTGACATCATTCAGAGCCTCCTTTTTTCTTGCTAAATATAATGCTTTCCAGGTGGACTTGCCAGAGGAAGCTGATGTGAACAACAATCCATGTCACCAAAAATGCAAGACAAATAAGCTCAGAAAAGCCACTGGGTTCTCACCTAGCTTCACTGTCCCCTAGGACAAAATGGGAGAGTGTAACACTCTTAGCTCCACCATCAGAGAGAGAAGGTGAAGTGTGACATTCTCAGCGTAGTAAGTGAATATTTACAGACATTTAAATACTAACACCTTTAACACCAAAATACAGGCAAAAGAAGAAAAAATTAAATTGGACTACATAAAAATTTAAAATGGGCATCAAGAGATAAAACCTACACAGTGAAAATGCAACATGTGGAATAGAAGAAAATATTTGAAAATCATATCTGATAAGGGGTTAATAATATCTACTATACAAAAATAAGTTCTACATGTGAACAGTAAAAATAAAATAACTGGTTAAAAATGAGAAAAGTATATGAATAGACATTTCCCTAAAGAAGATACTTTAGAGATATTTAGATAACTAGCATAGGAAACGATGCTCAATATTATTAATCCTTAGAAAAATAAAAACAAAACCCACCTGATGCCTGTTAGAATGTTTTTTTCCAACAGAGGATGACCAGTCTTGGTGAGAATTTAGGGAACTGGAACTCCTGTGGACACTGTCGTGGTGATGTAAATGGCCCACCTGCTGTGGGAAACAAGATGGCAATTCCTCAAAGGATTAAAAATAGAAATACTATATAATTCAGCAATTCCACTTTTGGACATATACCCAAGTAATGGAAGACATTAAATTGAGGAGATATTTGTATATCCACATACAGAAGCAAATTATTCACAGTAGCTAAATGTAGAAGCAACTCAAATGTTCACAAAGGAGGGAACTGGTAATCCAAATGTGGTATATACATACTATTCCATATTATTTAGTTTTAAAAAGGGAAATTCTGACACATGCTACAACATGGATGGAACTAGAGGACATTACACTAAGTGAAATAACCCAGTCTCAAAAATACTGAGTTTTGATTTCACTGTGGTATTTGCAGAACAGTTTCCATTTAGTCATGAATCAACCCAGTCTCCTTCCTTTTCTTGATTGTAGTTTTCAGGAATAACTGTAGAATGTTCTGGAACTGTAACATTCTGAGATAGGGCATGATTGGCCAGAACAGCCTGGGTTCTGTTTCTGTCCCTACTAGAAACAGGAATTCCTTCAACACTCCAGCCCAGTGTGTCATGTGATTCTAAGACATAAAACCCAGGGTAGGCTGCATTCCAGGGTCCCTCAGCTGCAGTCCTTGTGGGGTAGGCACAGTCTAGTGTCAATCAGGCCCCGGCAGCTTTGTGCTCTCTCTGACTGACTCTCTGTAGGTAGTAATCCACTTCATGTTACTCGTTGTGCATGGGAATTGTGTCCCAGTAGATTTGGGTAAGTTGGTGACCAGTACACTGCAAACCTTGGCAAAATTGGTGCAGTGAGATAATTTGATTTGAGAGAACCATGGCTTATTGGTGAAGTTGGAGGAACAATACTCTCCAGTACCTGGCCCAGGACAGAGACATCAGCCTGGGGATGCCAGGCCTGGACATGCAGATGGATGTTTAATAAGGAGGGAGGATAAATGGGACATGGTGAGAGGCAGTGTTTGATGTGGTGGTGAGACAGCAGAAACAGTGGAGAAGCAAGACAGCAAGAGACAGCAAGAGATGGCATTTTGTGAGAAGATGGACATAGCGATCAGCAATGGGCGAGACAGCTATTGGAGAAGTGGCAAGTCAGCGATCAGTGAGAGAGGGCGAGATCGGCGCTACAGCGATTAAAGCTACATAGTTGCTAACATTGCAGAGCTGTTAACACTGGCCAAAGGCTGTTTTAAGAGCCATCATCTTTCCTGACAGGCGGTGGAGCTGAGCAGTTAGGTAAGTGGCCACAGAGCCACTGCTTCATGCAGGCCAGCCGCTCCATGCACCAGTTCACCCGTGGGAGTTCAACCCACCCAAGCTGGGGAGCCTGGAGAGATCTTCACGCAGGCCTCATGTTAGAGACTGCTTGGCACCATTTTGGCTCCTGCACACCTGTAAGTGTCCCATCTACCCACCTGCCCTATGTCAGATGGTCCAGGAAATAAGGCCTTTGGCTAAATAGTCCATTTGAAGTCCCCCATAGCACACCTGACTACATCCTCATTGATCTTTCTCTTAGTCATTTCTCCTCTAATGACATTTTATTTATCCATCAGCCATTTTATCTTATTTTCTGTCCTGATATATGTGTTTGCTTTGCAGTTTTTTCTTTGGGTCCCTACTAATTATGTTTGTGCAATTGTTTAAGGCAGGACACTTGGATGTAAGAATTCTCCTGTTCTGTTGACTCTAAGAAGCCAGAGTCACATTGTTCTATGGCCCCAACCAGGCCTTTGGGGCTCATTGTTGGCCACCCCACTGAGGCTCCAGGATTTTCTGCACTGGTCAGCCCCTGGATACTCCAGGGTTTCCTGGCATTTGGTGTGGGACATTCATAGGCTGATACTCGTGTACTCTGGGTTTTCAGCATTTAGTACTGTTGGCCACTCCCTGGAGGCTCCAGGGTTTTTAGCATTGACATTCATCCGAGGATTGTGGATTGGAGCCTCACCCTATGGAAATCTTGGTTTGCCTTTTCTTGTTTTCTGCCCTAAGGTTATCATTTTCCATAACAGCCTTGTGTTTTCCTTCTGTCACTTTATTTACACTTTTTCTTCTACACTTTACTTAATAAAAATACAGCTTTAAGGCTGAGCATGGTGGCCCATGCCTGTAATCCCAGCACTTTGGGATTACATGCCTGTAATCCCAAGGTGGGAGGATCATTTGAGGTCAGGAGTTCAAGACCAGCCTGGCAAACATAGTAAAACCTTGTCTCTACTAAAAATACAAAAATTAGCCAGGCACAGTGGCATGTACCTGTAACCCTAGCAACTCAGGAGGCTGAGGCAGGAGAATGGCTGAAACCTGGGAGGTGGAGGTTGCAGTGAACCAAGATCACGCTATTGCACTCCAGCCTGGGTGACAAAGCGAGACTCTATCTCAAAAAAAAGAAAAAAAAAAAAAAAAAAAAAAAACAAGTAAAACAAAAAATTTTGCCTGTGATACGATAATGAGTTTCTTTTAAAACTTCTGAGATTAGTGTCTTAGAGATTTAACTGTTGTATTTTGCTGCTTTCAGCTTGTTCTCCCTTTAAAAAGGCCTGGGATCATTGCTGTCTCCTTTTCCTTTTTCATCAGCTCCTGTGACGTTTTCATCTCAACACTTTGGGAGGCTGAGATGGGCGGATCACTTAGGCCAGGAGTTCGAAATCAGCCTTGCCAACATAGCAAAACCATATCTTTACTAATATTACAAAATTAGCTGGGCATGGTGGTACATGCCTGTAATCCCAGCCACTCAGGAGGCTGAGGCATGAAAATAGCTTGAAAACTGGAGGCAGAGGTTCCAGTGAGCCCAGCCAAGATTGTGCCACTGCACTCTAGCCTGGGCAACAGAGCGAGACTCCATCTCAAAAAACAACAACAACAACAACAACAACAACAAAATGATCCCCCAAGAATCAATAATAACCAGAATAAGGAGCCATTATCAGATATTCTTTATTACTCTTAATTACTGTTAGGCTTCAGGAAGCCACTAGTTGGGTACAGCTGCCCAGGATTAAACCTGTTTCTTACAAGGTCCTACAGCCACAAAAGGGGGACACCACAACCTCCATTTATAAAACAGAAAACTTAAGGTTGTTGTTTTGCAAACACATGGATTAATAACATGGTTCCGTAGGTGGACCTAGGAGCATTAATTTTTCCCTCTCTTCCAATTATAATTTTCTTGTTTAACATCCTAGTAAAGTTTATGTCTTCTAAATTTCATGTAAAGATGATACGGTCTGTCATAAGTCTTCCAACCCATTCTGTCTTCTGACCCCACAAATGAATGCATCGTGCCATTGGACCCCTTAGTTCAGGTACCAAAGATTTTTACTCCTCAAAGGCTAGGGAAGGCCTGCCCCCATAAAGTCAGCAGGAAGCACTTACAGAAAAGGGACTCTGCTCTTCTGCAGTCCCCTTAAGATTAAGGAGGAGTATCTAATCTCTGAGGGAGCAATGAGATAGGAGGTAGGTGGGACTCAACCCAGGACCAGATTGAAGACTGGCTGACACAAGGAAGAGACACTGGAAGCACCTGTCCATAACACATGCCCACCAGTGCCATATCAGTTTACCATTGCCATGGCAAAACCTGAAAGTTACTGCCCATTTTCTAGCTATTCCTGAATAACCCACTCCTTTATTAGCATGTCATTAAAAGTGGGGATAAATATGACTGCAAAACTGCCCCTACGCTACTGCTCTTGGCACAATGCCTATGTGGTAGCTCTGTTTCACAAGAACAGACACAAAGCTGTAACACTGCCACCTCAGTAAAGCTGTTTTCTTCTACCACCAGCTTACGCTGCATTCCTTCCTGAGTGTAGCCAAGAACCTGCCCTGCACCACTTTTGTCAAGTTAGTTGACATAAAATTACTCATAATATCCTCTCTTTATTTTTTTACTCCTGTAGGCTGTGTAATGACTTCTTCCTTTCCATTTATGACATTGTGTTTTGTGTCATTTTTCTTTCCCTCTTCTTTTTTTTTGAGACAGATTCTTGTTCTGTCACCCAGGCTGGAGTGCAGTGGTGCAATCTTGGCTCACTGCAACCTCCGACTCCCCAGTTCATGCCATTCTCCTGCCTCAGCCTCCCGAGTAGCTGGGACTCCACCACGCCCAGCTAATTTTTTTGTATTTTTAATAGAGATGGGGTTTCACCATGTTAGCCAGGATGGTTTTGATCTCCTGACCTCGTGGTCCACCCGCCTTGGCCTCCCAAATCTTTCCCTCTTCTTTATACACCCTTCATCAAGTAGTCACAGGTTTCAATTCAGTTCTTTCTTGGTGGTAGTATGGCTCATGAAAAAAGCTGATTCTTCTGTGTTTGAGGCCATTCACCATGTTTATATGTAATACTGTAAAAAGTCCTGTGACATAAGCCTCTGCTTCACAAACTGACCGCTGTCAAACATCATCTCCCCACCAACAGAGAATTTTTTTGTTCCTCACTAGTATAATTCACATAGGAGGAGAAATCTCAAGTTTAAAGTGTGGATTTGCACTTTACCACTTGGTGTATTCAAGAAGATGAATAATATTAATACATCAGTAGGGCCAGGCACAGTGGCTCAATCCTACAATTCCAGCACTTTGGGAGGCCGAGGCAGGCAGATCACCTGAGGTCAGGAGTTTGAGACCAGCCGGGCCAACATGGCAAAATCCCGTCTCTACTAAAAATATGAAAATTAGCTGGGTATGTTGGCACACACCTGTAATCCCAGCTACTTGGGAGTCTGAGGCAGGAGAATTGCTTTAAATGGAGAGAGGGAGGTTGCAGCGAGCCAAGATTGTGCCACTGCACTCCAGCCTGGGTGACAGAGTGAGATTCTATCTCCAAAAAAAAAATAGTAGTTTTGAATTTTAAACATCTATTTGACAAGAAATTCACAGTTCTTTCTCTCTTAAATAACGTAATAATTCTTTCAGTAATGAGCCTGGTTTGATGCCTCTCTCCCCAACATGATACAAGTGTCACATAAATCTATGAAAAATTCAATTTCCCTGTTCCTACAACAACTGTCTGGGATGGAAAACTTCTTCCCTTGCTCTAGTCCTTTCTTCTACACCTAGTTTCACCTAATCTGTGACTCAAAACAATACTTGTCAGGAAACATTCTGGAAAGAGCAAAAGGCTTCTAAGAGGTGTCAGAGATTCCTGGACCAACATCTGTCCATCTCTAGAGGGGGTTGTGAGTATGAGGAAGAGCAGAGCTTGTAAATCTTCTCCTTGCTTTCACTCCCACTGTATTTCCTAACAACGGCAACCACAGCCACATAATATCATAGAACAAGCATCTACTACTTCCAAGGCTTTGGTCTCAGTAAATCTTCTCTACCTCTATCACAGCATCTAGAAGGTTTGATACTCATACAAATAGTGCTGTAGCTTTCTTTTCATAACTGGAAAAGTGGGCAAGACTCAGTGTAATGCAGGCATTCCTTAAGCTAGTTATCATTCAGTTTTTAGATTGTCGTTGCGCACATATACCCAGCATATGTCTAATATACATGTAAAAATCCATGAAGCAAGCGTTATATTAGCTTGTGTTTTCTATTGTATTAAATTTTTCTCTTATATCGTCTTCTCCTTTTTGTCATTAAAAATCTGTTCAAGTCAGTCTAAATTAATTATTGGATCATAAGTAGATAAAATCTTTTATTTCATAACACATTGACCCAATGAATATGTTTCTTTGCAAGACACAATCCTCATTTCCAAGACAACAAGCCTGAAAAAATTATACTGGAGCAAGTCTACAAGAAATGATGGTAGCTTTTCCTTATTGTCAGTCCTGGGGCAAGAATAACATAAAAGATAACAAGGTAGAATAAAGATTACATAAGAAAGAAGGACAGCAACAGGACATGGGGACCGTTTATAGGGTAACATTTAAATAATGGATGATGAGAAGTAATGCGTTAGACAGGGATGGATGGGAATGATGGAAGGTCTGAGTACTTTAGCACAGATTAAGATCAAATCATTAGGATTTTAAGAGTTGTGTACAGTTACTGAAGAAAATGCCTTAGAATTTAATTTGACTGTGGATAAAACATTCTTGGATTAGATTTAAGACTATTTTCCATGCTAAGTATATTTATAATGATGATGACTGTAGTGCTGAATATTTAAACAATGAAAACAAAATTAATTGCCACATACATAATGTCCTGAATACTATTGTAAATGTTTTATCTTATTTTCTTTAAACTGTCTACAGCACTGTAAGGCAGGTACCACTATTGTCACAGTTACACAGATATGGAAACCGAGACACAGGGAAGTTAAGTTACTTGATTAATTTCAAGCAATCGGCAAGCCATGGAGCATCTATGTCAGGGCTGCCAGGACATGTGACTGTAAACAGAAGTTTTTAACTCAAAGAGGGTATGTGTCTGGGTTAATGGAAAGCTTCAGGACCCTCAGAAAACATTACTAATAAGCAAATGAAAGGTGTATCTGGGCCGGGCGCGGTGGCTCATGCCTGTAATCCCAGCACTTTGGGAGGCCAAGGCGGGTGGATCACCAGGTCAGGAGATCGAGACCATCCTGGCTAACATGGTGAAACCCCGTCTCTACTAAAAATACAAAAAATTAGCTGGGCGTGGTGGCAGGCGCTTGTAATCCCAGGCACTTGGGAGGCTGAGGCAGGAGAATGGCATGAACCCGGGAGGCAGAGCTTGCAGTGAGTGGAGATCGCACCACTGCCCTCTAGCCTGGAAGACAGAGCGAGACTCCGTCTCAGAAAAAAAAAAAAAAAATGTCTATCTGGAAGATTAAGTTCTAACAGACTCTTCATTTCCATAGATCCAATAATGCACTTAGGGAGATGACTGGGCATACTGAGGACAGGAAGAGAGAAATGAAAACACAGCCTTTTATATTGTTCTTAACAGACTTGTGCCAAATATCATACGGGTGTATTTAGGTGATTGAAGAGAAGAAAGGCACAGGAGTGAAATTATGTGAGCACAAGGGAGGAGTTCTACACTCAGACTGAGCCAACAGACTTTTCTGGCCTGACAACCAGGGAGGCACAGGACGCTCAGTGCAGAGAGGAAGAAGCAGGTGGTCTCTGCAGCTGGAAGCTCAGCTCCCACCCAGCTGCTTTGCATGTCCCTCCCAGCTGCCCTACCTTCCAGAGCCCATATCAATGCCTGGGTCAGAGCCCTGGGAAGGAACTGCTCAGTTAGGACCCAGACGGAACCATGGAAGCCCCAGCTCAGCTTCTCTTCCTCCTGCTACTCTGGCTCCCAGGTGAGGGGAACATGAGGTGGTTTTGCACATCAGTGAAAACTCCTGCCACCTCTGCTCAGCAAGAAATATAATTAAAATTCAATGTAGATCAACAATTTTGGCTCTACTCAAAGACAGCTGGTTTGATCTAGATTACATGAGTGCATTTCTGTTTTATTTCCAATCTTGGATACCACCAGAGAAATTGTAATGACACAGTCTCCACCCACCCTGTCTTTGTCTCCAGGGGAAAGAGTCACCCTCTCCTGCAGGGCCAGTCAGAGTGTTAGCAGCAGCTACTTAACCTGGTATCAGCAGAAACCTGGCCAGGCGCCCAGGCTCCTCATCTATGGTGCATCCACCAGGGCCACTAGCATCCCAGCCAGGTTCAGTGGCAGTGGGTCTGGGACAGACTTCACTCTCACCATCAGCAGCCTGCAGCCTGAAGATTTTGCAGTTTATTACTGTCAGCAGGATTATAACTTACCTCCCACAGTGATTCAACATGAAACAAAAACCTCAACAAGACCATCAGTGTTTACTAGATTTTACCAGCTGCTTCCTTTACAGACAGCTAATGTGGTGGCCACTCAGTTTTAGCGTCTCTGCTCTATTTGGACATTTTGCAGTTCTAAAAAAAAATCATTGAACAATTTGGACTTTGATTCTTGGACTCTGTTCAACTGAGGCACCAGAATCCCAGGTTTCCAGAAATAGTGACTCACTGTATGAATCCTTATATAGCCTCAGTGGTTCTTAACTTTCCCAGTAGAGGTAGCTCAGTGCATGCTACACTGCTCCATTTGAATTTTGCAACATTCTAAGTAGTAGAAAATTCTATTTATTTATCCAAATAGTTGACTCGGTAAAAGCTGTTCATGTGAAGATACTACCATGGCTGAATAAATCCCATTCTTTTTCTTTCTTCAGGCTATCAACATTTCAGTGGCAAATGGTTATTATGGAAACATTTGCCATTTAAAAGTTAACTAAATTATTTCTTCAATTTTCTCTGTGATGCAGTAGACTGTAAAAAGATTAAAGTTTGTTAAAATAAAGTACATATTCGATAAGGAAGAAATAGATTATTCCTAATGACGTCTGCAATGACCTAGTAGAAAGAGTGATAGAAGCAGTTGTTTTCATTATTTTTGTCCAAAACTTCCTTCCAAATGGGATTTCATTGATCATATTCGTTTATTACCACCTATAAGACATGTTGACATTATGTAACATCTGATGTGAAGCACTGAGGATACATCCTGTCTGTATTATTCTTGCCAAAAATTAATGGTGTGAATTGAATCAGTAGTAAACACCATATACAAACCCAACTAGGAGGACATTCTTCAACATACCTGGACAGTAAACTTCAAATGTTTGAAGGCCATGAAAGAGAAACAAAAGTGAAAAACTATCACAGATTTAAAGATATTGAGGACAGGATAACCAAATAAAATACAGAAACCTGAATTTTATCTTGTAACATAAAAAAAGTCATCAACAGGAAAAATCAGTGAAATCCATATGGTATTTTAAATGAGTTAACAAATAACATTATATCTATGTTCATTTCATGGTTGTGATACTTATACTGTGGTTATTTATGATGCTGACATTAGAGCAAGCTGAAAGAGGCGCATATGGGAATCATTTTTACCATATTTTTCAAATTTTAGGTCTAAAAGTATTTCCACATAAACTTAAAACACACACACAAGTAACTAAAAAATAAGAAAAAGGTAGTTTTTAAACAATTCCACAAGTTTCCTCCTATTTTGCACTTTCCTATTTCTTTCTTTCTTTTTTTTTTTTTTTTCAGATGGAATCTTGCTCTATCACCCAGGCTGGAGTGCAGTGGTATGATGATCTCGGCTCACTGCAACCTCTGCCTCCCAGGTTCACGCCATTCTCCTGCCTCAGCCTCCCAAGTGGCTGGGACTACAGGCACCCGCCACCACGCCTGACTAATTTTTTTGTATTTTTTTAGTAGAGACGGGGTTTCACCATGTTAGCCAGGATGGTCTCGATCTCCTGACCTCGTGATCCACCCGTCTCAGCCTCCCAAAGTGCTGGGATTATAGGCATGAGCCACCGCACCCAGCTACCTTTTCCTATTTCTAATTCTTATCTCTATTAAAGACAATCATAGCTCCCATTATGTAGAGTGTAATCACTAATTTGCTCAGTTCTAGAATACAAAGAAGGCATCTTAAAAATTGACTGTGCATTTCTTCATGAATGTGAAATCCAGGGACCAGGATTCTCTATTTTTTAAGTCCTTGGTTTCTCTTTAAACTGAGGGTGAAGAGTTCAAGTTCTCAAGTCCAAAATTACTTATGTTAGTAAATAACCTCATTCCATTTCAGCATGGCTATTATGTTCATTTAAATGCATTTTAGAAGGCATCTCTGTTTATGGCATCACAAAGAGTTTAATAAATCTTCTGTGCAAAAATAAATAACAAACACACATATAAAGCTAAAATATCAAAACTATTTCAGCACTCTGAAAATTGGTGAAGCATAAAATAATTAAAGATGTATATTCTTTATAGAAAAAAAAGTACTAGTGCTTTGAGTAAGGACAGAAAAAGTCTGTAGCCTTTTGCCTGTGACAGCACCCTTCTACCCCCAGCTCAGTCAGCATGAAATACAGAACTGGAGTTTTACCAATATGAGGATAGCAAATAAAGCTAGCAGCTTGCTGCCAAAGCGGGTGAACTTGAGTAAAGCCAAGGAATGAAGTAAAATTCTTCAGTGTTTCCAGCTAAACATGCAGAACTCCATAGGGAATGAACAGAAAAAGCCCACAGCTTTGTTAGTCAAAGATGATGCCCTGTTTGGGGCAAGTAGTACACCTGCTAACAGTAAATAGCAGATTCCTGGGTAAGATAGAGCCATATTGCTGAAACAATCTCTACACACATTCCTGGTGACTTAGAAGCTATAGATATGAGTGATGAGACCCAGAAGTGCCCGGTGCAAAGTAAAACCAGAGGGAGGTAAGAACTAGCTGCATTTTGCAGGAGCTTTTTAAACTACACACAGATGGATTGACAGAAGATAGATTTATAACCTCCAGATATTTGAGCAAAACTTCTTCTCAAATCATTGGTGACCACTAAGCTGTGCAGATACATGTGCAGTTTCTATAAATTCAAACTAAATATTAAGAATAAAAAGCAGAGATATCAGTGGTCAAACACCATATGAGATATAGATTTTTCAATATCATGCATTGAAAATACATTTAATATATGTAATCCACTAGCTCAGCCTATTCTATCCTAAATGTGCTCAGTACACTTACATTAGTTTACAGTAGGGCAACATTATCTAACACAAACCTTATCTTACAACAAAGTGTTGAATATCTCATGCAATTTATTGAATACTCTATTGAAAGAGAAGATAGAATAGTTGTATAAATACTAGAAGTACTATTTCTACTTGAATGCATATCACTTTCACACCATCTGAAAGTCAAAAAATGATAACTCCAACTATCATAAGTCAGGTACCAGAAGTAAGTTCTGACAAGTAACTAAGAAAAAAATTTTAAAATGCTCAGAAAAATGAAACCAGTTCCAGGCCTGACATGGTAGCTCAAGCCTGTAATCCCACTACTTTAGAGCCTGATGCAGAAGGATTACATGAAGCCAGGAGTTCAAGACCAGGCTGGCCAAAATAGTGACACCCTTATCTCTACAAATTTTTTTTTTTAAATAGCAGAGAGTGGTGGCATGCACCTATAGTCCCAGCTACTCAGGAGGATGAAGCTGGAGGATCACTGGAGCCCAAGAGGTTGACGCTGCAGCGAGCTATGATCACACCACCACACTCCAGCCTGGGTGACAGAGTGAGACCCTGTTTCTAAAAAAATTAAAATTAAAATAAAAACCCCACAATCTAAAGAGAGGTACTATAATATATTATCAAAAGTGTGCAGCTTTCAGTTTTAAAAAATCCTGAAAAAAAAACAGAGGAGTATGATTTATATTGAAGGAACAAAGTAAAGCAACTACAATAATGACAACAGAAAATAGCCAATGAAAGCTGATTCTAACTTGTCCTCATTATTGGCTTTAGCAAAGACTACAAAGCAGTTAATATGCAGATGTTCAAATAATTATTTTTAAAACTATGATCATTGACATAAAAACGAAAATATTTTTAAAAAGAAGATTCAGCAAGTAGGACCTCAAGAAAAGAAATGGAAAGTATAAAAAATGACCAAATGGGAACTCTAGAAATGAAAAGTACCATAATACAATTTAAATATTTATTAGCTAGGTCTAATAGCAAATTGAGATGACAGAACAATCAGTTAACTTGAAAATAGAGGAATGGAAATGTTTGAGCCTAAAGAAAATGTTTAGAAAAAAAGGAAGAAATGTCAGAGATTTATAGCTCAGAGTGAAGGATACCAACAAATGTATAATGAGAGTCACAAAGAAGGAGAGACAGAGAAAGTGGCTGAAAAAATATTTGGAGATACAATGACAAAAACTTTTCAAAAGTAATAAAAAATATTCTTAGATGAAATAATTCAATAAAACCCTTTTAGATAGTCAATAGAAATTAATAAGTGAACACACTATATTAAAATGTTGAAAGACAAAGAAAAAATCTTCATTGCATCAGAATAAAAGCAGACACTATATACAGAGACACAACAACGTAGCCATTGGCTAAGTTTTCATCGGGACCAATAGAGGCTAGAAGCAGTAAAATGACATATTTAAATGCTGAAAAGGAAAAAAAAGAAGGCAGCCAGGAAATCTATCCAGTGAAAATATCCTTCAAATCTAACAAAAAGGCAAAAAAAAAAATTTTGGTAAACAAAATACATTCATTCATAGCAGCTATGTCTTATAAAACATTTGAGAGAAAATCCTTCAGAATCACAGGAAATGACATCAGACAGGACCTTGAGTCCACTGGAAGAAATGAAGGCCTCAAAAGTAGTAAGGAATAATACCAAGACTAAAAAGATAAAAATACACATAATGCTATTTATATGAAGTTTAAGACAGGAAAACCTAAATGATTGTGTAGATGTCAGAAAGACAGTTACTTTTGCTGGGTGGGAAGGGTGACAACTAGCAAAGGTTGTCCACGAGGGAAGCACAAGAGAATGTGAAAGCACAGCTCCACCTCTGGCCCATTCTTTTGGAAGAGCCCAGATTCATAGGGCAGGTAACATCTATGGAAGACTCATGAATGACATGATTGATGGGTATTTAGCAGAAAACAAGTTGTATGTATCACATACTGTTCTATGCAGAGAGTACAATACATGTGAGTGAGAGAGTCCCTCTAGCAAAGAAAAGAAGTATGAACTAGACCTTCAGAATATTAGTTTTTAGAGTTCATCAGTTTTTAGAGTTTTTAGAGTTCATCAGAAGAACACAGATCAAGGTGTCCTCTCATCTGGGCATGGGAAAGCAAACTGACTGCAGGTTCTCCCTAGATCAGTGGCCCGTGGCTTTGGAGACATGTACATTAAACTCACATTTGTTCACATCCACAGTCACTTCCTGGCTTTACCATAGGAATGATGGTCTGGCTACCCAGTTACTTAGGAACTGTGCACACAGGCTGTCAGTTACTAAAACAATTAAAAACAGTGACTTTGCTTAAATATGTATCAGTAGTTACATTCTGCAGGGAAAAATGAGCAGAGGGGATATATTTTAATACCAAATGAAAAATCACAACCTTGTGACTTCTTTCTCTCCCCATATAATTCGTTATGCTTGTGCTGAAACTTCAGAGTATCAAATGAGCCCCATATATTCATCCCTAAATCTTTGTCCTTGTCCAACCTGAGCCCATGTTTGGGCCATCCACTGGCATCCGAGTACACTTGTGAGATGAGCAGTGTCCAGAGGGCATTGCTAGGGCGATTCACAGGCAGCTCCATGCAGTCTCTCCCCTCGAACTCCCAGCATCACTAACCCTGAAGGAGTGTCCTCCTGTCCTCCTCAGCACCCAGAGCACAGCCTGCCCTGCTGTGATTTCCCTGCCCAGCTTACAATCTCAGCATAGATTCCACTGGCTCAAAGACAAAGTCAGGTCCCAGGCAGAGACTGCTGTGGGGGCCTAATTAAAACCATCTTTTCATCAATTTTTCTGTTAGAAATTTGCAGACATTTTCACCATATTAAAAAATTATTTTCATTAGTGCTGATCTAAATGGTTACAGTTAGACCCTCACAGTGTTATAGCTCAGAGCACAAACCTCAGCAGCTGTTAGTCCAGAGAATCAGGTGGTCTCAGATGCTTGCTGGCTGGTGCAGCCACTGTTTCAACAATGGGAGGAATGAAGCTGAGTAGACAGATCCAGACCAGGGGCCCTCTACTCCCGACCCTAGCCCTGGACATTGTGCTCTGCAGGGCCCCTCACAACCTCACTCTCTCTTTCCCAGAACCACATTGTTGGCATCTCACATGGATCACAGAATTTAACACCTGATTGTTTTGTGACCATCTTTTCTCAACTCTTTATCTTCAACTAGGTGACTGGTTTATTGAGGAGAGGAATCGTTTTGTATTCCCTACAGAATGCAGCCTATTGATGGATGTAATAAGATCAACTCCATGAAAACCCATGAAAAAACTCCATCAAGTCTCACTGGAAACCAGCATCTAAAATTCTATAAGATGTTATGTCACAAACCTGCCATTGGGTGGTATGTCACAAACCTGGCCATTGGACAAACCCCATAATAAACACAAAATAGAAGCCTGATCTTAGAAATAGTGAAATTAAGGGTGATGTTGTTTCATTATCAGCAGGCAGCCCCCAAGGCAGGAATGGGGTCTCATGTGTGACCTGGATCACCTGGGAGGAGCTGCCAGTGTGCTGAGTGGTGGGAAAATGCCCTCTGTGCTCTGAGACTGGAAGCCTTGCCTTGCCCTTCCTACTGCCTTGGCCATATCCTCAAAGTGCACCTGCTATGAACTGAATGGTGTTTCACAAATTCATATTTTGAATCTCCAACCTCCAATATTACTGCATTTAGACATAGAGGTTATGAAGAGGTAATTAGGGTGAAATGAGGTGAAAACATCGGGGTTCTGATTTAATAGGATTTGTGTCCTAATAAAAAGAAATATCATTGAGCTGTTACTGAACCCCTCACCAGCCTCCAAGCGTGTACTGAGTAAAGCATGCACTTGCTTCTCTTACACATGCCTGGCACATTGCTGAACACACATGAGGATGTATCCAGAGAGGACATCTGGAAACAAACAGGGTTCTCACCAGAAAGCAAATCCTTCTGGACTTTGATCTTGAACCTTCCATGGTTCTAATATATTCGCAATAAATGTCTAATAAATTAGCAATAAATGTCTGTGGTTGAAGCCCTCCAGCTCAGAGTATGATGGTGTGGCATTCTCGGCAGACTTATCCACTGTTGCCACGTTCTCTGAGCAGGATCAGCCCCAGGAGTCACCTTGTGGACTTTGGGACCCAGCTTTTCTCCTTTTGCTCCTGCTGTCCTGACTGCCTGGTGAGGAAGGGGAAGTCAGGTTTCAGCCTCAGATAGTTTGTATTAAACATGAACTTTCCTTGATGATGAATTTGTTAGACTGTTTCTCCTTCTGATCAGAATTTCATCAAGTTGGATGAAATAAAAGCTTGGTATTAATATTTGGGAATCTGCATGCTTGTTCCCCCACTTGGATGACAGTGAGCATGTTATGTGGATGCCATCTTCATCCTCTTCCTTGTCTCTCAGGTTAGAGGGTCACTGTCACCTGCAGGGCTGGCCAGAGTATGAAGAACATCCTAGCCTGGCACCAGCAGAACTGGGGCATGGCTCTGAGCTCCTGCTGGCTCCTACTGCCCTCCTGGACATGATCCCTGCCTGGGTCAGGGATAATAATGGGCCTGAACAGATGTCACTCTGGCCACTACCAACCAAGATGCCTTCAGAGGTAGGTGATCCCTCTTCCTGTCCCCTATCATGTACAAATCTTCCCTAGCAACAGCTCTACCTGGGGGCCCAGGGGTTGCTAAGGGTCTGAAATCTTCTCAGGGGAACAGGCTGGGGGACACCTCTGAATTCACATTCCCTTTTCATCTCAAACCCACTTGCCACCTCTTCTATGAACATCTCTAATGTATCTTGTGGCCATCACTGCCTGAAGCATGTCAGATGCTTTCTCCCACCTCCTTCTCTGAATTCATGATGAAAATTCATCCTCACTTCCACATGGGCTGGCCACACCTTGTTTCTCTTACATACATGCCCCGGCACGTTGCTCAACCCATAATTCTGACCCCTCTCCATGAATCTTTGTGAAACGGTCATGGTTGGCAATTTGTGGTTATTGGAGACCAGAAAGTAAAATGGTAACTATCAAGAAGCTTGTGCATGGCACTGACATAGGCCATTGTTAACAGGGTCCCAGCAGCTGGTCAGTCATGAAAGCTGGGCAGAGAGATCCCACATCACCCCAGTCAGAGGGGAAGCTGGGAATGAGCCATGGAGGGGCTTATTCCTCTGACCATGCAGCCTCTGAGCCATGTGTGCTGCTTTGCTTGACAGAAATGACCAGAAAAGGACTTGTCTGTGCTGAGCCCTGTGGACAAAACGTCCCTCCATTCAGGGTCCAAATTCACTATCCATCTCCTGGGCATCTGCTGCCCTGTGATTCTGCAGATCCCCCTCAGGTCACTCATGATCCTCAGCAATGGGTAGCTCACTGCTATCGGCCCAGGGGGCACATGGAAGAGAGTCCCGAGCTTTATGACCCTCAGGCCCTGGAGTGAGGAGGGGCCATGAGGTGGTGCACCCAGTGCTTGTTTTCAATGTTCACGTTCAATTTATTAAAGTTTAAAACTATACCTTATACTAGCAATGAAACTTGCATCTCTTTATACATAAACATGCATCACATATTTATCCACAGATACATAGTATATACAAATATATAAATATAACTTATTTCTAAAATGTATGTATTTAATATGTAAAGTTTATACTAGAAATTCATATTACAAATACACATAATTTTATGTTTATTTTTGTAGCATGTGTTCCTTTTCTTTCCAAGCAGAACAGAGTCTGGCTGAGTGAAGACCTTGAGGACATTTGCTGACCCTCCCTCTTTGGCTCCAGCAGGGTCCCAGTCATTCAGGACAAGGGAGGACACAGCTGACAGCAGCCAGCCCAGGATCCCAGCCCCAGCCCTAAGGTCTGTGTCCTGAGACTTTCACTCTTGCCAGGCTGGGGGGATATATGCTTAATGCAGCTCCCGCGAATTTGTGAGCAGTTTCCCTCCCTGAAGACCCTGCCAGGCAGCCCTGCGGCCAAGGCCTGTGGCTCATCCCAGGTTCTCAGCCCTGTGGCTCAGGAGAACAGTGGCTTCCTCCACAGACCAGGGCCAGGGCCTGGAAGCGCTCAGGCACTGCCAGCCTGACCTTAGCTCTGGGCTAAGGACCCTATTCCAAATGTCTCCTCATTTATCGAAGTACCTGAAAATCTGTCTGGTTCTTAAACTCAAAGTATGACTTGAGTTGAGGTATACTCACTCCACTGTCTCTAATGTAGATTTATAGATGTGTAGAGAGTTTTAGAGGATTTTTAACTTTTGTGACCCAGTGTAAACAAAACAGTATCTGAGACAGGTCTCAATCAATGTATAGGTTTATTTTGCCAAAGATAAGGCTTATGGCCTGTGACACAGCTTTAGGAGGCCCTGCAAATATGTGCCCAAGGTGGCTGGATTACACGTTGGTTTTATACATTTTAGGGAGACACAAAAATTACAGGGAAAGACCTAAGTCAGTACATATAAGATATACATTAGTTTGTCCTGGAAAGGTGGGATATCTTGAAGCAGGGGCTTCCAGGTCACAGGTGGCTTCAAAGTTTTCCTGATTGGCAACTGGTTGAAAGAGTTAAGCTCTGCCTAAAGAGTTGAATTCATCATAAAGAAATCCTTGAGTTTAGATAAGGGGGTGTGGAAGTCAAGGTTCTTGTCACTTAGATGAACCTTGCAGGTAACAGTAAAGTAGATGGTGAATGTTGCTTATCAGACCTTTAAAGAAATGTCCAACTCTTTGGAAAAGACATAGTAAGAGGAGGAGATGCTCTGCAGAATGCAAATTTCCCCCATAACAGGCAGCTTTGCAGGGCCACTTCAGAATACATCAAAAAAAATATTTTTAGGGTACAATATTTAGATTTTCTTCAGGGCCTATTATCTGTCATGTTGGAGTATGGTATCTTATTGCTACAAAGCATTTGATTTGTCAGTCTAAAGATCTCTGTTGTAATGATAACACTGGTCAGTTTTGTCTGAACTCCAAAGGGAGGAGAGTATAATGAGTTACATCTAAACCCACCTGCCAGTCATGGCCTAACCTAGTTTTTCAGATTTCTTTGACGTTCTCTCTGCCAAAAGAGAAGCCCATTGAGTAGGTTGGTGGCTTACAACTTGATTTTTTGTTTTAACACACAGAAAAAAAATCACAGCGTAAATTCAATCTAAGATACATTGGTAAAAAAAAAAAAATTAGGTGCTTCCTGAATATTTGTACATATCAAAGAAAGAGAAATGGTAAGATTTCAGATGAGAAATACCCCTCATACAAAAGATTAATGACTTTTCTTTTTTACTCTCTCAGTTTGGATCCACCAGCAATAAGGATTCCTGTTAGGTAGCAAATTTATACTGGGAGGAAAGGAGGAAAGTGAGGGAGGGAACAGAAAATGAATGGTAAAAGACACATCAACAACCTACCTGACTCAGGATAACTGAAGATCAACCACATGGTCTGCTTTCTCCGCTTTCAAGATGATGCCTGGAGCGTTGAGTTCTTCAAAGGAAGGAAGGCCATGTCTTAACATGTCAGAGGAGCAGGAGAGAGATCTCAGCCCTGTAATTCCTGTTTATAGTGGCATTAATGTATTCCGCTAGAGGGCTCCAGCCTCATGACCTAAACACATCCCAATAGGCCCCACCTGGCAAAAACCATTACACTGAGAATTAACTTTACAATAGATGGATTCTGGAGGACACAGTCAAACCATAGCACTTTCCTAAGAGATACACATTCCAGGCCATCTGGCCAGCAATGCATCCAGGCAGAGTTCTCTGCCCAAGATCATAAAGAACATAAGACATATATATGGTCATTGGAAATGAGTAGAGGTACAGCAAAGGGGAAAGCCCTAGATTACAGATGGGGACTGCTACGTTCATCATGGTACAGTTAACCCTTGAATAACTTGGGTTTGAAATTTGCAGATACACTTATATTTTGTTCTGTGTGTGTCACCTGTAAGCAAATGCTTAATAAGTAGTAAATATATTTTCTCTATTTTATGGTTTCCTTAATAACATTTTTTTCTTTAGCATACTTTATTGGAATAATAGAGTATATAATATATATAACATTAAAAAACATGTTAATCAACTATTTATTTTATTGCTAAGGCTTCCAATCAAAAGCAATCTATTAGTACTTAAGTTAGGGATGCAAAAATTCTACACAGGTGCAGCCCATTTAGTCTCTGGGTATTAAAAAGACCTGTAGCTCTTGATAATGGTGGGGCTGTTAGTGCCACATGCATTGAAGAAGCACGGCATCATCTTTGTGTATCTGTAGTAAATTGTTTGATCTTATACTGGTAAGAACAATGGCATAACACCATTACCTAATACTTACAAATATATATAGCATCATGTCAATAAATTTTATTTTTAATTTTTTAGAAAGGAACAATGTTAAACTCACAGAAATGTTTCAAGTATAGCACAATTACCCCCTTCCCTAAATGGAATCTTATAACAGTCTTTTGAAGACCTGAGAATCGTACCATCTAATATGTACTGTGTTTCCTACAAACAAGAATATTCTCCAAAATAATCCCCATACACCAATGAAATATATTACCCCATTGACTCTCGAGGAATATTGTCAAAAAATATCTTTAAAATGTTTCTCATAACAAAATAGTCCCCAGTAGAAACACATTCTCTGCAGACAAATTTGTGCTACCCTGGTCTTACCTGGGACACCTGGGGACACTGAGCCGGTGCTGAGTTACTGAGATGAGCCAGCCCTGCAGCTGTGCCCAGCCTGCCCCTTCCCCTGCTCATTTGCATGTTCCCAGAGCACAGTCTCCTGACCTGAAGACTTATTAACAGGCTGATCACACCCTGTGCAGGAGTCAGACCCACTCAGGACACAGCATGGACATGAGGGTCCCCGCTCAGCTCCTGGGGCTCCTGCTGCTCTGGCTCCCAGGTAAGGATGGAGAACACTGGCAGTTTACTCAGCCCAGGGTGCTCAGCACAGCCTGGCTATTCAGGGAAATTCTCTTACTACATGATTAATTGTGTGGACCATTTGTTTTTGTGTTTCCAATCTCAGGTGCCAGATGTGCCATCCAGATGACCCAGTCTCCATCCTCCCTGTCTGCATCTGTTGGAGACAGAGTCACCATCACTTGCCGGGCAAGTCAGGGCATTAGAAATGATTTAGGCTGGTATCAGCAGAAACCAGGGAAAGCCCCTAAGCTCCTGATCTATGCTGCATCCAGTTTACAAAGTGGGGTCCCATCAAGGTTCAGCGGCAGTGGATCTGGCACAGATTTCACTCTCACCATCAGCAGCCTGCAGCCTGAAGATTTTGCAACTTATTACTGTCTACAAGATTACAATTACCCTCCCACAGTGTTACACACCCGAACAGAAACCCCCAGGGAAGCAGATGTGTGAGACTGGGCTGCCCCAGCTGCTCCTCCTGATGCCTCCATTGGCTGAGATTGTTCCTCAGATGCAGCCACACTCTGATGGTGTTGGTAGAGGGGGACACGAAGTCACCTCTGCACCCTAATTCTTTTCTCTTTCTCAGCCCCAACTGCACAGTTCTAGCAATGCCTCTCTTGATTTAATAAAGACAGAGATCATGACACCTGAAGAGTCTAGTTTATGGCTTCAGTTGGAATTCGTATAACAGAGAAGAAGCCACTATAGATATTTGAAGCAGATATAGTCTTAATACAGAGAATTAGAGTAAACTACTGAAGTCTAAATAAAATGTAGAGATGAATCTCTAAATTTAATGTTTTATTTGCAAAGAAATATTTGCCAAATGGGGCATACAGGAAAACTCAGTGGTCTTCAATATGTTGGAAGAACAAAGAGAAATTTAGCATTTTATGAAAAAGGGAAAATGTTACCTATGGCTCTTTTGAGAAAGCTCATTGGCACTAGGAAGGGTTGGGAGCTGGCAAGCTCAGACTGGTAAGCAGTGGTGGACAAAGTGAATCCTAGAATTATATCAAGTTATCTCAGAAGTTTTGGATAAATTTGATTTCAGGTTACAATAAACCAAAACGGTGAAGCTTGCAGAGAATTTTGTTACTGAAATGCCAGGGATTCGGTGTAGATCCTGCAGCTCGTCACACAGAAAGCCAATCACTAAGACAAGTATTTTCAAGGAACAGGCTTTAATCAGGTGCTGCAGCTGAGGAGATGGGATGCCATTCTCAAATGTATCTCTCTGACCAACTGAAATTAGGGGTTTATATAACAAGGAAGAAATGTGGAAAAACAGGAGTTAGGGAGGGTTAAGAAAGATAATTGGGTCAACAGGAAGCAGGAGGTCAGTTAGGCAATCATAATGGGTGAAGGGTCTGATGTCTCACTGTCCCGATTCAGTGATATATAAGTTTCAGCAAATTGATAGTATCTGGGAGGCCTGATGGTTGCTTTCCTGAAATTTAAAAAAAAAAAAAAAAAAAAAAGAAAGGTAAGATAAATGTTGCTATCTTGAGTTTTAAGACTGGAGGAGTCGATTTCTGTTTATTCAAAAAACCATAAACTTTAGTTCCATGGGATAATAGGGCCTATTTCAATTGCATTCTAGAAACAGTATTTTTCACCCTGAGTGCCTTTCCCTCCTGGTTTCTTGGCTCTGTCGGGTATCACAAGAATGACCGAATTCCTATGATTAACTTTCCCACTATGACCTTTCAAAGCCAAGGATATAGTAGTCAGGAAAGCTGATATTAGAAGCAGGAATCTCTGGTGCTCCCTCAGAAAACAGAATGCATCTGTCCCTGAAGTAAGGGCTTTCTAACCATGTGGTCCTCAGTCCTGTCTGGAAGCTTAGGGGTGGGGGTGCTGATGCTCTCAGCTTCCTACAGCATCTTTTCAGGTGTTTCTCTAGTCCTCACCTCTGTTCCTGTGTCTGCCTTAGGTACCAATGGAGAATATTGAGTCATCCTTTTCTGATTCCAAATCTCATGGGAGGACCTCTTATTGGGCAACTCTATAGGACACAAGAGAGGTAAAAAGGGATAGTTACATAAGTTAAAATGATTTTCCCCCTTTGAGGTCATTTCAAAAATTATATTTAAAAGCACATGTTGAAAACACATCCAGCTTTATTTTCTTATTAATGCAAATTTACGTTTGCAAATATTTTCAGGATTGTAAAGGTTGAAAACATAATTACTTGTCCATGGAATGATCAAACACCTCTATAATTAATTGGAGTAAACATTTTCTTGAAAATTTGTACTCACTGAAATCAAAAAATATATTTAAAATGTGTGAAGCTATGTTAGAAATTATTGGACTTAAATTCAACTGTGCAGTTCGGTTTGGGATGTTGTTCACTCCTGTGACCTGTCACAAGAATCTTGTGTCACGTGTAGTCACTGCTGTTCAGCCTCGTCCTCAGAAAATTGGTATCTGTAGGCTAAAGACAAGCTCAGTGCCCTGCGGAGGAATCAATCAGCTGAGCCCTTCCTTAATCAGCCAGATGATTGTGAACATGAGCATCCATGAAGATGAAAACAAATATTTACAGTTATCAGCCACTGAGTTGTATATTTAACCGATTATCAATCATTAATGCATAAAAGCTTACTGATACAGTATTTACACCTCTGCCTATATATAGATACATGTGTTTTTTCTTAAATTGGTGGTATAAATGTGAACATTAAGTAATCAAATTATGAAGTTATTAAGAGAAAATTAAAGATGAAATTAAAACTAATTAGTATTTCATTAAAAAATTAAAATTTACCTTATTTATGGAAAAATGTGCATATATATAAGATACATAGAAGTTAATATATATTTATTTGATAAAATGTTGGCTATAAGTATATATAGTATTCATATTTAATTATGTTTATTCTATTATATATGCAATATATACAAATTTACAAAATTATTATCTAAATTATATACATTTAAATAATTTTTTCTTGCATCTGTAAAAAAATGGTATTCTGGACCACAGATAGTTCATACTCTTGCTAAAGAAAATTTCTTTTTAGCCTTTATTTTTAAAACTTTACCAAATTGTTGTCCTTACCTAAAATATTTTTCCAAACCAGTAGATCTCCAAGGGTAGGACTACAGCAGATTTTGACTAATGTTGAATATTAATCATTGCATCCTATGAAAGTCTCCATTATGTTCATGCCCACAATGATGATATTCCAAATAGAGTTCTCACAACAATGGATGCTAGATGGCGTCACATTAGTGCCATTGTCAAGGAATCCCTGGAAATGTAAAAATCCTAACCGTGGGTAAACTGCAAGGCCTACATCTGATGATCACATTGCCACATTGCAAAGAGAACAGCAATTTAATAATATTGGTTGTTGGTTTTGACAGATCATCAGGCCTTAAAAGAAACACAACAGGATGATTGCAGACAAAGTCATTTTGGAAGAGCTATGACTAGATGTTTCAAAAATGAGCCATAATCGAAAAACATGCTTTCTCAGTGAATATTAATCCAAATGCCATTAATGAGCAGGGGGCTTTTCATAATGAGGATGATTGAACACATGGACTTCAGTCAGTCACCTTTGCCCACTTTCCCAGGTAACCTCATGAACCACTGTTACGGAGGTCCCTGTGGGGACTCAATAATATGAGTTTCAACTAACTGAGATGTACAGGGCTACTGGCTCTCTTGAACACTAATTTGCCAAGAAAATTGACCCTTCCTGAGCCCCTAACATTCTACCACACATCAGGGCTCATACTAACAGCTGATGTCAGGTGATTCAAGTGCACTTCATGTAACATGAGGAGAGCAGTGGTTATTATCCTATATATGAATTTTCCTTTGTCTTTGGTTATGTTACTGCATAAAATATTATTTGAGGATTTTCCAAATGCCTTCATCAGAGTCAGGAAGTTCTTCCATACTGTGGCTTTGGATCAAGAAGGTAATTGACTTCAAAAAAAGTGAAGTAAAGTGTAGCTCATGATCCTGTCATGTGCACAGGTGCAGCTTTCCCTATAGAAAAAAAACCCATTATTAGTCAAGCACTGCTGGCACACAAACCCTTGTGCTATTGAATTGCTATGCTGTCAGATGTGGCGGAGGGTCTACAACACTCACCGTGAATGTTGCTCTTACTCCCATAAACAGAATATTTATATCTTGTAAATGAGCTATAGAATCATCATTGTTGTGCAAACTGAACAGCTTGAAATACTCTATTTCTATTTTCTCAGGGCTGTGGTTTTCTGGCTGATGGTTCTTAATCCAAAGATTTGACATGACAATTATCTCATTAAATTGGAAGAAATAATATGATAAACATGTGCCTATTTAGACTTAATACAATACTGGATAAGTTGTCAACGCAGGGCGTTAGGGTGTGTGCTGGGGACACAGATGTAGCCCATATAAAGCAAGAGCAAATATAATTGATTTTACATATTTTAGAGAGGAAGTACAGAAAATATGGACCCTAGGGGACCTTCTGGAATCTTTCTATTTATTGCCATTTCCACTGGTAAAACTCAGAGAAGATTTCAACAGTCATGAGGATGAAGTTCTAGGGATCACAGTCATATGAAGCATTCCCTGCACTTGGATCTCCAGTGAGGCAAAGGGAAGACGAAATGCATAGTGGGATATGGACATGTAAACACCAGAGACAGCCTCCTGGTCAGCTTAAACGTTGAAAAGTGTATTTATTTTTTCTCTTTAGTTTTATCACAGAATCATTTGGATCTAAGAAAAGCGATTATGGCTGGTTAGGCAGAAAGGTGTTTATTATCATGAATTTAATGGATTGAAAACATTTGGGGAAACCAGAGTGGCAGCTCAGGCAACTCCAAGTACTCCTTTTCCTATTCCTTGACCCTTACCATCCCCATATTTTCCACAGTCAAGAAAGATACTCTCATTTTATAGGAACCTGGCAAGTGAAGATACTGTGCCCACAGGACTGTGCTGCCTGGCTGAGACCCAGACCAGGAAAATGAGCACATTTGAGTGAGATCAGGCATTTTCCCTCCCTCATCTCAATCCAAAAGCACTCTGTAGTAACACATCTGATGGGCAGTCAGAGAAAGGGGTCAGATCTCTCGTAGTTGATAGCAGAGCGGCTGTCCTTCTGGGGGCAGTAGTGAGAAGAGCTGCTCTCTTTTCTGCAGGAGACAGCTTGAATGTTGTGGAGTCTCAGGCAGGAGGAGCTCCTCCCCAGCCTGTGCCAGCAGTGCCATTCTTGGAATTGTTCTAGAGGCTTTGCCTGGAGCCTGTTCCTTAAGGCTTTTCAACAATTTGCAAGGAATTTAATATCCTCTAGTAAATCCCTTTATGCTTCACGAATTTGACATTTGCAACAGGGAATATACACAGTCCACAGTGACATCATTCACTGCCTCCTTTTTTCTTGCTAAATATAATGCTTTCCAGGTGGACCTGCCAGAGGAAGCCAATGTGAATAACAATCCATGTCACCAAAAATGCAAGACAAATAAGCTGGGTAAAGCCACTGGGTTCTCACATAGCTGCACTGTCCCCCGGTACAAAATGGGAGAGTGTAAAACTCTTAGCTCCACCATCAGAGAGATGGTGCAGTGTGACCTTCTCAGCATAGTAAGTCAGTATTTATAGACATTTAAATACTAACAACTTTAATACCAAAATACAGGCAAAAGTAGAAAAGAAGATAAATTGGACTTCATAAAAATGTAAAATGGGCATCAAAAGACATAATCAACACAGTGAAAATGCAACATGTGGAATAGAAGAAAACATTTGTAAATCTTATATTTGATAAGGGGTTAATAATATCTACTATACAAAAATAAGTCTTATATGTGAACCTTAAAATAAAATACCTGATTAAAAATGAGGAAAGTACATGAATCGACATTTCTCTAAAGAAGATTCTATAGAGATAATTAGAAAACTAGCATAGGAAAACATGGTCAACATTATTAATCCTTAGAAAAATAAAAACAAAACCCACCTCACACCTATTAGGATTTTTTTTCCAACAGAAAATGACCAGTCTTGGTGAGAACTTAGGGAACTGGAACTCCTGTGGACACTGTCGTGGTGATGTAAATGGCCCACCTGCTGTGGGAAACCAGATGGCAATTCCTCGAAGAATTAAAAATAGAAATACTATATAATTCAGCAATTCCACTTTTGGACATATACCCAAGTAACTGAAGACATTAACTTGAGGATATATTTGTATATCCACATTCAGAACCGAATTATTCACAATAGCCAAAAGGTAGAAGCAACTCAAATGTTCACAAAGGAGGGAACTGGTAATCCAAATGTGGTATATACATACAGTAGCATATTGTAGCTTTAAAAAGGCAAAATTAGCTTTAAAAAGGGAAATTCTGACACATGCTACAACTTGGATGAAACTAGAGGACATTACACTAAGTGAAATAAGCCAGTCACAAAACGATTACTGAGTTATGATTTCACTACAGTATTTGCAGAACAGGTTCCATTTTGCCTTGAATGATCCCAGTCTCCTTCCCTTTCTTGCTTGTAGTTTTCAGGAATAACTGTAGAAGTTTCTGGAAATGTAACATTCTGAGATAAAGCAAGACTGGCCAGAACACGATTGGCCAGATATTGCAAGATTGACTCCATTTCTGTCCTATTAGAGGAATTTCTTCAACACTCTAGGCAACAATGTGGAGAAAAGTTGAATTGTGAGTCATGCTTGGTTAAACACAAATATCAAGAATGGGCGAGGAAGGCATGATATTTTATAAAATAGTTTTCTTTGGGTGTTTCTGAGCTTTTTAAGAGTATTTTGAAATATACTGTTTTTAATCTTTATTCCACATATTCCATGAATGTGCTCAAAACTTCCCCAGCAGGACCAGCTTAAAATATCAAACCTTAAGGAAAAGAACATTGTAATTAATCATATTTGGACCTTATATTGGATGCCTGCCTGAGATCACTCATCAGCTCCCCCTTGCTTCTAAGGACTGAATCACCAACCAATCCAGCAATCCCCACCTTTCTTCCTCCTGTGTTTTAATACAATTAATCATAACTGTACACTTTACATGCAAACTGTGTTTATTCAACATCATAATAATGCTTGTTACTTTTGTCAATATGTTTCCCCATGTCCAATTAATCATTTTCAACTGTAAAAGTAGTTTAGTATCCTTAGTTGAGGTGATTGCACCATATTTATTCTAATTAAAAAAAGAAGCATATAGTTGCTTTTAAGGGATTTTAACTTAATGTCAGAGTTTTCAGAACTAATAAATGCTATCATTTAAGGTTTAGTGCATGTAAGTAAATAAAACAATTTTTGATCGCAAATACTGATACTCAGTAGGGGAATGAGCCATGCACAGAATAATAACTACATAATGAAATGGAATAGAATACTTTCAGTGTTGATAAATTGCATAAAAATCAGCCAATGGTATGTGGTATCTGGAGGTTGAAGTTGCTCATCTATGTTAATCGGGGAAGATCTTAGGGTTGTGCTGTAGATGCATCTGATCGGTAAGGAGGCCACCAAGTGACCATACAACCTGCAAAGACTACAGAATCATCACGGGAAGGGCAGGGGCTGGGAGATTCCTGATAAACCACTGCGCATTGAAAAATTTATTTTTACCACTTTAGTGGTATAAAACCCAAACAGTCCTATAATAATCAGATGCCTTCTGTGTTTTTATTTTCTTAAGAAAATAATTTATTGTAATATCTTTTATCAAACACCTTGACCTGGATCACACCTAGGACATACAATGTTCCCTTGCTCAGAAGCTGGAAGCCCAAGTCTGCACCCTTATTGCTAGTTGGCAGGCTCCCCAAAGCTCTTCCCTGCCACTCAAGCCTTCATCACTGGGTCCTGTAGGGTGGGATCACCGAAGGCAGAGGCAACACTGGACACTGGACATGGGGCTCTGGCTTCAACTGCGTGGGCTGCATGTGACAGGGTTCATATGTCCCATGGGACTGAGAAAGACTATTGATTAGGGAGCACAGCATTCACCTCCCACTTGATCAGACAGCACCTCTCTGCTGGGAAGCCTATGGAGAGGGACATGAGTAATACTAAGGAAGATCTATGTTCTGTTTCCACTGCAGCTTCCAGGAGAAACACTCAGCTCCCCAGTCGCTAGCTTCAATGTCAGTGTCTTCAAGACAGAGAGTTTACATCATTCACCTGGAGGAAGCAGAATCTGGGTTCCAAAGATCCACCTACGTGCTCTTTCCACCTTGTCCACTCCAGCTTGGTGCAATGGTCCTGGGATCATCTTTGCTTAACATTTAGCAGATTGGTTGTCCTGATGACATTGCTGTTTATTACCATCTAAAACTTCCCTGACTCACATGGCCAACATTAGCAGTACCCAGCCACAAACATGTATATTGGAATTAATTAAAATTAACAATATAGTTCCTTAGTTGTTTTCACTACATTTCAAGTGTTCAGGAGTCACATATGACATATAACGGCTACACTTGCAAAGCATAGATATAGACATTTTCACCATCTTAAAAATTATTTTCATTAGTGCTAATCTAAATGGTTACAGTTAGAGACTCACAGTGTTATAGCTCACAGCACAAACCTCAGCAGCTATTATTCCAGAGAATCAGGTGGTCTCAGATGCTTCCTGGCTGGTGCAGCCACTGTTTCACGAATGGGAGGAATGAAGCTGGGTAGACAGATCCAGACCAGGGGCCCTCTACTCGCCACCCTAGCCTTGGGCATTATGTGCTGCAGGGTATCTCACAACCTCACCTTCTGCTTTCCAGAATCACATCATTGGCATCTCACATGGATCACAGAATCTAGCCCCTAATTGTTTTGTGACCATCTTTTCTGAACACCCTTTATCTTCAACTAGGTGACTGGTTTATTGAGGAGAGGAATCATTTTGTGTTCCCTACAGAATGCAGCATAATGGTGGATGTAATAAGATCAACTCCATGAAAACCCATGAAAAAACTCCATCAAGTCTCACTGGAAACCAGCATCTAAAATTCTATAAGATGTTATGTCACAAACCAAACATTGGAGGTTATGTTACAAACCTGGCCATTGGACAAACTCCATAATAAACATAAAATAGAAGTCTGATCTTAGAAATAGTGAAAATTAAGGGTGATATTGTTCCATTATCAGCAGGCAGCCCCCAAGGCGGGAATGGCGTCTCATGTGTGACCTGGATCACCTAAGAGGAGCTGCCAGTGTGCTGAGTGGTGGGAAAACGCCTTCTGTGCTCTGAGACTGGAAGCCTCGCCTTGCCCTTCCTACTGCCTTGGGCATGTCCTCAAAGCACACCTGCTATGAACTGAATTGTGTTTCACAAATTCATATTTTGAATCTCCAACCTGCAAAATTACTGTATTTAGACATAGAGGTTATGAAGGGGTAATTAGGGTGAAATGAAGTGAAAACCTTGGGGCTCTGATTTAATAGGATTTGTGTCCTAGTAAAAATAAACATCATCGATCTGTTCCTTAACCCCTCACCAGCCTCCAAGCATGCACTGAAGAAAGCATGTACTTGCTTCTCCTACTTACACATGCCCGGCACATTGCTGAACACACGTGAGGATGTATCCAGGGGTGACATCTGAAAACAAGAAGCAGGGTTCTCACCAGAAAGCAAATCCTTCTGGACTTTGATCTTGAACTTTCCAGGGTTCTAATACATTCACAATAAACGTTTAATAAATTAGCAATAAATGTCTATGGCTCAAGCCATCCAGCTCAGGGTATGTTGGTGTGGGAGTCCCAGAAGACTCATCCACTGTCACCACCTTCTCTAAGCAGGATCAGTCTCAGGAGGCACCTTGTGGACTTTGGGACCCAGCTTTTCTCCTTTTGCTCCTGCTGTCCTGACTGCCTGGTGAGGAAGGGAAACTCAGGCTTCAGCCTCAGATAGTTTGTATTAAACATGAACTTTCCCTGCTGATGAAGTTGTTAGCCTGTTTTTCCTTCTGATCAGAATTGCACCAAGTTGGAGGAACTACAAACTCGGTATTAATATTTGGGGATCTGCATGTTTGTTCCCCCACTTGGATGACAGTGAGCATGTTATGTGGATGCCATCGTTGTCCTCCTCCTTGTGTCTCAGGGGAGAGGGTCACTGTCACCTGTAGAGCTGGCCAGAGTATGAAGAACATCCTAGCCTGGCACTAGCAGAACCAGGGCCTGGCTCTGAGCTCCTGCTGCCCTCCTGGACATGATCCCTGCCTGGGTCAGGGACAGTAGGCCTGAAAAGATGTCATTCTGGCCAACAGCAACCAAGATGCCATCACAGGTAGGTGCTCCCTCCTCCTATCCCTGTCCTGCACAAATCTTCCATAGCAACAGCTCTGCCTGGGGTCCCAGGTGTTGTTAAGGGTCTGATCTCTTTTCAGGTGAACAGTCTGGAGACACCTGTAAATTCACACTCCCTCTTTTTCTCACACCCCCTTCCCACCTCCTCTGTGGGCGCTTCTAGTGTATCTTGTGGGCATCACTGCCTGGAGCATGTCAGGATGTTTTCTTCCACCTCCTACTCCGAATTCATGGTGAAAATTCATCCTCACTTCAGACATGGGCTGGCCACACCTTGTTTCTCTTATATACATGCCCTGGCACATTGCTGAACCCATAGTTCCAACCCCACTCCATCAATTTTTGTGGAAGGGTCATGGCTGGCAATTTGTGGTTATTGGAGACCAGTAAGTAAAATGACAACTATTGAGAAGTTTGTGCGTGGGACAGATGTAGACCACTGTCAACAGAGTCCCAGCAGCTGGTGAGCCATGAAAGTGGGGCAGAGAGATCCCACATCACCCCAGTCAGAGGGGAAGCTGGCAATGACTCATGGAGGTGCTTCATCCTGTGATCATGCAGCCTCTGAGCTACATGTGCTGTTTTGTTTGACAGAAATGACCAGAAGAGTACTTGTCTATGCTGAGCCCTGTGATCAAAATGTCCCTCCATTCAGGGTCCAAACTATCAATCTTCTGGGCATCTGCTGCTCTGTGATTCTGCAGATCCCCCTCAGGTCACTCATGATCCTCAGCAATGGGTAGTTCACTGCTGTCCATGCCGGGGGACATGGAAGAGGGTCCTGAGCTTTATCACCCTTAGGCCCTGGAGTGAGGAGGGCCATGAAGTGGTGCACCCAGTGCTCATTTTCAATGTTCGTGTTTACTTTATTAAAGTTTAAAACTATACCTTATACTAGCAACCAAAGTTATATATCTTTATATATAAACATGTACCACATATTTATCCATAAATAGACACATAGTATAGGCAAATGTATAAGTACAACTTATTTCTAAAATATATGTATTCAATATGTAAAATTTATATTAGAAATTCTTATTACAGATACACATGATTTTATGTTTATTTGTATACCATGTGTTCATTTTCTTTCCAAGCAGAACAGGGTCTGGCTGAGTAAAGACTTTGAGGACATTGGCCGACCCTCCATTTTTGGCTCCAGCAGGGTGCCAGTCATTCAGGACAAGGGAGGGCAGAGCCGACAGCAGCCAGCCCAGAATCCCAGCCCCAGCCCTAAGGTCTGGGTCTCTGAGACTTTCACTCTTGCCAGGCTGCGGGATATATGCTTAATGCAGCTCCTGTGAATTTGTGAGCAGTTTCCTTCCCTCAAGCCCCTGCCAGGCAGCCCTGTGGCCAAGGCCTGTGGTTGCTCCCAGGTCCTCAGCCCTGTGGCTCAGGAGAACTGCTGCTTCCCTCACAGCCCAGGGCCAGCGCCTGGAAGCTCTCAGGCACTGCCAGTCTGACTTTAGCCCTAGACTAAGGACTCTATTCCAAATGTCTCCTCAATTATTGCAGTACCTGAAACCTGTTCTTAAACTCAAAGTCCACATTTCCACAATTGATAAAGCTAGCATTTGGCATCTGGAAAAGTAGAAATGTGAATTAATTGTCATTCTCAGAGCCTGGTCTCTTCCAGCCCCACCAGATAAAGTTGCCCCATGTTCTCTTCTCTCCACAGAACTTTGCTTAGAATTTTAGGGAAATGTAAAATGCGGTAAAGCTCTTATTGCCTGCACAGAAATCATCCTCTTCTCCTTTGGTGCTTAGGGCACCAGCTCTAGCCTGCTGGGCATGGTGAGGACAGTGAGCCTCTCCCAGCCTGGGACAGGAGCAGGGATTAAGGGCACATGTGATTAGCTCCACAATGCAATGTCAGGGGGGTGAAGGAGGGGCAGGGACTCTGGGAAGAATTTGATCCTTCCTAAGAAGATGGAAGGTGAAGAGCTTTTCTTCACCTTGTAAAATCAATGACTTTATTTTAGATTTGGGAGCTGGGACACGTGTTTCATTGCCCTGACTCCTTCCACATCTCCTCTTTCTCTTACAATATCTCTGACTCTGTCTGTCCTTCTCAGATTGTGTCCTGAAAATCTAATTTTCCCTCGCAATATGAAAACAAACTAACAAAACCCTCTTCCTCCTATCACATGTTGTGAGATCTGACCCCAAACTCTGTGATACCCAGATCGTATAACAGATAATCATGAGATTTTACCCAGGAGATTTTCTAGCTAAAAACGAATTCTCGTGGTAGCTCTTCTCTCGGAAAAATTTTCTCTGTCTCTTGTCATAACTGACACCAGAAAACAAGGTGGAAATATTTCCAAGAACAGAAGACAAGCACGCGCTCAGTGAGCTGAAAGACATTTCTTCCCCTTGCATTAGTTTCCAATGCTGCTGTTTAAATCGCCACAGTCTTATTGGCTTCACACAACATAAATGTATTACCCTGTAGTTCTGGAGGTCAGCATTCTCACTGAGCTAATGTTAAGGTGTCAGTAGGGCTGCATTCCTTCTGGAGGCTCCAGAGGAAAGAACTGAATCCTCTGCTTTTATCTTCCAGGTGCTCCCACATTTCTGGCTCTATGGCCCCTTCCCTCCTCAAACCACATCCTTCCATATTGTCCCAGCTCCTCTCTGCAAGCCTCCTCCTCTATTTTAATGACCTTTGTGATTATATTGGTTTCATCTGGATAACCAGGTTGCTTATTCTCAAAGTCGTTAACTTACACCTGTCAAGTTCTTCTTTTGCTATGTAAGGTAGAATCCTTATGATAGGGCTCTGATGACTGGAGGACCACCACCGTTCTTAGTCTCACGCGGGTTTGTTTAAAAAGAAACGGACATGCGTGGGGTTGTTTTAAGGAGCGAAAAGTTTAATACGCAAGAAGGAAGGAAGAAGAAAACAGCTCCACCGTACAGAGACAGAGAGAGGGGAGATTAGAACTAAGAGAAAACTCCATGTGCGGTGGAAAAGTGGCTGCTTATATGAGGAGGCTGAAGGAGGTGGTGTCTGATTTGCATAGGGCTTAGGGGATTGGTTTTACCAAGCATGTCATTCATGTAGCTTGAGAAAAAACTGGCCCTCCCACCCTAGTGTTTTAATATGCAAATGCAGGGTGCCATAAAGTTCTACACACATGGGGATATGTGGGGGCAGCCATGTTGTCAGGCAAATGTCGGGGCAAGGAAGAAGACCGTGGGAGCTGGACGCCGTGGCTCACACCTGTAATCTCAGCACTTTGGGAGGCCAAGGAAGGTGGATCATGAGGTCAAGAGATGGAGACCATCCTGGCCAATATGGTGAAACCCCGTCTCTACTAAAAACACAAAAAGTAGCTGGGCGTGGTGGCATGTGCCTGTAATCCCAGCTACTCAGGAGACTGAGGCAGAAGAATCGCTTGAACCCAGGAGGCAGAGGTTGCAGTCAGCCGAGATCGTTCCACTGCACTCCAGCCTGGGCGACAGAGCGAGACTCCATCTCAAAAAAAAAAAAAAAAAAGAAGAAGAATGTGGGAATCTCCATGTTTGGCTGGACCCAGTTTCTAATGGCCAGTATTTGTATATCAAAGCTTGCCGCCTGTAATCCCAGCACTTTGGGAGGCCGAGGCGGGCAGATCAGGAGGTGAGGAGATCGAGACCATCCTGGCTAACACAGTGAAACCCCGTCTCTACTGAAAAATACAAAAAATTAGCCGGCCGTGGTGGCGGGCGCCTGTAGTCCCAGCTACTTGGGAGGCTGAGGCATGAGGAAACCAGAGGGCGGAGCTTGCAGTGAGCCGAGATCGTGCCACTGCACTCCAGCCTGGGCTACAGAGCGAGACTCCCTCTCTAAAAAAGAAAAAAAAGCTTGCCGGACCAGCTCTAAGAGCCAGGGCTTTCCTGCTAAACAAGAAACATTTCTGGAGCTGCTTTAAAAGAAACAAAACCTTCCCAAGGACCCTGTTTCCTCTCTATATGCCTAAAATAGTTTCTTAATAACTCGTATAACATGGGTTCCAGAGACGAGGATATGGACATCTTTTGGGGTGGGGACATTATTCATTCCACTGACCATAAACATATTCCCCAAAATTGTCCTTCTCTAGAGTAAAATTTAAAAAAATCACAAATTATTTTTATGAAGCAAGAGAGCTGGACAAAATCTTAGACTCAGGTTCCTCTAACTTGTGAGTTTTGACTGTTGGAGTGTGCTCACTCCACTGCCTCTAATGTAGATTTATGGATGTGTAGATAGTTTTAGAGGATTTTTAAATTTTGTGACCCAGTGTAAGCAAAACAGTATCTGAGACAGGTCTCAATCAAGTTATAGATTTATTTTGCCAAAGATAAGGATTATGGCCTGTGACACAGCCTTAGGGGGTCCTGTAAACATGTGCCCAAGGTGGTTGGATTACACGTTGGTTTTATACATTTTAGGGAGACACAGAAATTACAGGCAAAGACATAAATCAATACATATAAGATATACATTAGTTTGTACTGGAAAGGTGGGATATCTTGAAGCAGGGGCTTCCAGGTCACAGGTGGCTTCAAAGTTTTCCTGATTGGCAACTGGTTGAAAGAGTTAAGCTCTGCCTAAAGAGTTGAATTCACCATAAAGAAATGCTTGAGTTTAGATAACGGGGTGTGCTTGAGTTTAGATAAGCCAAGGTTCTTTTCGTGTAGATGAATCCTATGGGTAGCAGAAAAAGTAGACGTTGCTTGTCAGACCTTAAAAAAAAAAAGTCAGACCTTTGGAAAATGATTAGTAAGCATAGGAGATTCTCTACAGAATGCAAATTTCTCCCACAACGCGCAGCTTTGCAGGGCCACTTCAGAATATTTCAGAGAAATAGGTTGGGTGCGGTGGCTCACTCCTGTAATCTCAGCACTTTGGGAGGCCGAGGTGGGTAGATCACGAGGTCAGGAGATCGAGACCATCCTGGCTAACAGGGTGAAACCCCATCTCTACTAAAAATACAAAAAAAATTAGTCGGGCATGGTGGTGGGCACCTGTAGTTCCAGCTGCTTGGAAGGCTGAGGCAGGAGAATGGCATGAACTCAGGAGGCGGAGCTTGCAGTGAGCCAAGATTGCGCCACTGCTCTCCAGCCTGGGCACAGAGCGCGACTCCATCTCAAAAAAAAACAAAAAAAAGAAAAAGAAAAAGAAATATTTTTAGAGTAAAATTTTTAGATTTTCTTCAGGGCCTATTATCTGTCATGTTGGAGTATGGTATCTTATTGCTACAAGCATCTGTTTCCTCAGTCCAAAGATCTCTGTTATAATGATAATGCTGGTCAGTTGTGCCTGAACTCCAAAGGGAAGAGAGCATAATGAGACACATCCAAACCCACCTGCCAGTCATGGCCTAACCTAGTTTTTCAGATTTCTTTGAAGTTCTCTCTGCCAAAAGGGGAGTCCATTTAGCTCGTTGGTGGCTTACAACTTAATTTTTGGTTCACAAAACACACAGGAAAAAAAATCAATAAATTCAATCTAAAATAGATTGGTTAAAAAAAAGTGTTTTCTGAATATTCCTAGATGTCAAAGAAAGAGAAGTGATAAGAATTCAGATGAGAAATATCCCTCATACAAAAGTACAATGATTTTTTTTTTCTGTCTTATTTTGGGTCCACCAGCAATGAGTATTCCTGTTTAGGCAGCAAATTTACACTGGGAGGAAAGGAAGAAAGTGAGGCAGGAGCAGAAGATGAATGGTAAAAGACACATCAACCACCCACCTGACTCAGGATAACTGAAGATCAACCACATGTGGAAACATGGACTAAATTCCTCTGGGCTATTCCACCTGAGAGATGAGAAAGCTGGGATATGTATATACCTCATCTTATCCTCACTGATTGTGAGCTGTCTCTCCTGTTCTCTTTCAAGCTGCTATAACAGGTTCCTTGTCGCTGTGTAATTCATAAAAAACAGAAATATATTTTCTCACACTTCTGGAGTACGGAAAGTTTGAGATCAAGGCATGGGCAGGTTAAGGTCAGCTTTCTCTGCTTTCAAGACGATGCCTGGGGCATTGAGTCCTTCAATGGAAGGAAGGCCATGTCTTATCAGGACAGACCAGCAGAAGAGAGAGAAAGATTCCAGCCCTATAAACCCTGTTTATACTGGCATTAATGTATTCCACTAGAGGGCTCCACCCTCATGACCTAAACACATCCCAATAGGGCCCACCTGGCAAAAACCATTTCACTGAGAATGAACTTTACAACAGATGGATTTTGGAGGACACAGTCAAACCATAGCACTTTCCTCAGAGATACACATTCCAGGACATCTGGCCAGCAATGCATGTAGGCAGACCTCTCTGCCCAAGATCATAAAGAACATAAGACATATATATGGCCATTGGAAGTGAGCAGAGGTACAGCAAAGGAGAAAGCCCTAGACTACAGATGGGGACTGCTACATTCATCATGGTACAGTTAACCCTTGAATAACTTGGGTTTGAAGTTTGCAGATACACTTATATTTTCTTCTGTGTCACCTGAAAGCAAGTACTTAATCAGTAGTAAATATATTTTCTCATTTTTATGGTTTTCTTAAGAACATTTTTTTCTTTACCATACTTTATTGGAAGAATAGAGTATAAAATATATATAAAATGTAAAAAAGTGTAATCAACTATTTATTTTATCACTAAGGCTTCCAGTCAAAAGTAAGCTATTAGTACTTAAGTTAGAAATGCAAAACTTCTACACAGGTTTTCATCTGCACCTGTGGTCAGTGCCCCAACCTCCATGTTGTTCAGGGGTCAACTGCTCACTCAATCTGCAGCTGCATCTCTCTGAAACAGGATCTTGGCAGGTGGCTGCAAGTAAAGGAATCCAGAAAATAACATCTCAAACTATGCTGCATTGGTATGATGATTATGTAAAGCCAAAGGCATTTAGAAAGCAGCAAATGCACAAGAAGTCTTTTCCTAAATATCCCTTATCTGCCTAAAAGCAAATTCTCCAGAAGAAAAACAATTGTCAAGGAAATTCTTCCTGGGAAATTTTATATCAGGGAAGATTAACACAAAACATGAATCAAAAATAGAAGAGACTGCAAGTTGATGCTTTATCCAGGCAGGCTATTGCCTGTTCTTTTGAGGATGCATTTCTTTTTTCATCTATTCTCTCCAGGTTGCCTACACTTCCCAATTCCCTCTTCCCTAGAAAGGAAATATGAACAACTGGATCTCATTGAGTTATCTGGGTAATCACCCCACTATGATATCCCACCGCACTCTAAGTGAATTTTGTTTGCCTTTTCTCTTATTCATTATTCTTTTGTCGGTTCATTTTCAGCAAACATTTAGAGGACAAATGGAACTTTCTTCCTTTCTTCCAATATAAGCAAGTTCCCTTAAAATTCAGGCTGCTTACAAAGCAGCAGAAATGTTTGTGCATGGGCTGCAGCACTGTGATTTTGCTCCCCTAGTCAGGCATCAGTAAAATTTTGTGGAGCCCGAGGCTGCAGCCCACTGATGCTGATGTGGTTACATCCACTTCCCCTGCTACTGAGTCAGGCTGGGACGTTCAGGGTACATTAGAGATATGAGATATAATGAATGCAAATCCATGTCCAGTTTCATCTGGATCCAACTGATTTCTCCATGTACATAGACAATTGCTTGATAAGAGATTGAGTATGTTTTTCCTAAAGGTGTTAACAGGGAGGCTGGTGTCTGGGTCAGGATGATGTCCCCATGCACTGATAAAAAGTATAAGAAGAAAGTGTCATTGATGGTGCATGGCAGGGACATGCTCCGTGCAGTGGCCACCCTCACTAAGACAGATGAACTTTGGGAAATAATACCCAATGGCAGAAAAGAAGGTAGACTATGAAGGTACCCAAAACAAGAATAAGGTGCACCTCATTTAGTCTCTGGGTATTAAAGAGACCTGCAGTTCTTGATAGTGGTGGATCTGTGAGTGCTGCATGCATGGAGACAACACGGTATCATCTTTGTATATCTGTAATAAATTGCTTGATCTAATACTAGTAAGAACAAAGGCATAACACCATTACCTAATACTTACAAATATATAGCATCATGCCGATACATTTTATTTTTAATTTTTTTTAGAAAGGAACAATGTTAAACTCACAGAAATGTTGCAGGTATAGCACAATTACCCCCTTCCCTACCCGGAATCTTATGAGAGTCTTTTGAAGACTTGAGAATCCTACCATCTAACATTTTACTATGTGTTTCCTACAAACAAGAATATTCTCCTAAATAATCCTGATACACCAATGAAATACATTACTCTATCGGCTCCTGAGGAATATTTAAAATTCTCAAAAAAATACCTAAAAATTGTTTCTCATAATAAAATAGTCCCCAGTAGAAACACATTCTCTGCAGACAAATTTGTGCTACCCTGGTCTTACCTGGGACACCTGGGGACACTGAGCTGGTGCTGAGTTACTGAGATGAGCCAGCTCTGCAGCTGTGCCCAGCCTGCCCCATCCCCTGCTCATTTGCATGTTCCCAGAGCACAACCTCCTGCCCTGAAGCCTTATTAATAGGCTGGTCACACTTTGTGCAGGAGTCAGACCCAGTCAGGACACAGCATGGACATGAGGGTCCCCGCTCAGCTCCTGGGGCTCCTGCTGCTCTGGCTCCCAGGTAAGGAAGGAGAACACTAGGAATTTACTCAGCCCAGTGTGCTCAGTACTGCCTGGTTATTCAGGGAAGTCTTCCTATAATATGATCAATAGTATGAATATTTGTGTTTCTATTTCCAATCTCAGGTGCCAAATGTGACATCCAGATGACCCAGTCTCCTTCCACCCTGTCTGCATCTGTAGGAGACAGAGTCACCATCACTTGCCGGGCCAGTCAGAGTATTAGTAGCTGGTTGGCCTGGTATCAGCAGAAACCAGGGAAAGCCCCTAAGCTCCTGATCTATAAGGCGTCTAGTTTAGAAAGTGGGGTCCCATCAAGGTTCAGCGGCAGTGGATCTGGGACAGAATTCACTCTCACCATCAGCAGCCTGCAGCCTGATGATTTTGCAACTTATTACTGCCAACAGTATAATAGTTATTCTCCCACAGTGTTACACACCCGAACATAAACCCCCAGGGAAGCAGATGTGTGAGGCAGGGCTGCCCCAGCTGCTCCTCCTGATGCCTCTATCAGCTGAGAGTGGTCCTCAGATGCAGCCACACTCTGATGGTGTTGGTAGAGGGGGACATGGAGTCACCTCTGCACCCTAATTCTTTTCTCTTTCTCAGCCCCAACTGCACAGATCTAGCAATGCCTCTCCTGATTTAATAAAGACAGAGATCATGACACCTGAAGAGTCTAGTTTATGGCTTCAGCTGGACTTTATATAACAGAGAAGAGGCCACTATAGATATTCAAAGCAGGAATTGTCTTAATACAGACAATTAGAGTCTAAACTACTGAAGTCTAAATAAAATGTAGAGATGAATCTCTAAATTTAATGTTTTACGTGCAAAGAAATATTTGCCAAATGGGGCATACAGGAAAACTCAGTGGTCTTCAATATGTTGGAAGAACAAAGAGAAGGTTAGAGTTTTACGAAAAAGGGAACATGTTACCTATGGCTCTTTGAGAAAGTTCATGGGCACTAGGAAGGGTTGGGAGCTGGCAAGCTCAGACTGGGAAGCAGTGGTGGACAAAGTGAATCCTACAGTTATATCAAGTTATCTCAGAAGTTGTGGATAAATTTGATTTCAGGTTACAATAAGCCAAAGGCAGTGAAGCTTGCAGAGAATTTTGTTACTGAAATGCCAGGGATTCAGTGTAGATCCTGCTGCTCACCACACAGAAAAACAATCACTAAGACAAGTATTGCCAAGGAACAGGCTTTAATCAGGTGCTGCAGCCGAGGAGATGGGACACCATTCTCAAATGTATCTCCCTGAACTACTAAAATGAGGGGTATATATATCAGGGAAGAAATGTGGGAAAACAGGAATTAGGGAGGGGTAAGGAAGATGATTTGGTCAACAGGAAGCAGGAGGTCAGTTAGGCAATCACAATGGGTGAAGAGTCTGATGTCTCACTGTCCCGATTCAGTGATATGTAAGTTTCAGCTCCTTTTGATAGTATCTGGAGGCCTGATGGTTGGTTTCCTGACAAAAGAACTCCTCAGATAAGAAAAATATAACTATCTTGAGTTTTTAAGACTGGAGGAGTCAATTTCTATGTTCCTTCAAAAAACCATAAACATTAGTTCCATGGGATAATAGGGCCTATTTCAATTACATTCTTCAGACAATATTTTGCACCCTGAGTGTCTTTCCCTCCTGGTTTCTTGGCTCTGTTGGGTATGACAAGAATGACCCAATTCCTACGATTAACTTTCCCACTACAACCTTTCAAAGCCAAGGATATAGTAGTCAGGAAAGTTGATATTAGAAGCAGGAATCTCTGTTGCTCCCTCAGAAAACTGAATGCATCTTCCCCTGAAGTATGGGCTATCTAACCATGTGGTCCTCAGTCCTGTCTGGAAGCTTAGGGGTGGGGGTGCTGATGCTCTCAGCTTCCTACAGCATCTTTCCAGGTGTTTCTCCAGTCCTCATCTCTGTCCCTGTGTCTGTCCTAGGTACCAATGGAGAATATTGAGCCATCCTTTCCTGATTCCAAATCTCATGGGAGGACCTCTTATTGGGCCACTCTATAGAACACAAGAGAGGCAAAAAAGGATATTCATATAAGTTAAAATGATTTTCCCCCAATGAGGCCATTTTAAAAAATTATATTTAAAGCCACATGTTGAAAACACATCCAGCTTTATTTTCTTATTAATGCAAATTTACATTTGCAAATATTTTCAAGATTGTAAAGGATGAAAACATAATTATTTGTCCATGGAATGATCAAACACCTCTATAATTAAATGGAGTAAACATTTTCTTGAAAATTTGTACTCACTGAAATAAAGGAATATATTTTAAATATCTGAAGCTATGTTAGAAATTATTGGACTTAAATTCAACTGTCCAGTTTGGTTTGGGATGTTCACTCCTGTGACCTGCCACAAGAATCTTGTATCATGTGTAGTCACTGGTGTTCAGCTTAGTCCTCAGACAATTGATATCTATAGGCTGAAGATGAGGTCTGTGTCCTTCAGAGGATCCACTCAGCTGAGCCCTTCCTTGATCAGTCAGAGGATTGTGAACATGAGCATCCGTGAACATGAAAACAAATGTTTACTGTTATCAGTCACTGAGTTGTGTATTTAACCAGTTACCAATCAGTAATGCATAAAAGCTTCCTGATACAGTATTTACACCTCTACCTATATGTACACACATGTATTTTTTCTTAAATTGGTGATTTAAATGTGAATATCCAGTAATCAAATTATGAAGTTATTAAAAGAAAATTAAAGACAAAATTAAAACTAATTAGTATTTCAATAAAAAATTAAAATTTATCTTACGGAAAAGTATGCATACATGTATATAAGATACATAGAAGTGAATATATATGTTTTTGATAAAATGTTGGCTACAAATATATATAGTATTCATATTTAAGTACATTTATTCTATCATATATGCAATATATGCATATTTATAAAATTCTTATCTGAATTAAATACATTTAAAATTTTTTGTAACCTTCCATAAAATAATGGTATTCTGGACCACATGTAGTTCTTACTCTTGCTACAGAAAATTTTTTTGTTTATTTATTTATTTATATTTATATTTATATTATGTTTAAATTTATGTATATTTATATTATATTTATATTATATTTAAATTTGTTTATATTTACATTTATATTATATTTAAAATAAATTTATTTATATTTTTCCAACTCAATGGAGCTCCAAGGGTAGGACTAGAACAAATTTTGACTAATGTTGAATATTAAACATTGCATCCTATGAAAGTCTCCATTCTGTTCATGCCCACAATGGTGATATTCCAAATAGAGTTCTCACAATAATGGATGCTGGATGGCGTCACATTAGTGCCATTGTCAAGGAAGCCCTGCAAATGTAAAAATCATAACAATGAGTAAACTGCAAGGGTTATATCTGATGATCACATTGCAACGATAACAGTTTTGGGGTGATCAGACCCAACACCAGGTCGTGGGGGTGACAAAGTCTGGTGGAGTCAAAGATTGAGAAAAAGACAGTTTGAGAGAGAAATGTGGGCACCAGGGACCATCGTAGTGTATGGAGGCTAAGAAGGCCCTGAGCCCTGGGATCCCATGCTATTTATTGGTAATCCAACAAAGAAACACGTGGTAAGAATGTGGAGGCCAAAAGGATGCATTGCATTAAGCACATGATTTACACCTGTGATGGTTTAGCATTTGCTCTACTACTTGAGATAATGGAGAGCAGGTTCTTTTAACTCAAGATACAATCGATCCTTGGAGAGCAAAGAGAAAGGAGCCAGCAAGTGTAGACACACTCCAGAGCCACGAGTCCTGGATTCTATCCAAGTCACAAGGGATTTTATGCCCTGGGCTTAGATTATGGTGCGTCAGGGTAGCCTTCCACCCTTTAGCACAGAGCTTGGTGTACTAAAGGCCACAAGGGGTTTTAGACCCTGGACCCCGGACGTGTTCCAAGACTCTTTTACATTACGTCAGACATGCAAGCCCTGCCTCAGCTTCTCCCAACATTCAGCTTTTCCCAACATAACGGCAATGTAATAATATTGGCTGTTGGTTTTGACAGATCATCAGGCCTTCAAAGAAATGCAACAAAACGATTGCAGACAAAGTGATTGAAAAGCTATGACTAGACTTTTCAAAGATGAGCCAAAATAAAAAAAAAATGCTTTCCCAGTGAATATTAATCAAAATGCTATTAATGAGCAGGGGCTTTTAATAATGAGGATGATTCAACACATGGACTTCAGTCAGTCACCTTTCCCAGCTTTACCAGGGAGTCTCATGAACCAATGTTATGGAGGTCCCTTTGGGGACTCAATTATGAATTTCAACTAACTGAGACTTAAAGGGCTACTGGCTCTTCTGAACACCTCATTTGCCAAGAAGAATGACCCCTCCTGAACCCCTAACATTGTACAACACATCAGGGATCAGATGAACAGCTGGGGTCAGGTGATACTAGTGGACCTCATGTAACATGAGGAGAGCACTGGTTATTTTCCTATATATGAATTTGCCTTTCTTTTTGGTTGTATTTCTGCACAAATATTATTTGAGGATTTTCCAAATGCTTTCATCAGAGTCAGGAAATTATTCCATAATACGGTTTTGGATCAAGCAATGTATTTACCTCAGAAAAAGTGAAAAAAGTGTAGCTCATGCTCTTGTCATGTGCACAGGTGCAGATTTCCCTATAGACAGGGGAAAAAAACATTATTAGTCAGGCACAGCTGGCACACAAACCTTGTGCTGTTGAATTGCTATGCTGTCAGATGTGGTGGAGGCTCTGAAACACTAACCATGATTCGTGCTTTTACTCCCATAAATAGAATATTTATATCTTGAAAATGAGCTATAGACTCATCACTGTTATGCCAACTGAACAGCTTGAAATATTCTGTTTCTATTTATTCAGGGCTGTGGTTATCTGGTTGATGGTTCTTAATCCAAAGAGTTGACATGACAATTATTCCATGAAATTGGAAGAAATGATATGATAAGCATGTGACCATTTAGACTTAATACAATACTGGATAAGTTGTCAACACAGGGCTTTAGGGTGTGTCCTGGGCACATAGATGTAGCCAATATAAAGCAAGAGCAAATGGAATTGATTTTACTTATTTTAGAGAAGAAGTACAGAAAATATGGACCCTAGGGGACCTTCTGGAATCTTTCTATTTATTGCCATTTCCACTGGTAAAACTCAGAGAAGATTTCAACAGTCATGAAGATGAAGTTCTAGGGATCACAGTCACGTGAAGCATTCCCTGCACTTGGATCTCCAGTGAGGCAAAGAGAAGATGAAATGCATAGTGGGATATGGAGGTATAAACACCAGAGACAGCCACCTGGTCAGCTTAAACGTTGAAAACTGTATTTATTTTTTCCCTTTAGTTTTATCACTGAATCAGCTGGATCTAAGAAAAGTGATTATGGCTGGTTAGGCAGAAAGGTGTTTATTATCATGAATGAAATGGAATGAAAACATTTGGGGAAACCAGAGTGGCAGCTCAGGCAAGTCCAAATACTCCTTTTGCTATTTCTTGATCCTCTCCCTGCCCCGTGTTTTCCACAGTCAAGAAGGACACTCTCATTTTGATAGAAACCTGGCGAGTGAAGATATTGTGCCCATAGGACTGGGCTGCCTGGCTGTGACCCAGACCAGGAAATTGAGCACATTTGAGTGAGATCAAGCACGTCCCCTCCCCCATCTCAATCCAAAAGCATTCTGTAGTAACACAGCTGATGTGCATTCTTCACCACATCTGGGACTTAGGAAGCCAAGGACATGAGGAGTAGCATTTCCAGACTCTACCATAGAGAAAGTATTGCCAGAAACTACAGAATAAAATAAATGTGAAAGAAGCTGGTGACAATAACTAAATGTGTCATGCATATATGTATTTTAAATAATTTAATATTTTCTATATACCCTTTCTTTAAAAAAATTCAAAGTGCTATTTTTAGCCACCTTTACAATTTAGGCCAAAAATTAAACAATAAGTAGACAGATTAATGGCTCATGAGAGAAGAACATTTTTTCCTAGATGGTGTTGGGATGAACAGATTGGAGTTTCCCCACATTTTGGGGAGCACAATGCTACATGGGGAGCATGATGTTCTTTGTAAAGGAAATCTTTATGTTGGGTTGTAGCATTTTGCTGTTGATACTAGTAATTCCTGGAAATTCAAGTGTAGAAACGTGTATTTATGATAGAAAGCCACAGTGTGGACTTGGGCAGAAATAACCCCTGTACCCTTGAAAACAGATGAATCTACATGAGTCTGACATGAAGATATAATCAACACAGGCAGGGCTGCAGGGAAAGGGGTCAGGTCTCTAGTAGTTGATAGCAGAGCTGCTGTCCTTCAGGGGGCAGTAGTGAGAAGAGCTGCTCTCTTTCCTGCAGGAGACAGCTTGAATGTGGAGTCTCAGGCAGCAGGAGCTCCTCCCCAGCCTGCGCCAGCAGTGCCATTCTTGGAATTGTTCTAGAGGCTTTGCCTGGAGCCTATTCCTTCAGGTTTTTCAACACTTTGCAAGGAATTTAATATCCTCTAGTAAATCCTTTTATGCTTCATGGATTTGACACTTGCAACAGGGAATATACACAGTTGACATCATTCACAGCCTCCTTTTTTCTTGCTAAATATAATGCTTTCCAGGTGGACCTGCCAGAGGAGGCCAATGTGAACAACAATCCTTGTCGCCAAAAATGCAAGACAAATAAGCTCGAGAAAGCCACTGTGTTCTCACCTAGCTGCACTGTGCCCTGGTACAAAATGAGAGAGTGTAAAATTCTTAGCTCCACCATCAGAGAGATGGTCTAGAGTGACCTTCTCAGCATAGTAAGTCAGTATTTATAGACATTTGAATACTAACACCTTTAATACCATAATACAGGCAAAAGTAGAAAAGAAGATAAATTGGACTACATAAAAATGTAAAATGGGCATCAAAAGACATAACCAACACAGTGAAAATGCAACATGTGGAATAGAAGAAAATATTTGTAAATCGTATATCTGATAAGGGGTTAATAATATCTAGTACATAAAAATAAGTCCTACATGTCAACATTAAAATAAAATACCTGATTAAAAACGAGAAAAGTATATGAATCGACATTTCTCTGGAGAATATTCTTTAGAGATAATTAGATAACTAGCATAGGAAAAGATGCTTAATATTATTAATCCTTAGAAAAATAAAAACAAAACCCACCTCACACCTATTAGGATTTTTTTTTCCAACAGAAAATGACCAGTCATGGTGAGAACTTAGGGAACTGGAACTCCTGTGGACACTGTCGTGGTGATGTAAATGGCCCACCTGCTGTGGGAAACCAGATGGCAATTCCTCGAAGAATTAATAATGGAAATACTATATAATCCAGCAATTCCACTTTTGGACATATACCCAAGTAATTGAAGACATTAACTTGAGGAGATATTTGTATACCCACATTCAGAACCGAATTATTCATAGTAGCCAACAGGTAGAGCAACTCAAATGTTCACAAAGGAGTGAACTGGTAATCCAAATGTGATATATACATACAATAGCATATTATTTAGCTTTAAAAAGGGAAATTCTCACACATGCTATAACATGGATGAAACTAGAGGACATTACGCTAAATGAAATAAGCCAGTCACAAAAAGATTACTGAGCTGTGATTTCACTATGGTATTTGCAGAATAGTTTTCATTTTGTCTTGAATCAACCCAGTCCCCTTCCCTTTCTTGATTGTAGTTTTCTGGAATAACTGTAGAATGTTCTGGAAATGTAACATTCTGAGATAGGGCATGATTGGCCAGAACAGCCTGGGTTCCGTTTCTGTCCCTACTAGAAACAGGAATTCCTTCAACACTCTAGCCCAGTGTGTCATGTGATTCTAAGACATAAAACCCAGGGTGGGCTGTATTCCAGGGTCCCTCAGCTGCAGTCCTTGTGGGGTACACACAGTCTAGTGTCAATCAGGTCCCCGCAGCTTTGTGCTCTCTCTGGCTGACTCTCTGTAAGTAGTAATCCACTTCATGTAACTGGTTGTGCATGGGTGCTGTGTGTCACCGGATTTGGGTAAGTTGGCAACCAGTGCACAGCAAACCTTCTTGGCAAAATTGGTGCAGTGAGAAGGTTTGATTTGAGAGAACCATGGCTTAATGGTGAAGATGGAGGAACAATACTCTCCAGTACCTGGCCCAGTACAGAGACATCAGCCTGGTGATGCAAGGGCTGGACATGAAGATGGATGTTTAATGAGGAGGGAGGATAAATGTGACATGGTGAGAGGCAGCGTTTGATGTGCCAGTGAGTCAGTGGAAACAGCGGAGAAGCAAGACAGCAAGAGACAGCAAGAGATGGCATTTTGTGAGAAGATGGACATAGCGATCAGCAATGGGCAAGACAGCTATTGGAGAAGTGGCAAGACAGTGATCAGTGAGAGAGGGTGTGATGGGGATCAGCACTACAGCGAGCAAAGCTACAGAGTTGCTAACATTGCAGAGCTGTTAACACTAGCCAAAGGCTGTTTTAAGAGCCATCATCTTTCCTGACAGGCGGTGGAGCTGAGCAGTTAGGTAAGTGGCCACAGAGCCACTGCTTCATGCAGGCCAGCTGCTGCATGCACCAGTTCACCCACGGGAGCTCAACCCACCCAAGCTGGGGGGCCTGGAGAGATCTTCACACAGGCCCCACGTTAGACACTGCTTGGCACCATTTTGGCTCCTGCACACCTGTAAGTGTCCCATCTACCCACCTGCCCTATGTCAGATGATCCAGGAAATAAGGCCTTTGGCTAAATAGTCCATTTGAAGTCCCCCATAGCACACCTGACTACATCCTCATTGCTCCTTCTCTTAGTCATTTCTCCTCTAATGCCATTTTATCTATCCATTAGCCAATTTATCTTATTTTCTACCCTGATATATGTGTTTGCTTTGCAGTTTTTTCTTTGGGTCCCTACTAATTATGTTTGTGCAATTGTTTAAGGCAGGACACTTGGATGTAAGAATTCTCCTGTTCTGTTGACTCTAAGAAGCCAGAGTCACATTGTTCTGTGGCCCCAACCAGGCCTTTGGGGCTCACTGTTGGCCACCCCACTGAGGCTCCAGGATTTTCTGCACTGGTCAGCCCCTGGATACTCCAGGGTTTCCTGGCATTTGGTGTGGGACACTCATAGGCTGATACGCGGGTACTCTGGGTTTTCAGCATTTGGTATTTTCGGTCACTCCCTGGATGCTCCAGGGTTTCCAGCATTGACATTTGTCTGAGGATTGTGGATTGGAGACTCACCCTATGGGAATCTTGGTTTGCCTTTTCTTGTTTTCTTCCCTAAAGTTATCATTTTCCATAACGGCCTTGTGTTTTCTTTTTGTCACTTTATTTACACTTTTTCTTCTACACTTTATTTAATAAAAATACTGCTTTAAGGCCGGGCATGGTGGCTCACGCCTGTAATCCCAACACTTTGGGAGGCCGAGGTGGGTAGATCATTTGAGGTCAGGAGTTCAAGACCAACCTAGCCAACACTGTGAAGTGTTGTCTCTACTAAAAATAGACTGGACATAGTGATGCATGCCTGTAATTCCAGCTACTTGGGAGGCTGAGGCATGAGAATTGCTTAAACCCAGGAGGCGAAGGTTGCAGTGAGCCAAGATGGCACAACTACACTCCAGCCTGGTAAAAGAGTGACACCCTGTATCAAAAAATAATAACAATAAATAAAAATTTTTTAAAAAAAGTAGCGCTTTAGTCATATTTTGTTCACTAACAAATGCTTACAATTTAGTTTCATAATGTCTTGCTACCTCTTCTTACACCTTCTATACAGGAAGTGGAAATCTGAGATGAGAACAATGATGGCCCAGTCACTTTCTAGAAAATCGTCTGCATATTGAAACTGGGTTTTCTTAAGTTATTAATTTGCTACATTATTGAAAATTATACAGGCCAGGTGCAGTGGCTCATGCCTGTAATCCCGGCACTTTGGGAGGCTGAGGCGGGTGGACCATTTGAGGTCAGGAGTACAAGACCAGCCTGGCCAACATGGTAAAACCCCATCTCTACTAAAAATACAAAAATTAGCTAGGCACAGTGGTACGTACCTGTAATCCTAGCAACTTGGGAGGCTGAGGCAGGAGAATGGCTGGAACCCGGGAGGCAGAACTTGTGGTGAGCCAAGATTGTGCTATTGCACTGCAGCCTGAGTGACAGAGTGAGACTATCTCGAAAAACAAACAAACAAAAAGTAAAACAGAAAATTTTGCCTTTGATGCAATAATGAGTTTCTTTTAAAACTTCTGAGATTAGTGTCTTAGAGATTCAACTGTGGTGTTTTGCTGCTTTCAGCTTATTCTCCCTTTAAAAAGGCCTGAGATCATTGCTGTCTCCTTTTGCTTCTTCATCAGCTCCTGTGGCTTTTTCACCTCCGGTTCTGACTGTTGTTGCGGACTTGATGCTAAAGTGTTTTGTCTTAGGCGTCTCTGGAAGCAATGTTTTCCCCCAGTATAGTATTATTCTACGTACTTGGTTTTTTAACATATATAACCTTATTTGGGGCCTTACTTTTTTATTTTTATACAGCTTTAAAAATACATATATTCTTCTTTGAGATGGAGTCTCACTCTGTCACCCAAGCTGCAGTGCAGTGGTGCGACCTCGGCTCACTGCAACCCCTGCCTCCTGGGTTCAAGGGATTCTCCTGCCTCAGCCTCCCGAGTAGCTGGGACTACAGACACATGCCACCATGCCCAGCTAATTTTTTTTATTTTTAGTAGAGATGGGGTTTCACCATGTTAGCCAGGATGGCCTGTATCTCCTGACCTCATGATCTGCCTGCTTAAGGGCTAATGAGTGCCTGCCCACCTCCATGCTGTCTGGCCTAAAATATTTAATTGGCTATAAATGTTTTCATTCCAAGCTCTGTGGCCAAAGGAACTACCAAAGAAACCTAAAAAAAATCTAACTCAAGCCATGGTGGGAAACAGGGAGTCAGACACACCTTGCTCCACCCCTGTTTGAAATGTAGGCCAGATTCAAAAGGGCTTTTAAAATTATGAAAATAAAATAGTGCCCTTTTCCACAAAACAAAATAATAGCTCCTCTGTTTAACCAAAAGACTTAGTCTTATGAAAAACTTAAAAAGAAGGAACTGGCTGGGTGCAGTGGCTCACGCCTATAATCTCAGCACTTTGGGAGACTGAGGTGGGTGGATCACTTGAGGCCAGGAGTTCAAAACCAGCCTTGCCAACATAGCAAAACCATATCTCTACTAAAATTACAAAAAATTACCTAGGCATGGGGGTACATGCCTGTAATCCCAGCCACTCAGAAGGCTGAGGCATGAAAATAGCTTGAAACCAGGAGGCAGAGGTTGCAGTGAGCCCAGCCGAGATTGTGTCACTGCACTCCAGCCTGGGCAACAGAGCGAGACTCTGTCTTAAAAAACAACAACAACAAAATGATCCCCCAAGAATCAATAATAATCAGAATAAAGGGGCCCTTACCAGATATTCTTAATTATTCCAACTACTGTTAGGCTTCAGGAAGCCACTAGCTGTCCAGGATTAAACCTGTTTCTTATGAGATCCTGCAGGCACAAAAGGTGGACACCACAACCTCCATTTATAAAACCTAGAAAACTTAAGGCTGTTGTTTTGCAAACACATAGATTAACAACTTGGTTCTGTGGGTGGACATAGGAGCATTAATTTTTCTCTCTCTTCCAATTATAATTTTCTTGTTTAACCTCCTAGTAAAGTTTATATCTTCTAAATTTCATGTAAAAATGATACGGTCCGTCATAAGTCTTTCAATCCATTCTGTCTTCTGACCCCACAAATGAAAGCATCCTGCCACTGGGCCCCTTAGTTCAGATACCAAAGATTTTTACTCTTCAAATGCTAGGGAAGGCCTGCCCCCATAAAGTCAGAAGGAAGCACTCACAGAAAAGGGACTCTGCTCTTCTGCAGTCCCCTTAAGATTAAGGAGGAGTATCTAATCTCCAAGGGGCAATGAGGTAGGAGGTAGGTGGGACTCAACTCTGGACCAGATTGAAGAGTGGGTGACACAAGGAAGAGACACTGGAAGCACCTGTCCATAACACATGCCCACCAGTGCCGTATCAGTTTACCATTGCCATGGCAAAACCTGAAAGTTACTGCCCATTTTCTAGTTATTTCTGAATAACCCACTCCTTAATTAGCACGTCATTAAAAGCAGTGATAAATATGACTGCAAAACTGCCCTATGCTACTGCTCTTGGCACACTGCCTATGGGGTAGCTCTGCTCCACAAGAGCAGTCACAGAGGTGTAACACTGCCACCTCAGTAAAGCTGTTTTCTTCTACCACCAGCTTACGCTGCATTCCTTCCTAGTGAAGCCAAGAACCTGCCCTGCACCACTTTTGTCAAGTCAGTTGACATAAAATTACTCATAATATCCTCTCTTTATTTTTTTACTCTTATAGGCTGTGTAATGACTTTCTCCTTTCCACTTACAATATTGTGTTTTGTGTCCTTTTTCTTTCCCTCTTCTATACACCCTTCATCAAGTAGTCACAGGCTTCAATTCACTTCTTTCTTGGTGGTAATATGGCTCATGAGAAATGCTGATTCTTCTGGGTATGAGGACATTCATGTTTATATGCAATACTGTAAAAAGTACTGTGACGTAAGCCTCCACTTCACAAACTGACCACTGTCAAACATCATCTCCCAACCAATAGAGAATTTTTTTGTTCCTCACTAGTATAATTTACATAGGAGTAGAAATCTCAAGTTTAAAGTGTGGATTTGCACTTTACCATTTGGTGTATTCAAGAAGATGAATAATATTAATACATCAGCAGGGCCTGGTGCAGTGGCTCAAGCCTGTAATCCCAACACTTTGGGAGGCTGAGGCAGACAGATCACCTGAGGTCAGGAGTTTCAGACCAGCCTGGCCAATATGGCAAAACCCCGTCTCTACTAAAAATACGAAAATTAGCCAGGTATGTTGGCCTGCACCTGTAATCCCAGCTACTTGGGAGGCTGAGGCAGGAGAATTGCTTCAATCAGAGAGACAGAGGTTGTGGTGAGCCAAGATCGTGCCACTGCACTCCATCCCAGATGACAGAGCGAGACTCTATCTCAAAAAAAAAAAAAAAAAAATCAGTAGCTTTGAATTTTAAACATCTATTTGACAAGAAATTTGTAGTTCTTTCTCTCTAAAATAATGTAATGATTCTTTCAGGAATGAGCCTGGTTTGATGCCTCTCTCCCCAACATGATAGAAATGTGGCATAAATCTATGAAAAATTCCATTTCCCTGTTCCTACAACAACTATCTGGGATGGAAAACTTCTTCCCTTGCTCTAGTCCTTTCTTCTACACCCAGTTTCACCTAATCTGTGACTCAAAACAATACTTGTCAGGAAACATTCTGGAAAGAGCAAAAGACTTCTAAGAGGTGTCAGAGATTCCTGTACCACCATCTGTCCATCTCTAGAGGGGGTTGTGAGTATGAGGAAGAGCAGAGCTTGTCAATCTTGCTTTCACTCCCACTGTATTTCCTAACAACGGCAACCACAGCAACAGCCATAACATCATAGGACAAATCTCTACTACTTCCAAGGCTTTTATCTCAGTAAATCTTCTTTACCTCTATCTCAGGCAGCTAAAAGTTTTGATACTCATACAAATAGTACTGTAGCTTTCTGTTTATAATTGGAAAAGTGGGCAAGACTCAGTGTAATGCAGGCATTCCTTAAGCTAGTTAGCATCCAGTTTTTAGATTATCATTGCACACATATACCCAGCATATGTCTAATAGATATGTAAAAATCCATGAAGCAAGAGTTATAATAGCTTGTGTTTTCTGTTGTATTGTATTTTCCTCTTATACCATCTTCTGCTTTTTGTCATTAAAAAAATCTGTTGAAGTCAGTCTAAATTATTGGATCATAAGTAGATAAAATCTTTTTTTTGATAACACATTGCCCCAATGAATATGTTTCTTTGCAAGACACAGTCCTTATTTCCAAGATAACACACTAGAATGTCAAGAATAGTTTCCCTTAAATCAACAGAATAATAAATTTTGTCGTAATGTCTGCTCATCCGCATGTAGGCACAGCTTAGTTTAGTCTTTACATAGACGACACTCCTATATAAGAAAAACTTAAAGACGGTATGTTCCTCTGCTTGCTTTCTGAGGATGCCTTACTCTGTAATGGAGTAATTTTCAATAAATTCTCTCTTATCACTGCACTTTCCAACTTTCCTTGAATTTCTTCCTGCATGAAATCCAAGAATCCTCTCTTGGAGTTTGAATCAAAATCCCCTTTTCTGGTAACAATATGGTCTATTTTAGTAAATTTTTTGAAAAGATTATGCAATCTGCTGTGCTGGTGGAGTGTTCTCGAAGTGTCAATTATGTCCAGATGGTTGATTGTGCTGTCCAATTCATCTGCATCTGCACTGGCCTGAGAGGCAGGACTGCTTGTGCTACAGGCTGAACCTGCTGCAGAGCCCTTTTTTTGCCCCGGGTCCCACTCAAGGCTGGCTGACTCGTGTATCAGTCGGTCAGTGAGCCAGTACAGTATTCCAAGGTACAGAATTTCTTGCCTCTAGAATCCAAAGAGGCCTACCAAGGCCTTCCTCCCTTCAAAGACAACGACATGCATTAGATACAATGGAATGGAATATGCATTCCTCTTCCCGTGAACTCTAATTTTCTCCTTGTTTACGAAGCACACATTACAGCTAGCTTATTCACTGGGGCATCATTTAGTGCCATTTAATGGCAGCTGTAGAGCCAAGTGCCCAGAAATACCAGCTACAGTGAAATACAAGCTGAGGGAAATCAGCCTTGCAACCACAGCCAAATAACCCTGGAACTGTTTCAAGTTCATCCTGATACTTAGAGACATTCTATCAATGAGCACCAGAGTTAGTGAGAGCTAGTTCCTCCTCAGAATTAGCTGGGTGGAGCCAAGAAGAAAGCCTATTCACCACCTAAAGATTGATACACATCTTCATCATCACAATCTCCATTGCATCAGCAATGAAGAGTGACAGGCTGCAGTCACAGTGTCTTCCACATTGATTCATGGTATTTCAGAATGTCACCCTTCTAAGCCAGGCAACACCAATATTTTATTTTGGTTTCATCAACACAAAAGATATTCTGTGTCACTTTGCTTACATAAGAAGCCCACTCTTCGACCCCAACTGGATATTTCTTCACTGCTTCACTCACCAGGGGATTTGCATGTTGTCCCCTAGGGAAGACCTTCCCTTGTGAGTCTGAGATAAAAGCTCAGCTCTAACCTTGCCTTGACTGATCAGGACTCCTCAGTTCACCTTCTCACAGTGAGGCTCCCTGCTCAGCTCCTGGGGCTGCTAATGCTCTGGGTCCCTGGTAAGGACAGAAGAGAGGAGAATGGGACTGGAGGGTGAGCTCTGTGGAATCTGCAGCCTCCCATTTGTTGTTCTGTCTACATGTCAGATGCAGATTTCTTGTCCTCCAGCAAAGGGAATTTAATATTCAGACCTGTAAGAACTAAGAACGAGCCACAAGGAAAAAGAACTTCACTGTCGAGAACTTCAAAAACAAAGAGGCCACTTTGTGCCTTTAATTATTGGATTATTTTTGGATATTGGATAAATGTAGTGTATGAATCTAATCAAACACAAAAAAGTAGCCTAACGTATACAATAAAACTAAATTATAAAAATGTCTCACATTGTTTGTATGTAACCTTGTACTTCTCACTGTTATTATTTTAGGATCCAGTGGGGATATTGTGATGACCCAGCATCTGCTCTCCCTGCCCATCCCTCTGGGAGAGCCGGCCTCCATCTCCTGCAGGTCTAGTCAGAGCCTCCTGCATAGTGATGGAAACACCTATTTGGATTGGTACCTGCAGAAGCCAGGCCAGTCTCCACAGCTTCTTATCTACACAATTTCTAACAAATTCTATGGAGTCCCAAACAAGTTCAGTGGCAGCAGGTCAGGGACAGGTTTCACACTTAAATTCAGCAAAGTGGAGGCTGAGGATGTTGGGGTTTATTGCTGTGAACAGGGTCTGCAAGGTCCTCACACAGTGGTAAAACCCTGAACACAAACCTCCCTACTTGGGATGGCCCAGCCATCCACAAGTGTTTGCACGTGGACTGTCTGCATGGCAGATTCTGAGTTGGCTTCACAGGTAGATGTTAGATGACTGCAGGGAATAATTTGCAGGAAGATCCAGACTGTTCTGGCCCCATCACTGTAACAGCCTTATTTCACATGGCTCAAGCAGAAGAATGAAGGTGATCAAAGTGCTCTCTGAGCAACTAGACATGACAGAAGAGAGAGCTACCTGGAAAGTGCATTCTGATCCTCCCTGTGTTTCCTGCATTTGTCAATGAGATTTAGTCAGCATAACAGCAAGAAAATTGAGGCCTACTCATGGCTACAAAGGTTGGGTATATGTTAGGATTAGCAGGTTTTGTTATATTTTTAACACGATAACGTTTGGTAATATTCAGAAATTGGTATTTTCCCACTTTCTAACTTCCTACCTCTCCATTAGTGGTTATACCAAACCTCCACTTACATACCTGTGATTGCATTCTACACAAGCTATACTCAGGGGGAGTGTGACTCACAGCAATTAGTGAAAATGTTTAGTTTGCAAACATCTAAATAGACTTTGTCAATTCATAGTGGAGATAACATTTTATCCCAAAAGTCTTTGATTTGCCTCAACTGCCTTTTGTGAGAGAAAAGGAGAGCTCTTAGAATTGCAAGTGGATTTTGAAAATAAAAGTATAAGCCATTTGGTGACAACTGCAGAGGAGAGTGCCCACAAATTTCAGCTGTACAATACTGATACTTCCAGCTGGGGTAAATCAGCCATCCAACCACAGCCAGGATGTTACTAGGCAGTCCAGAAACAGTTCCAGGGCATTTTCACATAACTTTTTTTTCATCTTTATACAGTATCTGAGCTAGTGCTTTAGTTAGGAGGCTCTAAAATTTGACATTATAATTTTCATTACTTCTGCTGTATGTACCTCCATCTAGTCCTTATGTCAATACAACCCCAGGACGCAGTCAAGTCAAATTCATGAGAGCCATATTTACCCTGTTCCAAATTCTGGTTTAAAGATTTGTATTTGCTTATCAAATTGAAGATATCAGTGCTATGAGAATAGATATTCATAAAACACCTCCCTCTCCTTCATAAATGTTAACATTGGGATACATTTCATAACATATTTCTCATTACCCCTTCTTTTTTGTTGTTGTCTTCTACAAGTTCTGGTGGTAGTTGAATTACAGTTATGACCAATACTATGAGTCTGAATCCAAGGCAAATTACTTTTAATGGATCTTGAAAACTTAGCATTAATCCAGAAACAACGATGTCGCTGTTATTTAGGGGCATACTTAGGATTAGCTTTATTGACCAGCAAATATTCAGTTAATTATTTCCATGGGATCAACAAATTTTTCCTTTTATTTTACTCTAAATAGTTAATTTTTGTGTAACCAGATTTCCTAGGATAACTGGTTAGTATAAATTCTCATAGTTTCAAATTTCTCCTATGGCTGTTAAGATTCCAGAATATAAGAAAGGCAATCATTCTTTGGGTTGAGAAAATTCCTAATTTGTGAGGGCAAGAATACAAAATAAGAGTAAAATTTGACTAAATTAGTTTTTAGTAAGTTGTTCTAGGTTCTAGTTTTTTGTTAAACTTTATAATTTTATCCCACAACTACTTCCAGGAGTTCATAAGTTATTTTATTTTATTTCTTTTTATTTTATTACTGATCTTTATTTTTCTATTTAGCATAAAAAGTGTTTTAGAAGAGCCCAGTATGAGCATTTCTAGAATTACAGAAAGATGAGGACTGTTGCTGCTCAAAGACCACTGAAACAGTGGATTACCCTCGGCTCCTGCACAAGAAAGATCAAGACGGAGGGGAAGTTTACAACTGTGAGTCCCCTGCTCCCTTAAGGCAGAAAGTCACCATTTCCACTTTCTGATGAAGATATTGTCTCATTATTATCTCATTATAACTAAGAGTGACCACCAAACAATTCATTCACCTATTGCATCTTACTTTATCTAATGTTTTTGATTGTTGTTCATTGGAAATAAAACACAGTAGTTAAAACACAATTTTGGTTGATTTCAGAAACTAGTGTAAGGGATTTAATTTGGTCGATTTTTTCTGAAGCTCTTAAAATTTCTGTATTTAAAGTTTATGTAAGTATTTTATAGATTCTTGAAATTATTTAAACCGGAAGAAAAAACATTGAATTTGAGAATTCCAGGTTCATAGTCTCCATTTTTCTGCAAGTAAACTATCTTATCTAAATTAAAAATACAAAAAAATTATTTACTTTGTCATTTCCGTATATTTATACAAATTATTTCAAAGACAGATGTACCCACAGTTTAAAATGCTATTGTCCTTGATTCTATCTCTAAACTCTTCTTGAGTTTTCCACTTTTCATTTGTCTGGCAAATCAAATTTTCTTACAAGGTGGAATAGACAAATCTCACATTAAAAAAACTGAAAATTATTAAACAAGCTCTGGCTTTTGAGAAAAACTTCTTTTCAAGATAGAGGACCCTGTCTTCAAGAGTAAGCCTAGAGCAGAGATGTTAGAGGCAGTTAAAAATTTTAAGGTGGGGAATGCTCAGGTAGACAATGGAATTATTGTCTCACTTTATCCAGTTAGTCCATGGGTGAGCTGGGCTCAGCAGAAAGTTTAGCATTTACAGATAAAAAGCCTTCATCGCCAACACATGATTCTCAAACTCATTTTTATGGTTGGGTTGAGTATCTCTGTAGGATTTTTTAGTATTTACTTCAAGTAAAAGGAAAGAAAAGAATTTAAACATTTGGATACAAATTCATATTAGGTAGATCAAAAATGGGATCTTGACAACCCAGAGAAGTCAGACATGTAAACATACTAACGTCTCCCAGTGTTTAGAGAGAATATATAAATTCGGAGGATAAACACATCCACAAAGCCTGCTCTGAACCTGTAAAACAGAATGGTTAGCCATGAATTTTACTTCTTCTGGGTGACAATTTATAGTTATTTAGAAGAGACAACCAGCTTTCATTACAAGTGTCTTGAAGCCAGGAATCCACTCTAGACAATCTGCATTTGGGGAATATCCCTCTGCTAGTTGAGATTTTTAAAACCATTTTATTGAGATAATTGACATACCAAAAAATTGTACATATTTAATGTACACAATTTCATGAGTTTGAAAATTAGTACACACCCATGAATCCATCACCACAATCAATGCCATAAGGAACCTCCATTTGGGTATGGGAAGGAACCACACATCTGGGTATGTATTCTAGTGCAAAGCATTATAGGTTTGGACAGTTTGGGTTGATAAAGTCAACAGAACAAACATTATAGGATGTGCAACAGTGTTATATAAATGAATCAAAGCTCTGTTTACTGCCCTCAAAGTTGTGTATTGCTAAACTGCAGGTTTATTTTTAAACTACTATCATCAAGTTCAAATTTTACACAACTAATTATTTCAAAAATAGCCCTCAAATTTTATTATTATTATTATTTTGCCATTTAGACACTGCTTGCTTTGCATATGCCAGGAAACCTCACCTGCTGCCAATAAATAAAGTAAGATTCAGGCAATAAAACCCCCAAACTGCAACTGTCCTCTTGAGCTTTCTAACCCAGAGGCTCTCCATCATGCTGCTGTGTGACATCACCTAGACACATAAGCCCCTTTCTCCAGTGTCCCTTTCCTCAGGTGTTTTCTTGTTTCCCTTCCTTTCTGAATAGCAACCTGGCACCTTCACATCTGCAAAGACTCCTGCTGTGAAGGACTTGTCCCTGTGAGCCCCTCAAAGTTTCACCCAATAAATGTGTGTGCTACTGCTACTCTGTGGTCACCTCTTTTTCCTTGATAAGCCCCCAAATCCCCTACAAATAGGGTCAAACTCCACCCTACGAACACTGAATCCAGCTTAATGGACACAAGCAATTCCACTTCCAAGACTCCTCTTTCCCAAGTCATATATATATATATATATATATATATATATAGAGAGAGAGAGAGAGAGAGAGAGAGAGAGAGAGAGAATATATATAAGGTATATATATTACATGTATATATACATGTATACATGTAATATATATATTATTACACACACACATACATATTATATATGTATATATATTACATGTGCTTTTACACTTATGGACCCCCAAACAGGATTTGGCAAGAAAGTTGAACTACAAGAAAACTGACCTATATAAGTCTGTCCTCATGCAGTTGAATGTGACCAAGATTGGAGACACACAGTGGCCTGCTTCCCACCTAGATCTAAACATAGGCTGTTCTTACAAACTTTATCAATTCTTATCTTTGTCCAGTGTGGAGTGATCCACTCTAGCTGCTGTTGTCAACATTTTGGCACGGTATGTTAACATACAGAAAGGGGAGGTTCCCATTTAGAATTAAGAATATTATACTCCCAGATAGTATAAGAAAATTTCAAAGCCTTTTTCTGATGAAAGAAGAATTCTTACAAAAGTTTACATGGTCTGGATACTTAAGGGCAACAGATTTTGAGACAAAATAACCAATTACAAGGCAGACTTTTTAAAGGTTTATCATTAACTTTTACTGGCAATAGCAATACTCTGAAATTCAAAAAAGATTATTTTGTAAGAATAATATTTTTAATAATTGATTTATAATAAAAGAAAATATGACAAATCTTTCACTGTTACTCATTCTCCCACAATTCAAGTTGCTGTATTAGATAGTGGAAATAACTAATTATTTTTTAAGAAGTTATGTTTTTCTTGTTTTTTTGTTTTTTAATTTTTTTAGTATTTATTGATCATTCTTGGGTGTTTCTCAGAGAGGGGGATTTGGCAGGGTCATAGGACAATAGTGGAGGGAAGGTCAGCAGATAAACATGTGAACAAAGGTCTCTGGTTTTCCTAGGCAGAGGACCCTGCGGCCTTCCACAGTGTTTGTGTCCCTGGGTATTTGAGATTAGGGAGTGGTGATGACTCTTAACGAGCATGCTGCCTTCAAGCATCTGTTTAACAAAGCACATCTTGCACCGCCCTTAATCATTTTAACCCTGAGTGGACACAGCACATGTTTCAGAGAGCACGGGGTTGGGGGTAAGGTTATAGATTAACAGCATCCCAAGGCAGAAGAATTTTTCCTAGTACAGAACAAAATGGAGTCTCTAATGTCTACCTCCTTCCACACAGACACAGTAACAAACCGATCTCTCCCTCTTCTCCCCACATTTCCCCCCTTTCTATTCGACAAAACCGCCATCGTCATCATGGCCGGTTCTCAATGAGCTGTTCGGTAGGCCTCCCAGACGGGGTGGCAGCCGGGCAGAGGGGCTCCTCACTTCCCAGATGGGGCGGCCGGGCGGAGGCGCCCCCCACCTCCCAGACTGGGTGGCTGCCGGGCGGGGGCTGCCCCCCACCTCCCGGACGGGGCGGCTGGCCGGGCAGGGGAGGAAGTTATGTTTTTAAAGAGCTCATTTTTAGAGTAGTTTTGGGTTCACAGCAAAATTGAGAAGAAAGTGCAGATTCTCGTATCTTTCTCTGACACAGGCAAAGCTTCCCCAGTTATCAACATCCCCCACCATAGTGAACCTACATTGACACAACATTATCACCCAGAGTTTAGATTAGGGCTTCTTAGTTTACATTAGGGTTCACTTATGATGTCATACATGTTATAGGTTTTGAAAAATGTATAATAGGAAATATCCATCTTTGTAGTATCAGACATAACAGTTTCACTGCCCTAAAAATTCTCTGTTCACCTCCCCCATTCATCCCCCACCCTCCCAAATCCCTAACTACCACTGATCCTTTCACTGTCTCTATGATTTTGTCTTTTACAGAACATCATATAGTTGAAATAATATAATATGCAGTCTTCTCAGATTGACTTTTTCACTTAGTAATATGCATTTAAATTTCCTCCATGTTCTTTCGTGGTTTGATAGCTTGTTTATTTAGGCTATAAATAATATCCCATTCTCTGGATACTCAATTGTGTTGGATGCACAAGAATTAACATTGGATTAAATCAATTAATTTTTGACTACTGAATCAGCCTTTCATACCTAGCATAAATCCAACTTGGCATACTATACTGTATAGTGTTTTTTTATACATTGTCATAGTCGATTTGCTAATACTTTTTGGAGGATTTTTGCATCTATGTTCATGAGAAATATTTGTAGTTCTATTTTCTTGTAATGTCTTTGCCTGGTTCTGTTAGTAGACTAGTATTTCCCTCACAGAATGACTTAGGAGGTATGCCCTTTGCTTCTATCTTGTGAAATAGATGGAGAATTTGAAGAATTTCTTCCTCATATATTTGGTAGAATTCACCATTGAATCCATCTGAATCTGGTGCTTTATTTTTAAAAAGGTTGTTAGTTATTTATTCAGTTTATTAAATATATAAAATATATATAGGGCAGTTTATACTGTCTATTTCTTTTAGTTAGTTTTGGTAGATTGCTTCTTTCAAGGACTTCATCCATTTCATCAAAGTTATCAAGTTTGGATCATAGCATTGTTTATAATAGTCGTACAGTATCCTTTTAAGCTTCATAGGATCTGTAGTGATGTCCCCTCTTTCAGTTCTGCTGTTAGCAATGTGTGTGCTTTCTGTGTTTCCTTAGCTTGGCTTGAGGCTTATCAATGTTATTTGTATTTTTATAGTATTAGCTTTTAATGTTTTTTTTTCTGTTGACTTCCTGCTTTCAATTTTTTTGATATCTGCTCTAATATTTATTTCCTTTCTTCTGCCTAATTTAGATTTAATTTTATCTTCTTTTTCTACTTTCATACAGTGAAAGCTTAGATTATTGATTTTAGATTTTTCTTCTTTCTAATTTATACATTTGATAATATAAATTTCCCTCTCAGCACCTCTTTCGCTGTATTCCACAAATATTGATGAGTCATGTTTTTATTTCCATTTAGTTCAAAATCTTCTTAAATTTCTCCTGAGATTTCTTCTTTAACTCTTTTGTTATTTGGAAGTGTGCTGTTTAATCTCCACATATTTGGGTATTGTCTACATTTTGGTATTGATTTGTATTTTAATACCATTGTGGTTTGAGAGAAGGCACTGAATGATTTCTATTTTTTTAAAATACGTTACTGTGTGTTTTATGACCTGGCATTAAGTTTATCACAGAGAATATTCCATGTGATCTTGAAAAAATATGTGTTTGGACAAAATAGTGTACACATGGCAATTATACATAGTTCATTGATAGTGTTGTTGAGTTTGACTGTTTTTATGGGTTTTCAGCCCGCTGGATCTACCCATTTCTGATAGTGAAGTGTTAAAGTCTTTAACTGTAATCGTGGACTCAGCTGTACCTTCTTGTAGTTCTATCAGTTTTTGCCACATTTATTTTGACAGTCTGCTGTTAAGCTCGCATATGTTAAGCACTGCTTTGTCTTCTTGAAGAATTGGCCCCTTTTTCATATGTAATGCTCTTTCTGTCCATGATAAATTTCCTTGCTTTGAGATCTTCTTTTCCAAAATTAATATAGCTACTTGTGCTTTCTTTTGATTAATATTAGCATGGTATATCTTTCTCCATTCATATACTTTTCAATCTATATGTGCTTTAATATTTTAATTAGGTTTCTTATAGACACCATATAGTTGAATCTTCCTTTTTGATACACTCTAATAACATATCTTTTAATTTGTACATTTAGACACTTGATGCTCCAACTAATTATCAATGCCTTGGATTAATGTCTACCACACTTTCACTGTTTTCGATTTATTGTTTGGTGTGTTTTTTTTCTATGTTTATCTTCTACTTGTTTCTGCTTTTTTATGGTTTTAATTTAGCATCTTATGCGCTTCTATTTTCTCTCCTTTATTAGCATATTAGATTTTTTAACCTCTTTTAGTGTTGCTCTGAAGTTTTCAATATACATTTACAACTAATCCAAGCCTACTTTCAAATACTCCTATACCATTTCATAGGTCATGTGAGTACCTGATAATAACAAAGTATTCCTAATTTTTTCCATTTGTTGCATTATTGTCATTCATTTCACTTATATGTAAGTATAAATAAGTATGCATATATGTGCATACGTGTGTATTTATATATGTAAATGTATACATCAGCATGCATAATAATCACATTACTATTATTTTGAAAAAAATTATATCAGTTAAGAAAAATATGTTCCTTAATTTTTCCCTCACTTATTTCTTCTTGATGCTCTTCTTTTATGTAAATTCAAATTTCTGACCTATACTATATTCCTTCTCTCAAAAGAACTTTTCTTTTTCTATTTATTACAAAGCATGTTTACTGGCAACAAATTTTTCTGAATTTTTGTTTGTCTGAGAAAGCCATCATTTATCATTTCCTTTTGAAGGATGATTTCATAGAAAACAGAATCCTAGGTTGGTGGTTTTCTTCTCTCAACACGACATACTTCACTCTACTCTCCTCTTGCTTGCATTGAAGTGAAGAATGCTTCCTGTTTCACAGAAGAAGTTGGATGCAATATTTATATTTGCTCCTCTACATGAAAGGTTTGTTTCTCTTATGTTCATGCTCTCTCTCTCTCTCTGTCTCCTTTTCAATACTTTTTCTTTGTTTTTGACTTCCTATAGTTTAAAAATTATATGCTCAAGTGTTTTTTGTTTTTGTTTGTTTGTTTGTTTTGCTTATTTGCTTATTTTGGCAGTTATACTGCTTGGTGTTTCCTGATCTTCTTGGATCTGTGGTTCGATATCTGACATTAATTTAGAAAAATTTTCACTCAATATGGTTTTGTTTACCACGCCTCCACCCCGTCCTCCTCCTTTTTCTTCATGTCCATTAACCCATTTACCTTTTGCCCAAGAATACTTGCTGGCAGCACTTGCAGCTACAGTGTTTACCTCAAAAAGAAGAAGGTGAGAATGTGGTCAACATTCCACAATGATACTGTGATTGAAGTAGACAACAGAAATGGAGAGAAAACTAAGAAGTCATATGCCACTGTGGACTATAGTGAGAAGATGGGAGCAGTGGACTCAGCTGATTTGATGCTCACTTCTTCAAAGGGCACAAGATTCGGTCTAAGAAATTCTTTCACCACCTTCTAAACATTACAGTGCTGAATGAACCTCTACACCCTGTTCAAGAAGGACAATCCTGAGCACACAATTAGCCATATAAACTTCAGACTGACGTTGATTGAAAAAATGCTCTTAAAGCATCACAGGCCAGGGCAGCAAAGTCTTCCAGGTCATCCTTGCTCTGATGATGTCATACCTCTTCACCTGTATGGAAGACCTTTCCCCAAGAGATATCACCAACATCAGGGGAGCGAAATCCAACTGGTCACTGCAAAGTTTGCTGCTTGTGCAAAGACGAGCCTAGCAAGACAATCTGAAGAGAAACGTGATATTTTTGTGTGGAATGTGATATTCCGCTTTATGTTGTTCTGTGCTTTGAAATTTACCACACAAAAAATTATTAAATACTGATTATCATATACATTTCTGTTATATTAGGATTAGAGACAAGTTCTGTTTAGAAATAATTCCAAGAACGGATTTTATATTTTATTTCACATTGAAAATCAGTCAGATTTGCTTCAGCCTCAAAGAGTGTGTTTATGTAAAATTATATGAATGCTGGCAGCAAACTGCACTTTTTTTTTTTTCTAAAGAGAAAAAGAGTTAAACAATGTAACACCTTTTGTATATGTCTCACAGTTCTTGGGCCTTTGGTTTTCAGTCTTTATTCTCTTTTCTCTTCAGTTTTGGAGATTTCTATTAATATACTCTCAAGATCAGACTTTGTTTTTCCAGCCATACCCAGTCCTTTCTGTTACAGTGTTCTGTTTAGTTTTGTTTTTTAATCTCTAGCATTTTCTTTTTTTTGCTTTTTCTTGGGATCTTCATCTTTCAGTTTACATTGCTCCTCTATTAAAAATTACAACATCCCTGCCATGTCTGGTTCCGAAGCTTGCTTGTTATCTTCAAACCATGTCTTTTTGCCTTTTATTATGCCTTATAATTTTTACTTGATAGCCAGATAAAATATATTGGGTGAAGGGAAGTGCTAGAAATAGGCCTTTAATAATATGGGGGTAAGGTGTAGGGGAAGAGAAACATTCTATACTTCTATGCTTAGGGTTCAGTGCTTTAGTGAGCTTATGTCTGTGGACTGTAAACATCACAAGTGTCTCTTTGCTTCTTTCTCCACCCATGTAGGTGGGACTGGATGCTAGTGCTGGATGGAGTTGAGTATTTCTCTTTCCCCAGTCAGTTAGATAATAATAAAACTGTATATAGCACATTAGGCTGGTTAAATAGTTTCTCCCTAGAGCAGAGCTTAAGAACAGAGTGCTCTGACTTCCTCCCTATATAATTGTGTCATGATTTTTGGTTTAATCAACTTACTGTTCTTCTATTAGTGAGAAAACTATAGTCACCCCAAGAAACGTGAATCATATTTAATATATGAAAAAAATTTACTATATTGTGTATGCTATAGTTCTGTGGTTATTATTGTAGGTTCTCAAACACTGGATTACGTGTTATAAAAACATTTTTGTATTTCTGCTTTTACACTTGATATTGTATAATAAACAGATCAATTGTATGAAATTAACCCTTTCTTTCAAAAATTGCATAATTTTTCTGTTTTTTTTTTTTCAAGGCAGAAGAATTTTTCTTAGTACAGAACAAAATGGAGTCTTCTATGTCTACTTCTTTCTACACAGACACAGTAACAATCTGATCTCTCTTTCTTTTCCCCACATTTCCCCCTTCTCTATTCGACAAAACTGCCATCATCATCATGGCCCGTTCTCAATGAGCTGTTGGGTACACCTCCCAGACGGGGTGGCGGCCGGGCAGAGGCGCCCCCCACCTCCCAGACGGGGCGGCTGGCCGGGCGGGGGCTGCCCCCCACCTCCCGGACGGGGCAGCTGCAGGGCGGAGACTCTCCTCACTTCCCAGACTGGGCGGCTACCGGGCGGAGGGGCTCCTCACTTAGACGGGGCGGCCGGTCAGAGACGCTCCTCACCTCCCAGACGGGGTGGCGGCGGGGCAGAGACACTCCTCAGTTCCCAGACGGGGTCACGGCCGGGCAGAGGAGCTCTTTACATCTCAGATGGGGCGGCGGGGCAGAGGCGCTCCCCACATCCCAGACAATGGGCGGCCGAGCAGAGACTCCTCACTTCCTAGACAGGATGACGGCCGGGAAGAGGCGCTCCTCACTTCCCAGACTGGGCGGCCAGGCAGAGGGGGCTCCTCACATCCCAGATGATGGGCGGCCAGGCAGAGACGCTCCTCACTTCCTAGACGTGGTGGCAGCCGGGCAGAGGCTGCAATCTCGGCACTTTGGGAGGCCAAGGCAGGCGGCTGGGAGGTGGAGGTTGTAGCCAGCCGAGATCATGCCACTGCACTCCAGCCTGGGCAACATTGAGCACTGAGTGAGCGAGACTCCGGCTGCAATCCTGGCACCTCAGGAGGCCGAGGCTGGCAGATCACTCGTGGTCAGGAGCTGGAGACCAGCCCGGCCAACACGGTGAAACCCCGTCTCCACCAAAAAATACGAAAACCAGTCAGGCGTGGCGGCGCGCGCCTGCAATCCCAGGCACTAGGCAGGCTGAGGCAGGAGAATCAGGCAGGGAGGTTGCAGTGAGCCGAGATGGCGGCAGTACAGTCCAGCCTCGGCTGGGCATCAGAGGGACACCGTACAGAGAGGGAGAGCGAGAGGCAGAGGCAGAGGCAGAGGCAGAGGCAGAGGCAGTGAGGCAGAGAGGCAGAGAGGCAGAGAGGCAGAGAGGCAGAGGCAGAGAGGCAGAGGCAGAGAGGCAGAGGGGCAGAGGGGCAGAGGGGCAGAGGCAGAGGCAGCCATAATTTTTCATAATATGAAAATAGCACAATATATTTAGCCATCTCTTACTGATAGGCATTCAGATGTTTCCTTAGACAACACGGAGTTATTAGTTCTATAGGCAATTTTCTTAGTAGTAAGTTTGGGCCAACAAGTGTACGTATTTTAAATTTCACTCCAATAGTGAGCAGAGATTACTTAGGAAACAGTAGAAATCCACATTGCAACCACCAAAGTATGGCTTTTCAATCCCTCTCCATTCCCACCAGCAGAGGGAGGCATAAGGCTTTAAGTTTTTTTGCCAATCATTTGATAGAAAAAGGGCAATTCATTTTTTTCAAGGTTTTCAAGTAATAAAGCTTAAGATTTTTTTTACTTTTTATTTTTTAACTATAACATAGTTATAGGTTCACAGGAAGTTGCAAAGAAATATACAGAAGTCTCATACATCTTGGCAACTTCCTCCAGTGTTGACATCTTTCAAACTATAGTACAATACCAAAGACAGGAAATTAACATTGGTGTCATCCATAGAACTTATTCAGTTTTCACAAGTTACGCACGCACACAATTTTTGTTTGTTTATGTGATTGTGTTTATGTGTGTGTAGCTCGATGTGAATGAATCATTTATGTGACCTTCTATAACCACCACTGTAATCAAGAAATTCAGCTAAATCATCACCACACGACTCCTGGTGTTACCCTTTTATAGCCGCACTCACCTTCTCTACCCCATCCTTAACCCTTGGCAAACACCACATAAAAGACATCATGCAATAAGTACCATTTCGAGATTGGCTTATTTCACTGGCGTAATACCCTTCAGGCTCATCAAAGTTGGGTATATCAATTGTTTATTGCTTTTTATTTCTGAATGTATTCTATAATACGGATTACCCCAGTTTATTTAACTGTTTACTTACTGAAAGACATTTGGGTAATTTCCTTGATTTAGCTACTATAAATAAAGCTTCTGTGAACATTTGTGTACAAGTTTCTGTATAATAATGTTTTATTTCTCTGAGATAATTGCTCAAGAGTTCATTTGCTAAATTACACAAGTCCACTTTCAATTTATTACATCCCTTTAATAGAGATTTTTTTTCAGATCAAAAACTTCAATTTAGATGAGGTCCAATTTATTAATTTTTCATTTTATGGATTATTTTTCTAATTTAAATTTGCTTTCTTCATCATTTTGTGAGATGTCTTTGATTTTTATAGTTTACTTTTATTTTTACATGTATTGATTTTCTTCAGTGTATAATTTTGTGTTTGACATTGATTTAAAACTTCTACTTAGAAACTTTATATTAGGCTTCTGTTGCTTTCTTTTTATATTTTTTTGTTTCTTTTAGAATTCCTTTTTCTTCTGGCTTATAAATAGTCTCTTTAAATACAAAGTCAGATATATATTCATATAAATTCTTTGTTATAGATTTATCTTTTAATATTTCTGTATTTAATAAATATGTAATTCACATATATGTTATGGTGGGGTGTTTTAACATATCTTCACTTAAACATATTGACATTCTGGTCATTATGTTATTACATTTTATTTCATATGCCATTTTATTAAATTCCATAATTAAAACACATCAATTATCCATGTATATTGGGTGCCTATTTTCTATCCTTTCTATAATTATCTGTAATTTTTTTTGCCTTTTTTTCTGAACTTTATCCCTTTACTAAGCTTACCTTATGTGTCTTTGACTCCATTTATTTCTTTGCCTTATTACATTTTTTCTATGTTAAAATTACTAGTTCTGCTTTACTTTTTTAATCCTGTACCTGTAACCAGACACATTTATTTTACCTATTATTTTCTTGCTATCTCATCCTTGAAAATAAATTTAAGTGTTTTTCTTTTTTTTTTTTTTTTTGGTGTGTCTTCTAAATTTACAATCATTTGCTGCAGAAAATACTTTTGTTTTACTAGAGTACATCATTTTCAGAAGAGTTATCTAATTTATTATTTACTTGCTATGTATTTTTGTCAGTCATATAGCCCTCTCCCATGGTATATTTGTAATTTTCAGTATTATTTCATTTCAAATTACTTATCCTTGATGGGGTTGCTTTACCCAAGTCTTTTATTTGCCAAAATATGGTATAGTTCAATATTTCTTGATTGCTCCAAACACATGTGGGTGCATTTTATTATTACCTTCCCTACCTCCACCCCAGATCTGAGTCTGAGGACTGTATCCTTGCAGGTTGTGTGTAGTAGTTATCACTTGGTTGCTGGAGAAAGAGTAGAAGACAGAGGATGGGACAGTGAACAACTTAAAGTGGTCAAGTTTGTCTCTATTTTCTAGAGCCTTCTTAATGATCGGTCATCTAGGTGGCCTAATAAAAAAATGCAAATTTCACCCCTTTTACTTCCCACCTCTACTTCTGTCCTCCTCCACCCAGAGTTGTAGGAGGGGGCAAAGCTCAGGGATTGTCCCAACCCTAATCATGGCACAAAAGTTCCAAGGGTTCAGGGGGAGTTTTTCAGGACTTTTCTCATGGCATATTGGCTCCTCTGAAATATTTTATCTTTCTTCTCAATCCACAAATTGATGCTTGCCCTGTTTTCCAGAGATATCTACTAGACATCTGAAAGGTTAAAGTTTGAAAACTTCTTAAATTTCTTGAAAATGTTCTTTGTTTTTTCAAGGAATACTCAAATTCCATTATTCCTGCTTTCTTCTAGGGGAATAGAGCTAGGTAAGCAGAATTTAATCATTTAGGAAAAACAAGAGGGTATAGTACTTTCCACTCAAACTCACCACACTAATCTAAGTTCCCGCTCTTCATCTCCTTTGCCCTAAGGTGTAGCTGTAATTCTCAGCTGTTCATTTTCAGCTGTTTATAAAAATGTAGATTTAAGGTGTAGAAAGACCATTATTTTAGTTCTACCTAGATCCTTTGGGAAGCCACTAGTTTATTTTAGTTGAAATCAAATAAAATAAAAATTTAAAAGCATAAAAACAATTCCCAGAGTGATAAAAGAAAACTTTTAGTTAACTAGAGCTAATATGCATGTTAACATCAATGAAAAATATAACTGAGTAATCAGGGACCCAAGCGCACAGTTGGAAGCAGTATAGTGGGACCTCTCTGGCCCTGAACTCCATCACAAGTAACAGAATAGAGTCCTGGAGTGGAGCTCATAGAGAAGTGATGGTTGGCATCATGTTCCCTGACTTTTCATGTTCCTTGTAGCCTTGTGTTGGTGTCTGCACATTTGAAGATGCAGTCCCTTCTTCCAGACATTTTAAGTTGGTTTTGTTGGGGGAAAACCTTCACCTATGGATGGGTGAGAGTGCCAGCTGACTGGTGTGGACACCATATCTTGCTGTAGGAGAAGATGGACTTCCTTAGCCCCAGCTTCCAGTGGCAAGGCAGATGGAACCAGTGGGAGTTGGGGGATGGTTATTCTCCACTCTGAATAGGATCCACTACAATGACTCTTCTGCCTCTGAGGGCCTCTGGTGGATACAGCATTGGTTTCAGGACTAAGCAGATGGAGAGACCCTGCCTTATCCACAATGAGGCAAGTTCCTTGATTAGTTTAGGTTACCAGTCTTCATCAAGGTTTCATGCTCACCCCCTTCATCCTTTCCAGATCATGATAACATTTATAGACTTGTTTTAAATACCACTTACTCAGTGGAACAAACTTCTCCTTCCCATATGAACCAGTTTCATAAAACCCACCCAACTTGCTTTCTCTTTCTGACAATGATAACTTAAAATGCATTATTATTGATAATGATATAAAATATGAATTTTGAAAAATCAAAAGTATTTCTGAAATAACTTATATCCAAATGGCAGGGCAGCCCCAGTACACTCCTCCACATGGCATCTCAAGTAGACTGGCAGGCAAAGATCCAATAGAAAAGGTCACCAAATCCCTTGGGACATGCTTGAGCTACCCTAGGAAATGTTTTGTTAGCCCCAACTCCCACTGGGTGAAATAAGAGCAGGTGTCCCCTTTGAGCATCAACTCAAACTTTTCTGAGCTGATTTGCATGTTGGGCCATTAGACAACGGTCCAAGCTTCTCAGAGCATCCTTAAAGACAGCTTGTCAGGGCCCCTGAGGAGCAGCCTCTAGTTCAGCTCTCAGAGATAGGGTCCGGGGCTCCTTTGCTGTGGATCCTCCTGCTCTGGGCTCCAAGTGAGGGGGTATAGGGAAACATCGGGCAAACTCATGTGGCCATCATTGTTTTTTGTGTCTCTGGATTCTTGGTTGTTGGATTTAGGGCACTCATTGTAGGTTGTAAGTTCCCCAGTTATCTTTTGTTTTCTGGTTACTCAAGATGTTGCATATGACTGTGGTTACAAGTGTCACCAATGCATGGCCTACATGGGGACAGTCTCAGTATATCTGATATAATTTATCTGTCTTTATCATTTCAGGCTGCAATGGGGACATTGTGCTGACCCAGTCTCCAGCCTCCTTGGCCGTGTCTCCAGGACAGAGGGCCACCATCACCTGCAGAGCCAGTGAGAGTGTCAGTTTCTTGGGAATAAACTTAATTCACTGGTATCAGCAGAAACCAGGACAACCTCCTAAACTCCTGATTTACCAAGCATCCAATAAAGACACTGGGGTCCCAGCCAGGTTCAGCGGCAGTGGGTCTGGGACCGATTTCACCCTCACAATTAATCCTGTGGAAGCTAATGATACTGCAAATTATTACTGTCTGCAGAGTAAGAATTTTCCTCCCACAGTGCTTTAGGTCTAAACAAAAACCTCCCCAGGCAGCTGCTCCCTGAGGCTCAAATCCCTCAGATGTGGCTTTTTATGCAGGTCCATCAGCCTGCTGTCATAGGCTTGTTTGAACAAAGGGGTCAAATTATCAAAGAGAAAATCCTTAAATTGATGTGTGTGTGTGTGTGTGCATGCATGTGTGTCACAGCCAGTTTTATAATTTAATAATTTCTTTACTGTATCAGGACCTCTCAGAAGTTTTCTACTTCTCAATGTATATTTTTTATGTCAAAGACCCTTACCAATAGAAGAATTTTAAACATTAAGAAAACTTTGTAGTCATTTTAAAAAATGCTCTGAATAGTCAAAATTATTAGCTCTATATCTTTCAGATATAGGTGACCTTCTCACCTGAATTTTGACTTTTCTCCACTTTTATTTGCTGAACCCACATGAAAAGGCTTTTCTAGTTATTTAGAAACCTAAGACTTGTGAGGTAGTTATCTCTGCTTATTTAATTTAGATGTCTCTATCTCGGTGACTTTCCCAAAAGTTAGATTCTCAGCTCTAGTTTTAATAAATTGTCCTTTACTCTTCATGCAGTGTTCATGTCCTTTTTCTTTTCTTTTTTTTTTTTTTTAAACAGAGTCTCACTCTGTCACCCAGGCTGGAGGGCAATGGCACAATCTTGGCTCACGGCAGTCTCCACCTCCCAGGTTGAAGTGATTCTCCTGCCTCAATGTCTCAAGTAGCTGGGATTACAGGTGCCTGCCACCACGCCCAGCTAATTTCTGTATTTTTAGTAGAGATGGGGTTTCACCATGTTGGCCAGCCTGGTCACGAACTCCTGACCTCATGATCCACCTGCCTTGGCCTCCCAAAGTGCTGGGATTACAGGTCATGTCCTTTTTCTATGATATTTTCCATGTCCATTGTTAAGGTTTTTTTTCTCATCTTCTCTTTTTGCTTTTCTAATTGCTCTAACACTACAGGCAGAGTGGACTCCAGAAATGCAGGTGTGCATAGTCACAATCATGGAAAGATTAGTGATTATGTGCCCCTCCATCCCTACCTTGGCCTCCGTCAGTCTTCTGCATCCTCCACAAAGCAAGCAGAGAAACTCTGGCAAAATAGGCTTTTGCAGCATTTCAGTCTAATAAGATTTACATTGGTTTCTAAATTTGTAACCCTTGTAACCCTATCTCACTACATATAAAATTTTATTATTAGTTGGCTGTTGGCCCATGCAAATTATCACACACTTAGTGGCTTAAAATAATACACGTTTATAATTCACATGCAGTTTCTATGAGTCGGGAGCCTGGGCAGAGTTTATCTGGGTCCTCTCTTCAAGGTCTCACAGGCTGCAGTCAAGGTGTTGACCAGGCTGCATTCTCATCCAGGGACTTAAAGAGTCTGCTTCCATGATCATTCAAGTTGTTGACAGAATTGTTTTCATAGTAACTCTAAGGCTGAGGGTCCTGGCTTTTTGCTGGCTGTTGGCTGGAGATCACCCTAAGCTCCTAGAGAACATCTTAAGTTTCCTGCCACATGGGCTACTAATAATCAAACCAGCTAGGATAATTTCTTGGTAACAAGGAGAGCTCAGTTCCTCTTTTAATGGCTTTGACCTGCTTAAGTCAGATCCACTCACAATAATCTCCCTTATGATTAACTCAAACCCAACTGATTTGGGACTACTGCATCTGCAAAATACTTTCACCTTTGCAATATTGTGTATGCTAGAAGGAAGTCAAAAATTCTGCCCAGACTCAAGAAGAGGGAATTACACAGTTAGGAACACCAGTGGTTCTGTATCATGGGGCCAACCTAGGGTTGTCCACTAAAACTGTCATATTGCCTAAGTGTTTTGTTTGTTTTTATTCTCTTTCTCTCAAATGGCCCCTGTCCTAAGGGGATTAAATAAGGAAGCTTCCTCTGGTAATAGGTTCTGACCAGCATCAGACAAACAGATTCCTCAAAATGGTGTTTTCATCCCAGCTTCTCATGTTTCTCCTGTTGCTTCCTGAGTGACGAAGTGGTGAAGGTTTCATCTATAGAGTGGAAGATTTGAAATAAATAAATAATTTTATAAATATTGGCCTGTAATTACCTGTATAGTAAAGAAAGAAAGAATATCTAAAAACCAATTGGGTAGTTTCTATTTTAAGAGACTAGAAAAAGAAGAACCAGCGAGATTCACAGCAAGCAGAAGGAAGAAAATAATTTTAAAAATAGAGTATAAATCAATGAAGTAAAAGACGAAAATCATTGAAAGCAAAAGTTGTGTTTCTGGAAAGATTGGCAAAATTAAAAATCTTTATGACTCTTGAAGAAAAAAAGAGAAGGCCAAGATTATTAAAATCAGGATTGAAATAAGGGGTACAACTGCCTATCCTACAGAAACTTTAAAAATACTGTAAGAGAATATGATGAACAATAATAAGTCATTAAATTAGGCAATTTAGATGAGATAACCCAAAACTAATTCAAAAACAAATAGAAAATATGAATAGAACCATAACAAGTGAAGAAATTAAAAAGTTTCCAATAAAGAAAAACTGAGACTACATGGCGTCACTGGTGAGTTCTATCAAGAATTTAAAGAATAAATATTACCAATCTTCATTAAATTCTTTCAGTATACATAGGAGAAAAGAATACTTCCCAACTCATTCTATGAAGCCAGTGTTACCCCAATACCAAAGCCAAGCAAAGACATTCCAAGGAAAGAAAACCATAGACCAATATCCCCTACTAATGCATGTGAAAAAATTATCAAAAGATATAACTAAATAGAATCCAGTAGCATATAGAAATGATTATGCACCATAATACAAATGGGATTTATTAAACAATGCAAGATAGATTAACATCTGAAAATCAATAAAGTAATATGCCACATAGAGTAAATATAAAAAATGTAATCATCTCAATAAACGGAGAAAGATATTTGATAAAATTCAAAACTCTTTTATGACAAAAGCTCTCAACAAACTTGTAATAGAAGGAAACTTCCTTTACCTTATAAAGGATATATATGAAAAACTTACAGTTAACATCTACTTAAAGTTGACAGAATGCCTTCTTTCTAATGTCATAAACAAGACAAGGATATTCACTCTTGCTACTCAATTCAACACTGCACTGGATGTTCTTGTCAAGCAATCAAGCAAGAAAAAAATGAAAAATAAAGTATATCAATATTTAAAAGAAGAGTAAAAGTATTTTAATTACAGAAAATATAATCCTGTATGTATATTAAATGATAAGGAATACATGTCCCCCACCACTACACATACAATCTACTAGTAATAAACAACTTTGGCAAAGTCACACAATAAGATATGCAATATGCAGAAATAAATTTTATCTCCATGTACAGTTACATTTTGTTATGTTTCAACAGATATCTGTAAAGTCACAAACGCTGAATTAACAAATATTGAACCATTGGTCCTAGTGGTAGTACTGGTTTATGTTCCTATGAGCCTATGGTCACATTTTCATTAACTGATCAATAGGTAACTTTTTGTATGAGTATCTTAAACAGATTATATATATCTCATAAAGTCTTAAATATAGGCATATACATATAGGCATACCTGTAGATTTGGTTCCAGACCACTGCAATAAAGCAAATATCACAATAAAGTGAATCACACAAACTTTTGGGTTTCTGCATATATATAAAAGTTATGTTTATACTATACTGTAGTCTATTAAGTGTGCAATAGCATTACGTTTTAAAAACAATGTACATCATTTAAAATACTTCATTACTAAAAAATGGTAATAATCATCTGAGCCTTCAGTGAGTAATCTTTTTGCTGGTTGAGAATTTTATCTCAATGCTGTTGGCTACTGGCTGATTAGGGTGGTGGTTGTTGATAGTTGGGGAGATTGTGGCAATTTCTTAAAATAAGACAGCAATAAAGTTTTCCGCATTGATTGAATCTTCCTTTAATTAAAGGTTTCTCTGTAGCATGACATACTTTTTGATAGCACTTTACCCATAGTAGTACTTCCTTCAAAATTGGAGTCAATCCTCGAGCCCTACTGCTGCTTTATCAACTAAATTTTTTTATACTATTATAAATCCTTTGTTGTCATTGTAACCTTGCTCACAGCATCTTCACAGCAGTAGATTCCATCTCAAGAAACTATTTTATTTGCTCATCCGTATGAAGTAACTCCTCATCCATTAATGTTTTACTGTCATATTGCAGCAATTCAGTTACATCTTCAAGCTCCGCTTCTTTTCTTTTTCTTTATTTCTTCTTAAAAATGGGACACATGTGCAGAACATGCAGGTTTGTTACATAGTTATACTTCTAATTCTAGTTCTCTTTTAATTTTACACATCTTCATTTACTTACTCCACTGAAGTCTTGAACCCCTCGAAATCATCCATGAGGGTTGGAATCAACTTTTTTCAAACTTCTGTTAATACTGATCTTTTGGCCAGCTCCCATGAATCACAAATTTTCTTAATGGCATCTAAAATAGTGACTCCTTTCCAGAAGGTTTTTAATTTACTTCGCCCAGATCTATCAGAGGAATCACTATCTACAGCAGTTCTAGCCTTATGAAATGTATTTTTTAAGCAATAAAGCTTGGAAGTCAAAATTACTCTTTGATGCATGAGCTGAAGAATTAATGTTGTGTTAGCAGGCATGAAAACAACATTCATCTCCTTGTGTATCTCCTTCAGAGCCCTTCAGTGACTAGGTGCATTGTAAATCAATGAGCAGTAATATTTGAAAGAAATCTTTTTTTACTGAGCAGTAGGTCTCAACAAATATTTGGTAAACCATGCTCTAAACGGATGTGCTGTCATCTAGGTTTTGTGGTTCCATGTATACAGCACAGGAAAAATAGACTTAGTATAATTCTTAAGGGCCCTAGGATTTTCAGAATGGTAAATGAGCATTGGCTTCGACTTAACATAGGTCATCAGCTGCATTATCTTAATAACAGAGTCTGCCTGTCCTTGGAAACTTTTAAGCCAGGAACCTCTCTAGCTATGAAAGTCTTAGATGGCATCATCTTCCAACATAAGACTGTTTCATCTACATTGAAAATCTGTTGTTAAGTGTAGCCACTTTCATTAATACTTCTAGCTAGATCTTCTAGATAACTTGCTGCAGGTTCTCCATCAGCACTTTGCTGCTTCACCTTCCACTTGTATGTCATGGAGATGGCTTTTTTTCTTTAAACATCATGAACCAACTTCTGCTGCTTCAAAGTTTTCTTCCGCAGCTTCCTCATCTCTTTCAGCCTTCATAAATTCTATGAGTTTGGGCCTTCCTCTGGATTAGGCTTTGGATTAAGGGAATGTTGTGGCTGGTTTGAGCTTCTATCCAGATCACTAAAACTGTCTCCATATCAGCAATAAGGCTATGTTGCTTTTTAGACATTTGTGATGTGTTCACTGGAGTAGCACTGTTAACTTTCTTCAAGAACTTTTTCTTCGCATTCACAACTTGGCTAACTGGGGCGAGAGGTCTAGCTTTTGGTCTATCTAAGCTTTTGACATGCTTTGCTCACTAAGCCTAATCATTCCTAGCTTTTGATTGATAGTGAGAGACATGTGACTTTCTTTCACTTTAACACTTACAGATCATTATAAAGTTCTTAATTAGCCTAATCTTCATATTATCGTGTCTCAGGAAATAGGGAGGCCCGACAAGAGGAAAACAAGGAACGGCCAGTTACTGGAGCAGTCACCACACATACATTTATCGAGTAAGTGTGGTTTGTGTGTTTTGTGGTTCCCCAAAGCAATTATAATAGTAACATCAAAGATCACTAAATACAGATCACCCTAACAGATATAATAATGAAAAATTTAAAATATTGTGAAAATTAGCAAAACGTGATACAGAGACACAAAGTGAACATATTCTTTTGGGAAAATGGTGATGATAGACCTGCTTAACCCAAGGCTGTTACAAACCTTCAATTTGTAAAAAACAGTATCTTCAAAGAGCAACAAAGTGAAGTGCAATAAAACAAGGCATTTTCCTATACACACACACATACACACACACACATACACACACGATTTATTAACATTGAACTCATGGCCAAAAGCACTATGACTTGTGCCTGAACAAAGCTTATCTAACACACATATTTTCTTCGTAAGACACATGGCAGACTTGTGCTTAGGAACATTAAACAGCAATTCAGCATTATTATATTTGGGGAACATTTATAACCACAAAATTACCAACATAAAGAGCAAAATTGAGCAAAAGGACACTTGTTTACAGTATGAGAAGTGAAACAAGATGGAAGAGTGTGGCTTTGTTAAACCTCAGTTGGGAACATGAGTGTTCAGTGGCTCAATTTTTTTGCCACTCTGTGCATGTCCACAAATGAGAATAAAAGCACTCTATGTATTGACTTTGGGATTGTATTAAATTTTAGCAGGCAGGCAAATTCACAAATACAGAATACACAAATAAGATTGACTACTGTGGATCACTAACTTGAAAATAAAGCATAAAGACAATGAACAAACATTGATAAGAAGAAAATACTTCTGAATATATTTAACAAAAAAGTAAGAGATATGCTGAAAACTATAAAACATTACTGAGAGACATTAAAGAAGATCCAAATAAGTGAAGAGACATTTCATGTTCATGGACTGGAAGATTCAGTATTATTAAGATGATAATTCTCTCCAGTGTGATCTACAGATTCAACACAATTTGAGTCAAAATCCCAGTAGGCTATAGAATTTGGTGAACTGATTCTAAAATTTATATGAAAATTCAGAAGACTTCAAATAACCAAAACAATTTTTCAAGAAAATTGAAGTTGGAGGGCATAAAATTTCCAGTTTCAAAATGTACAGTTGACCCTCTAACAATGTGGGAGTTAAGGGCACAGACGCCGTGCACAATAGAAAATGTATGTATAATGTTTGAATCCCCAAAAATCTAACTACTGATAGCCTGTTGTAGACTGGAGGCCTTACCAATTGTATAAACAGCTGATTAGCTCATATTTTGACTGTTATATGTATTATATACTGTATTTTACAATCAAGTAATGTAGAGAAAAGAAAATGTTTTTAAGAAAATTATAAAGAAGAGAACATATGTTTACTAGTCATTAAGTGAAAATGGATCATTATAAATGTCTTCATCCTTATCGTATTCACATTGAGTAGGCTGAGGAGGAGGGAGAGGAGAGATTGGTCTTGTTATTTCAGATGTGGCAGAAAATCCATGTATGAGTGAACCTGCACAGCTTATATCAGTGTTGTCCAAGGATCGCCTATACTATAAAGCAGAGAACAACTATAAACTACAGTTTCCAGGACAAGATGGTGCTGGCACAAAAATGAACTTATAGATCAGTAGGATGGAATTGAGAATCTAGAAATAAACCTTTACATTTTTGGTAAGTTATTTTTTAAAATAATGCCTAGGAAATTAAATGGGAGGAAGGATAGATTTTCAATTGGTATCTATAGGTGAAAAGACGAATTTAGGCCCTGATCTCTTGCCATGCACACTAGATCAAAATAGATCAGAGATCTTATTTTATTTTTTAACTTTTAAGTTCAAGGGTGCATATGCAGGATGTTCAGGTTTGTTACATAGGTATACATGTGTCATGGGGGTTTGATGTACAGATTATTTCATCACCCAGGTATTAAGCCTAGTATCCATTAGTTATCTTTCCTGATTCTCTCCCTTCTCCCACCCTCCACCCTCCTATAGGCCCAAGTGTGTGTTTTTCCCCCTTGTGTGTCCATGTGTTCTCATCATTAACTCTCATTTATAAGTGAGAACATGCAGTGTTTGTTTTTCTGTTCCTGTGTTAGTTTGCAGAAGATAATGGCCTCCAGCTCCATCCATGTCCCTGCAAAGGACATGATCTCGTCCATTTTTATGCTTGCATAGTATCCTATGGTGTGTATGTACCACATTTTCTTTATCCAGTCTATCATTGATGGGCATTTGGGTTGATTCAATGTCTTTGCTATTGCGAATGGTGCTGCAATGAAAGTACTCATACATGAGCCTTTAGAATAGAATGATTTACATTCCTTTGAGTATATACCCAGTAATGGGATTGCTGGGTCAAATTGTATTTCTGACTTTAAGTCTTTGAGGAACCACCACACTCTCTTCTACAATGGTTGAACTAATTCACACTCCCATCAATGGTGTATAAGCATTCCTTTTTCTCCACAACCTCATCAGCATCTGTTATTTTTTGTCTTTTTGATAACAGCCATTCTGACTAGTGTGCGATGGTATCTCATTGTGGTTTTCATTTGCATTTCTCTAATGATCAGTGATGTTGAGCTTTTTTTCATATGACTATTGACTGCTTGTATGTCTTCTTTTGAGAAGTGTCTGTTCACATCCTTTGCCCACTTTTTAATGGGGTTGATTGTTTTCTTGTAAATTTGTTTAAGTTCCTTATAGATGCTGCATATTAGACCTTTGTCAGATGCATAGCTTGAAAAATTTTTCTCTCATTCTGTAGGGATCTATTCATTCTGTTGATAGGTTCTTTTGGTGTGCAGAAGCTCTTTAGTTTAATTAGATCCCATTTGTCAATTTTTGCTTTGGTTGCAATTGCTTTTGGCATCTTCGTCATGAAATCTTTGCCTGTGCCTGTGTCCTGAATGGTATTGCCTAGGTTGTCTTTCAGGGTTTTTATAGTTTTGGGTTTTAAATTTAAATACTTTATCCATCTTGAGTTGATTTTTGTATCTGGCTTAAGGAAAGGCGTCCAGTTTCAATCTTCTGCACATGGCTAGCCAGTTATCCCAGCACCATTTATTGAATAGGAAGTCCTTTCCCCATTTTTTGTTTTTGTTAACTTTATTACAGATCAGATGGTTATAGGTGTGAGGACATATTTCTGGGCTCTCTATTCTATTCCATTGGTCTATGTGTCTGTTCTTGTACCAGTACCATGTGGTTTTGATAACTGTAGCCCTGTAGCATAATTTGAAATTGGGTAGTGTGATGCCTCCAGCTTTGTTCTTTTTGCTTACGATTGCCTTGGTTATTCAGGACTTTTTTGTTGTTGTTGTTCCGTATGAACTTTAAAATTGTTTTTTTCTAGTTTTATGAAGAATGTCAGTGGTACTTTAATGGGAATAGCATTGAATCTATAAATTGCTTTGGACAGTATAGCCACCATTTAATGTTACTGATTACTCCTATCAGTGAATATGGAATGTTTTTCCATTTGTCTGTGTTGTTTCTGATTTCTTTGAGTAGTGGTTTGTAGTTCTCCTTGTAGAGATCTTTCACTTCCCTTGTCAGCTGTATTTCTAGGTATTTTATTCTTTCTGTGCCAATTGTGAATGGGAGTTCGTGATTTGGCTCTCGGAATAACTGTTGTTGGTGTATAGGAATGCTGTATGAATGTATGAATGGTGTATAGGAATGTATGAATGGTGTATAGGAATGCTAGTGATTTTTGCACATTAATTTTGTATCCTGAGACTTTGCCGTAGTTGCTTATCCAGCTTAAAAAGCTTTGGGGCTGAAATGATGGGGTTTTCAAGATATAGGATCATGTCATCTGCAAACAGGGATAGTTTGACTTCCTTTCTTCCTATTTGAATGCACTTTATTTCTTTTTCTTGCCTGATTGCCCTGGCCAGAACTTCCAATACTCAGTTGAAAAGGAGTGGTGAGAGATGACATCCTTGTCTTGTGTCAGTTTTTAAGGGGAATGTTTCCAGCTTCTGCCCATTCCTAAAATCTGAAATTATAAAAACTTTAGGTTAAAACTTTTCCATTTCTGGGTTCACCAAATATTTCTTAGTTACAACATCAAAAGCTCAACTTATGAAAGAAAATGCTAATATATTAGGTTTCATTAATGTTCAAAACATTTGCATTTCAAAGGATACCATTAAGAAAATGAAAAGACAAACCACAGACCAGAGAAATTATTTATAAACCATTTATCTGATACACGCCATATTTCCAGAATATATAAGTCATAAGACAACCCAATTTAAAAATGAACAAAATATTTTAGTATAGATGTTATGGAAGAAGATATATGAACAGACAGTAATCACATGAAAAGGTGCTCAACATTATTAGTCATTAACAAAAATCAAATTAAATTCACAATAGGCACCATTCCATATACACTATAATGATTTTAATAATTTAAAAAACAGACAATAACAAAAGTTGGTGAGAATGTGACAGAAAAGAAGGCTTCATACACTGTTGGTGCAAGTGTTAAATGCTGCACACTCTTGAAAACAGTTTGGCAGTTTTTAAAAAATAAACAGAAATTTATCATATGGCTCAGCATTTCCACTTGTAGAGGTCTGTCTGAGAAAAATCAAAACCGGTGTCCACACAAAGACTTACAGGCAAATATTCATAGCAGCATTGTTGATCATCATATAACCAAAAAGTGCAAAGGACCTCAATGTTCCTCAACCTGTGAATAGATAAATAAAATGTGATATATCCGTACAGCGGAATACTATCCAAAAATAAAAAGGAATGGCCTACTGATACATGCTAAAACAGGGATGAACCTAAACTTCGTTTAATGGAAAGAAACCAGATAGAAACGACCATGCATGCATTATTCCATTTATATAGAATGTTCATATCAAGCAATCAATAGAGGGAAAGTCGATTAATACATGCCTGAGACTGGGAGTGGAAATAAAAATAGCTGCCGGTCTGCATAAGGGATCCTTCAGGGGATGATTAAAATGTTGTAAGATTAAACTGTGGTTATCTGCAACTTTGCAAATTTACCATAAGTCAGTGATTTGCACACTTAAAATAGGTGCTTTTCATGGTTTGACACTGTACTTTAATAAAGCAATTTTAAAATTGCACTGATTTTGTGACTGATCTACCTTGGACTTTCACCTGGGTAGAAGACACCTGAGGAGCTGAGCCTGGAACTGCACTTCCCCTACAGATATGGTGGATGCAAAGGAGTGTTGATTATGGGGAATCTGCACACTGATAAGGGCTTCTGGCAGCTGGACTTTCTTTGCACATTTGGGGAGGGCGTGGGTCAGTGGATAGGCAATGTTATCACACAGAGCTCTGGAATCCTCCACTGTGGGGACTCTTTCAGAATCACTTCCTCAAGGCATGATCTCTCAGCTCCCTCTTGGGGTCTGAATATGCAATGACACTATGGCGTTCCATCTCACTTCCCACCAAAAGTTCTCAGTGCAGGTAAAATGTGATTAGATGAAGTTTGATGTAGTCAGAAGGTCTCCTATAAATGCTAAACAGAGAGGAGTTCTGAAAGTTGTAATGTGCATTACAAGTCCAAGGATTTAACCAACATGCATTTACATGATCATGCCTGGACTCAAGAAATATCTCATTACTTGATATGATTTAGGTCAATTGTTTAAAAAATATTTTTCTGAGTAGCACCCTATTTCTCTGATGGTGAAAATATTAATAATAATGTAGGGACTTCCATCTTTCTATGAATGAACACACATCTACAGGATCTTTTTTAATTCTGGTGATTATTATGCTGTTTTTAGATGTTTAAATAGCATTGTTTTATTTCTGTAATATCCTTATTTCAGGCATTGGTCAGAGTTTTTATTGTGTTTACCTGTCTCCTCTCATTCCATATTCCTGACATATATATATTCAATATAAATCAAATTGCCTTTTACATTTTTCATTTGTCACTATAACTTCATTCATCTCTGTGAACATTGCTGTATGTTACGCATACATTTTTCCCATTGTCATAACTGCTTTTTTTCTTCATTGTAACCCCACAAGATGTAAAATGATTCCATATTTGTAAAGATAGAAAAGACAAATTACTACTTTTCATAATTCTGCTTCTATGTTTTCAAATATTGGCTCATAAATTAACATTTTTGGGAATTTATGTTTAACATTTCTAAAGAGATTATCTCCAGATCAAGAGATGAAAAATATAACCTATTCTTTATCATCACATTTTGGATTGTGTAGAAAACCTATACTTTATTCAAACATTTCTACTGAAGGGCAATTAAATTATGTTCAGGTTTTGCTAATATAATCAATGGATTTGTTAATACAATTTTACCTATATCTTTACACATGCATACTTCTATTTCTATAAATTAGCTTCTCAGATGTGTTTTAGGTAATAGATATGTGTCATTTTAATTTTACTGTAAAAATTCAAGTTGTTGCAATTTATTAATCTTTTTTGTTGTGTAGTGTTACGTTGTATAAATAATGTCACACTTTACTATCTACTGATCAAACAAAAAAATCTTAATCAGAAAAAATTCTCTCATTTTGAAGAAACAAGAATAAGATTAATAGCTAACCTCTAAACATAAATGAGGAAAAGCAGAGACCATAAAATTTCCTTAAAATGATAAGAAAAAGTAGCCATATAGCTAGAGTTCCCTTCAAAGTTAAGCATCCTTCAAGAATTAAGGTAAACTCAACACCACGTAGGAGGTCAGTATCTCTAGGCATGGGAACTTTAGTCACAAATCCCCTAAGTTATTTTTACTTCTAATCTTTGAGAATCAGTGAGCAACAATGGGAGAATTCTTTCCCAAGAGAATCAATGGGGCAATTAAACATCCTTGAGGCAGCAAAGCAGATATTTTCGTGCTTCCTCATGGTCTTTATATCTCTTCAGTAGTCCATTCAAGAGGAATAGAATCCAAATTTGCAATGAGACTAAAATTTAAGACCCTGCTTTGAACAAACTCTTACATATATTCTCTGATTCTAGTGCTCTCACTAACTCTTTGTTTATTAATATATAACTTTTAGGAAAACTATTCTTCAGCATACCCAGATAAAAATATTTCATGACAAAAACATCGAAAGCAATTGAAACAAAAGCAAAAATTGACAAATGTGACTTAATTAAACTAAAGAGCTTCTGTACAGCAAAAGAAACTATCATCAGACTGAACAGACAACTACAGAATGGGAGAAAATGTTTGCACTCTATCCATCTGACAAAGGTCTAATATCCAGAATCTACCAGGAATTTAAACAAATTTACAAGAAAAAAACAAACAACTCCATTAAAAGTGGACAAATGACAGGAACAGACACTTCTCAAAATATATGTGGCCAAAAAATATATGAAGAAAAGCCCAACATCACTGATCATTAGATAAATGCAAATCAAAACCCCAGTGAGATACCATCTCATGATAGTCAGAATGGCAATTATTAAAAAGTCAAGAAACAGCAGACACTGGTGACGCTGTGGAGAAATAGAAACACTTTTAAACTGTTGGAATATAAATTAGTTCCACCATTGTGGAAGACAGTGTGGCAATTCCTCAAAGACCTAGAACCAGAAATACCATTTGGCCCAGCAATCCAATTACTGGGTATATACCCAAAGGAATGTAAATCATCATATTACAAAGATACATGCTTATGTACATTCATTGCAGCACTATTCATAATAGCAAAGACATGGAATCCACCCAAATGCCCATCAATGATAGATTGGATAAAGAAAACGTGGTACATATACGATGGAATATTATACAGCCATAAAAAGTAATGAGATCATGTCCTTTGCATGGAAATGGATGGAGCTGGAAGCCATTGTCTTCAGCAAACTAACACAGGAACAGAAAACCAAACATCTCATGTCCTCACTTACAAGTGGGAGCTAAACAATGAGAATGCATGGACACAGGGAGGGACAACACACACTGGGGGATAGGGGAAGAGCATCATGATAAATAGCTTATGTACATAAGGCTTAATACCTAGGTGATGGGTTGATAGGTGCAGCAAACCACCGTGGCACACGTTTACCTATGTAGCAAACCTGCACATCCTGTACATCCATACATATATCCTGGAACTTAAAACAAAATAAATTTTTTTAAAAAACTTATCAAAAAATATTAGAACTAATAAATAAATTAAATATAGTTTCAGGAAAGAAAATAAAAAAGTTGCATTTCTACAATAACAATAAACAATCTGAAAAACAAATTAAGAAAATGATTCCATTTACAGACTTAAGTGAGTAAAAAGGTAAACCAGAGACAGAGACAAATGCGAAAAAATACTGGTTCTATCTATATCTATAATTGTATAAATATAGATACAGATGTTAGTTCAGGCTGCTATATCAGACTACCATAAACTGGGGGATGGACAGGGTTAAACAGCAGAAACTTTTTCAATTCTGGAAGCTGAGAAGTTCAAGATCAAGGTGCCAGCCAATCTGGTGTATAGTGAAGCCCGACTCCAGGTTTGTAGAGGACCTTCTCCTTGCATCCTCATGTGGCTAAGAGCAGAGAGCTAGCTAGCCCTCTGGTCTCTTCACTTCTTCTTATAAAGACATTAATTCCATTCATGAGGGCTTTACCCTAACAGCCTAATTACCTGCCAAGGCTCAATCTTGATCAACATATTGAGATTAAGATTTCAACATATGAATTTTGGCAGAGCACAAACATTCAGATTGATGGATAGATAGATGGATGGATGATAGGCAGATACACGCTGATATATATCACGCATATGTTATATATATATTTTCATACATATCTGTTCAACTAAATCAGAAAATGCATTAGTAAAATGGGCAGAATTTGACAGAAATTTTAACCCAGAGGATGGTCAAATGCCCTACAAGCATATATAATCCATATATAATCCCACAAACACAGATCGTAATTATGGAGTGATACTACTACACATGTAGAAGAAAGGCTTAAATTAAAAAGTTTTACAATACCAAGTATTGGTGGACATGTAGAACAATAGAAACCCTCATACATTGCTGGTGGAAAGGTGCATTTGTATACCCTGTTTGGAAATCAGAAGGATTATCTACTACAGTTTGATATACCAGCAACAAAGTATTTTACTCTATATTCCAGCAAGTGTGTTCAAAGATTGCTAACATGTTACATATCCTTTCTAAAGTTTGGGACATAAGACATATATAACTTTTATCATTTCTTCTGTATACATACACACACACACACACACACACACACACACAAATGTGAGTATGTTTGTGTGTTTATGGAGATAGACAATAGATAGATTGACAGATAGATCAATTGATAGATAGAGAGATAGATAGATGATGTTTTTATAATGCTGCTGTGGTAACAGTGTGAGAGACCCAGGGAATGTCCAACAAGCATACACAGTTACCCACATAAATAACCTTTTCTCTGCTAGCTGCTTCAATAGGTTCATCCTATCGTAAACCACTGGGGGTTGTGTACATGGTGCAAGGTAGTGACTCAGTAAGAAAATAGCACACAGGCAAGGGATAGAGCATCTATATAAAAAGAAATAATCCGGGTTTATATATTCCCAGAGGATGGAAATTTGCTTTCATGTCACTATGAGCCTAAGGTAGATGGGAACAGAGAGAAAGGGATTATAATGTAATATTTCCTGGACAGGATTTTCACTAAAACCTGGAGCTTCAATCTTAGAGAAGACTTGATAAGAATTTACAAAACTCAATAGTTTTATTTTTAGCTAAATACTTAATAGTGTTGTTCACATTCTGACCACTTTCTGTATTCACCATCTTTGAGACTAAACATACTATTTATTATTCTTACTAATGTCTGCTCCAGACATTAAGGGGAGCGATTACATTACTCAAGAAAGAAGCTTAAGTGAGGACTAAAAGCTTACAAACACGAATGTTTCTGTTCCCTCTTATAGGGTAGTCACTAATATTGACATCACCTTAATATTCTGTTGACCATATTTATCAATGTATGTCCTTGGAAGCGGAAAAGAGATTAGAGTAGAAAAAAAGAGAGCTGTAAGAGAAAAAACGAGATTCCAGAATCAGATTCTTTGATGTCTGCTCTTATAGAAAGTGGGAGAAATCTCCGAAATTGAGCCTTCCAAAGAACTTAACATATGAAATCATGTTTTTGATTATCATTCATCTACCCTGCCCTCCAGGGTTCCAGCCCAGTTCAGTGACAGTAAAACTAAGACAGAAATTGCTCTTAACTACGAGCTCATCATTGTGCATATTATTACTGGTTGCAATGGCCTTTGTTGGTCTTCACCATGCAATAACCACAAAGCCCTCATTTCTATGATCCAATTATTTCCTTCCTTGGTAATATTATTTCAGCCACTCCTTATTTGATGGCTATTAAATACTAACCTGAGAAGTCAGTTAAGTTTGCAGAGTTAGGGATAATTGCAGATAAATCTTAATATTTCATTAGGAAACAATCCTACATGAGGTTTCTTCAGGTAGTGGCTGTAGTAGAACAATAGCAAGAAGGCTAGCATAATCCAGGAATAATGAGGTCAAAACATGAAGACTGCCTTGCTGGTGCTGTTTTCCCACAAGTTTCAGAGGGGTGATTCTAAATAGCAAATGCTCAATTAAACAGCATCACCTGAACATTAGAGAGTGAAGATAAAAAGATACATGTTTCCTCAAGTATTGTGATTTGCCAAATTTAATTTCCTCAACCGCTACACAGTTTTCAGGTTTTTGGAAAAATATGTGGGGTTTCAGGTAAGATTTGAGCAGTGGCATGAAGGGGATAACCCAAAACTTGTCCAGATATAACACATGCCAAAGACATACAGGGTATCTCTTTAAATTTGGAATTATAGAATTGAATTGTGTTAAAAGAACAAGTAACTTAAAAAAAAGAAATGAGACATCTTACTGATCCATATAATTAAGAAAAAAAATGGAAAATAAAAGAAAGATAAATACTTGAAATCTGAGGCAAACCTGACTAGTAAGAGTCTGCACCCAGGTTACATGTTGCTCTCATAACTATCACTCGCTTTTCCCCATCACTGGAGGGAGGACTGAAGAGGACTGGTGAGCACTCAGTGGGTTAGGGAAGAGTCACGATGACTGTGTGGATGAGGGTGAGAATGCTTATAGGGAGGGACAATTTCCTTTAATGCTACTATTTGGAATCTAAGCTAGATGCATTTTGGTTTTTGGTTTTGTTTTTCTTGGAGGTGGAAATGATGAGTGTGGCAAAAGACAGGGAGTTGGCCATGAGAATTTACCTCTGCTTGGAAGTGAAATTGTTGGCACAGCTGGACAACGTGAGAAAGGCTGTCCTGGTTTTTGCCATATCAAGTGTGTCAGGCACAGCATGGGGGCAGCAGAAACTACAGAAACAAAAAGAAAAAGGAAGTGAGTTGCATGGGCATGGAGAAGCCTTATAAACACCACAGGGCCACCCAGTTCCACATTCTGAACATTTTCAGCAGCAGCTGAGGCAATCCCACTGAGAGAACTTGGAGGTTTTTGTAACAGGGTGTATCACTGTGAGAGGGAAATTATCATGTTGTAGACAGAAGTAATATGCAGCATCCTCAGATTCTATGTTATTAATTGTGAGGGTAAAATCTGTTCCATACCCGCTGCCACTGAATCGAGGTGGGATTCCAGGAACGAGAGTAGTAGCTTCTTGAATAATGAAAATAGCAGCTTCTCCTGGTTTCTGTTGGTACCAGTTCATATCATCATCAATGTCTTGGCTGGCTTTGCAGGAGATGTTGACTTTGTCTCCTGGAGTCGCTGACATGAATGCTGGAGACTGCGTGAGTGTCGTTTCTGCCCTGGTATCTGATTATGGAGCAAAGTAAAAAACATAAATCAAATGCATCATATTTGCAGAGAATGAGGAAAATCAATTCCTTATGAAAATATATTATTTTTGTGGATATGCAGGGGACTTGGTGGCACAGAGGAGAGGAAGTGTTTCTCTTACCAGAGATCCAAAGGAGGAGGAAGCTGAGGAGGTGAACCTGGGACCCCATAACCTTGGCCCTGACCTGCAGGTGGTAGTCAGTTCCTAATCAGTTTGACAGCACAGATTTTATGGCCACAAACATATTATAGGGTTATATAAAGGACAAATATGCAAATTATATGGTACATGATGGTGACATAGGGAGTGTTTAAATGGCAGACTGTGTGAAACCTAACCCATGAGCTGTGCATAGTTTTATCTTCACAGCTGTGCACACTCAGAAGGTTAAAATTAACGTAACCTCCTGGGTGTGCATTTATCATCTTTCTTTTTCTTTGCATTTCTGCAACAAGACTCATTATTCTGCAGGCTTCAGTGTTACCTCTTCTGTGGTTCTGATGCTCAGTAACCCACCAGTGGTAGACGCCATGGCAATATTCCTGACATTGCCAACAATTGCCTTTCTTTTTTCCCTGCATCAGGCATCCTGTTCTGTTACTTGTGATGAAACCCAGTGTTAGAGAGGCTGCACTTTTACAATGCACACTTGGTTCCCTGATTACTGAGCCCTACTTTTCTTTTGCATTAATGCACTTGTTAGTTCTACTAAACTATAATTTCATAACATTTCGGTAGTTGTTTTCATGTATTAAAATTTTTATTTTATTTTGACTACAGTATATTAATTACTTTTCAGTGGAACCTGGTAGTCGTAAAATGATTTTCTTTCTATACCATAAATGCACATTTTTAAAAACTATAAGCAGTCTTTGAAAATGGAACTCTGAAAATTACAGGTATACCTTAGTGTAAAAGAGATAAAGAATGAGAAATTAGATTAGTGTAGTCAGTTTGAGTGGAAAGTGATGTTACTCTTCTGGGTTTTTTTTTTTAATAATAAAATTCTGTTTTTCCCATTTTATTCTTCTAGAAGGCAAAGGGAATCATGGAGGTGGAGGACTCTTCCTAATGAAACAAAAAGCATTCTAGAAAGTTTCCAAACTTCAGCATTGCTGGTATCTGATATGTATTACTGGAAAACAGAACCAACAACATAATTTGTGAGCCCCAGTGCAAAATAAAAATGCAGGGCTGCTTCTTAAAACAGGAAGAGAATTTTCTCAAAAATATTTTATTACTTTGAAAATATAATAGTAACATGAATAGCAAGATCAGCTTTCATATAATTCAAAATGTCTGCTTATGCATTCTATCATATCACTGGATCCTCCATTACAAGGAAAAAATAATTTTTAAATTGTTTTTCTCAATAATAATTGATAATTTGAATCTTCATATGAGAATAATGTTCTTTTCTATCAAATATAACAATATTTAAACTTAGTTTTTACTTCTAATACTGTGGAAAATTGCTTTGCATTATTACAGCAATTTTCAAACATGGAGATTCTAAACTCTTGGGAGAATTATAATAACTCCTTGATATGTTTTGTTACAATGTTTATGAGTATGCTTTTATTTTGTAATGATTTACTCACAGTGCTTACTGCCTAAGCATCAGTAGTTCCTGTTTTAATACTCAGGCTGGAGAGTTAAAATTAATTATACTTCAATTTAATTTCGATTTATTAAGCCACACAATTATATAACAGCAGTAATACATAGAATTTTGATTAATAGCTACTATTATCATAACATATTTGCACTACCCATGAAACATTTAATGTTAATTAAAAGTGCACTTAGAAATAAGCCAGACACAGAAAGACAAATATTTCATGTTCTCACTCATATGTAAGAGCTAAAGTAGTGGATCTTATGGAGCTAGAGAGTAGAATAGTTACCAGAAGCTGGGAAGGGGGGAATAAAGAGAGGTTGGTTGATGGGTACAGACATGCAGTTAGAGAAAAGGCATAAGTTTTTGATAGCATCATAGGGTGACAATAGCTATCAATAACATTGTACATTTAAAAGTAGCTAAAAGAGAAGATTTTGAATATTCTCAACACATAGAAATTATGAATGTTTGAAGTGATGGATGTCTTAAATATCTTGATTTGTTTATTACACATTTGATTTGTTTATCACACACACATATATCAAAATATCACAGGTACCCCATAAATATGAAAAATTATTATTTAATAATAAAATATTTTGGAAAAACAATTAAAAATTATTTTATTAAATCACTGGAACAGTAGAAAGACCACTAGTGGTGTATGAAGAGTGACTTTTACTTTTTAATCTAAATACTTCATTGTAGTTTCTTAATAACAAGAATGTATGCAAACATCACTTGTATAATCTACACATAGGAATATATATTAAAAGTTTTCTCTATGTAATGTGTTTATTTATAGCTTTCATTCTAATAAAAAAATTAGCATAAAAAAGTAAATAAAACCTGACTTGGATTAATTGTACATTTATTGCAATCCCTAGTACAACTACTTAAAAAGTAAAAAACAAAAACAAAAAAAAAGATCACCATCACTGATATGCTAAGAAAAGAAAGAAAATGGAATCATACAAAATGCTCAATTGAAATCACAAAAGACAGAAAAAAAGTGTGGAGACAAATGAGCAAAAAGAACCAGAGCACCAAATATGAAATAACAAACATTATTCATCAATCCAAATGTACTAATAATCACTTTAGACATCAGTGGATTGTTACACCAATTAAAAGAGATTGTCAGCCACATTATAAAAAACACCCAACTATATGTAGTCTACAAGAAATCCATTGTAAATATAAAGACATATAGATTAAAAGTAAAGGGATGGAGAAAGATATACCATGCTAACACTTATCAAAAGAAAACCAGAATAATTTCAGACAGACCAGACTTCAGAGCAAGGAAAAGTATCAAGGAATTAAAAAGAGGACATCATTATAGATTTTATGTATGCTAAAAAAAATAGTAAAAGAATACTATAGATAACTTTGTGCCCACTTACTTGATAACCTAGATGAAATAAACCAACTTTTTGAAAAATGCAATCTACAAAAGCTCACACTGAAGAAATAGTAAAATCAGAAAAGACCTGTATCTATTGAAGAAGTAGAATCAATAATTAATAAGCTTTCAAAACAGAAAACACCAGGCCTAGATGGATTTATGGGTGAATTCTATCTAATATTTAAGGAAGAAATTATACCACTTCTCTACAATATATTCCAGAAGAGAAAAGCAAGAGAGAATACTTCCTGTTTCTATGAGACTGGCATAATCAGAATGCCAAACCAAAAAAAAGAAATTACTAAAAAAATCTACAGACCAATATTGCTCATGAAAATAGATGCAATATTCCTCAATAAAATATTAGTAAATCGAACCCAACAATATCTAAAAAGAATTATATACTATAAGCAATTGGGATTTATTCCACATCTGCAAGGCTGGTTCAATATTAGTAAACCAATTAATGTAATCCATCATATTAACAGATTAAGAAGAAATACATAATCATATCAATAAACGCAGAAAAAGAATTTAAAGAAATCCCATACTCATTAATTATAAAGAAAAAACTCTCAGTAAACTAAGAATAGAAGAGAACTTCCTCTTGTAGATGCAAGTCATGAAGTCCATCTACAAAAATCTGCATGTAACACCATATTTAATGGTGAGAAATTAGAAGCTTTCCTGCTAAGATGTGGAAAGGATGTTCCCTCTTACTTCCTTTTCCACAGAGTACTACAAGTTCTGCCAATATAATAAGACAAATAATGGAAATTAAAGATACACAGATTGAGAGGAAAGAAATTTCATATGATTATATCATTACGTGCAGAAAAAGCATTTGTCAAAATCCAATACCTATTCATGATTTGTAAAAATTAGAAAAATTTAAAACACAATAGCTGTTCATAACAGAATTTATTCACAAAATTAAAAAATGAAAATGAGGCTGCCGCAAAACTAAGTTTTTGAGTGGCACATTTGTTAGCTAAGGAAGAGAAGCCACTTACCCATGGTAAGTTAATTAAATCATGTTTGATTGCAGCAGCTAAAAACTGTGTCCAGAGAATATAAACTTGCTTAGGACTATTGGCTTTCTGTACGTTTATGGATCATAGTTCAGGCAAAAGCACTGTGTTCAGGGAAGGTAAATTCATATCCAGAGTAGGCATCTATTTTAGTAGGAATGAAATGCTGTTTCTTACATGATGGAAGTGGTCTAATGTAATCAACCTGCCACCACGTAGCTGCTTGTCACCCAGGGGAATGGTGCCATATTAGAGAATTAGTGTAGGTCTCTGCATCTGACAGATTGGACACTCAGCTGTGGCCACAGCCAGATCAGCTGTAGGGAGTGAAAGTCCATTTTACTGAGGCCATGCATAAGCTCCATTCCTGCCACTGCGATCACTTTGTTCATGAGCCCATTGGGCGATGACTGGGCATTTTGCTGCCATTCTTATTACCGTTATATGACCAAGCTATTCAGTGCAGACACACAAAGATAACACCATGTTTCTTTGAAGGGTGTGTAACTCACACATACATCATTGTTCAAGGCCATGGGTCTCTTTAATTTCCAGTGAACCAAATGGGCTATACCTTATTATTATTTTGGAAACTTCCGTATTCCACCCTTTTGCTGCCATTTGATCTTATTTCCTACAGCTCATCAGCATGAAGCCTCTGACTACTGATCCTATAGATGATTATCTTTTAAAAATCACCATTTCTTCCTCCAACTCAAGAGGATAACCCTGGAATTAGAGTCTGGGTCAGGATAAACCTAAAACTCTGGATCAGGTGAGGCCTCTGAGGATCAGTTTTCTCTAAGGCAGGATGAAGACCAAGAATATCCCAAGGAAATCCCCAGGATATCACCTGGAGAATTACTGGGATTTGCATAGGGGATAGGGAGGAAGGGGAATTGGGGATAGAGTCAAAGCCAGTTGTGCTATCAGTGTAGCCAGGCCAGGGAACCCCCAAGCCCTCAAGTGGAGGCTGCAAATACAGCAAACTTGTGTCTACTACTCAGAGTCGAAAGCCTGTCTGTGCACAGCAGTCCTGGTACCATCTGTGTCAGTGATGGCTCAGGGGTCAGCTGTTACATATGTAAGTATTACTTGATGCATTTTAAAATCTTACAAAAGACAATTCTAAGGGTCAGACTGAGAGAAAGACTTAATTCAATGTCTCATTTGTATGAGTAAGATCTAATTTGCATCACTAAGATCTAATATGAAAAGTTATGTGAATTTGGTTGGTCCCTCTCGCTCTCAAAATATCTTCTTTTACAGTACTCATGTGTTTTAGACTGTGGTTGACTATAAGTAACTGAAGCCACAGAAAGGAGATTTGTGGATGAGGGGGGACTAACATACTTAGGAATACAACTATATACATATGACTTCATTTTTAAGACCATATTGTATTTAGGTATCTACTAATATATTATATAAAGCTATGTTTTATTCCATTCCCTGGCTTTTACTTTTATCATGTATGTACTCGGACACACAATAAAGCAGAAAATTGTTTCCCCCAACCACAGTTTTACTCAAAACTTAGAATCATCGGCAGTCCTTGGTTAAAAATGTGTTTTTCTAGAACCTTCTGCAGTTTTGATTAAATAGATTCCATGGAAACCACACACACAAAAAAAGAACTAAATGAGAGCTCAGATTTACCTCACCTACAGAGGTCTATTTCTTCTCTAGAATTTTAGGTCATCTAACCTTTGTGTCTTCTGTAGCTCTCCGATGTCATCATACACATGAATTTTTAGTTAAGTTTGTGTTTATTTCTGCATTTATAGCAACAGCTATGGTGGTCTTCTAAGTGGAAATTCTTTCATTTTTTTAATTAAATTATAATATGCTCATGTCCACTTCTGTATTATATTATAAGACATTAAGGTCTATGTCAATCAATAAATACATATGACATACACAAATGCTGAAAATTTATTAAAAACTAAAGAAATGATAGTGATCATGTCAGAGTTTATGATATTAGATAATAAACATGATTTCCATATACCAGTAATAAATGTCTAGAAATATGTGTTTTAAATATACCGCATTTAAAATTTTCTCTTTTTTTTCACAAGGGGTCTCACTATGTCACTCAAACTGGCCTCAAATCTGTGAGCTCAAGCCATTCTCCTGCTTCAGCCTCTCATTCCTAATACTGTTTGTGATTTAATAACAGGAAACATCACTTATGGTATTATGTTACACTGAAGTTAATGAAGGTTTGAATTCACAACAAAATAATCCCCTTCTGCCAAAGGAAATAAATTGTATTTGAGATGCCACCTATTCCAAAGTAAGATATCCCATGGTGAGTATAATCAAAATTTCAATGACAATATACAACATACATCAATATATAGAGAACAGAAAGAAAACTTAGTTATTTGATTAAAAAATCATTATCTCAGCAGGGTGCGGTGGCTCATGCCTGTAATCCTAGCACTTTGGGAGGCCAAGGTGGGCGGATCACTTGAGGTCAGGAGTTTCAGACCAGCCTGGCCAACATGGTAAAACTCTGTCTCTACTAAAAATACAAAAATTAGCCAGGCTTGGTGGTGTACACCTGTAGACCTAGCTACTCAGGAGGATGAGGCAGGAGAATTGCTTGAACCCATGAGTCAGAAGTTGCAGTGAACTGAGATTGCACCACTGCACTCCAGCCTAGGTGACTGAGTGAGACACTGTCTCAAATAATAATAATTATTATTATTACTATTATTATTTTCTCAATAATTAATTTACAAATATTTGAAGTTGCAGAGACAGAAAAAAATAGAGCAGAAGGAAATACAGTTGGAAAAAAAAAACAGACAGATACTTATCTGTGCTACTCTATCAAAAAAATGCTTAAGAAGTCTTTGCTCATGCCTATGTCCTGAATGGTATTGCCTACATTTTCTTCTAGGGTTTTTATGGTTTTAGATCTTAAACATTTAAGTCTTCAATCTACCTTGAGTTAATTTTTGTATAAGGTGTAAGGAAGGGATCCAGTTTCAGTTTTCTGCATATGGCTAGCCAGTTTTCCCAACACCATTTATTAAATAGGGAATCCTTTCTTCATTGCTTGTTTTTGTCAAGTTTGTCAAATATCAGATGGTTGTGGATGTGTGGCATTATTTCTGAGGCCGCTGTTCTGTTCCATTGGTCTATATATCTGTTTTGGTACGTGTAAATTAGTTCAACAATTTACACGTACCAAAGAAGACAGTGTGGCAATTCCTCAAGGATCTAGAACAAGAAATACCATTTCACCCAGCAATCCCATTACTGGGTATATACCCAAAGAATTATAAGTCATTCTACTATAAAACACATGCACACGTATGTTTATTGCAGCACCATTCACAATAGCAAAGACTTAGAACCAACCCAAATGCCCAGCAATGATAGACTGGATAAAGAAAATGTGGCACATATATACCATGGAATACTATGCAGCCATAAAAAGGGATGAGTTCATGTCCTTTGCAGGGACATGGATGAAGCTGGAAACCATCATTCTCAGCAAACTAACACAGGAACAGAAAACCAAACACTGCATGTTCTCACTTATAAGTAGGAGTTGAACAATGAAAACACATGGACACAGGTAGGGGAGCATCACACATCAGGGCCTGCGGGGGGAGAGCGGGGGCTAGGGGAGGGATAGCATTAGGAGAAATACCTAATGTAGATGATCAGTTGATGGGTGCAGCAAACCACCATGGCATGTGTATACCTATGTAACAAACCTGCACGTTCTGCACATGTATCCCAGAACTTAAAGTATAATAATAATAAACCAGGAAATAAATAATAATAAACCAGGAAAGCCAAGTTAAACCCATTTGCTTGACTGATCATGATCCTACTGGATACATTCTCATGGGTCCCAATTTTGCCCACTGCTCATTTTCACTGATCTCATTTTAGGGGGTTTTAGGTATGGAGTCCTTAGGATTTTGCATTAAGTTTGGTGATTTTTAAGAGAGGCCTATCACCAGAGCTCCATCAGTGATCATTTGACTTTATGTCTGACCCTGTACACAGGTGGCTACTTGTCTCCTAACCTCAGTTTTCCTCTTTTTCCTTATTAGAAAACAATAACAACATCAACACAGACCCTCTTGGAGCTAGGAATGGCCAAAAGAAGTGATGTGTAAAAAACAAACAAACAAAAATAAATAAATAAATAAAAACCACTTAATAAACTGGATGTAGAAGAAACATATCTTAACATAATAAAAACTATATATAACAGACACACTGAATGGGGGAAAAGTGAAAGCCTTTCCTGAGAGATCTGGAACATGACAAGGATGCCCACTTTCACCACTCTTATTCAGCATGGTACTGGAAGTCCTAGCTAGAGCAATCAGACAAAAGAAAGAAATTAAGGAGATCAAAAATTCAATGGAAGAAGTCAAATTATTCTTGTTAGGCGATTATATGATCTCATATTTTGAAAAACCTAAGGACTCCACTAAAAAACTCTTAGAACTGATAAACCAGTTCAGTAAAGTTGGAGGACACAAAATCAACATACAAAAAAACAACAGTATTTCTATATGCCAACAGTGAACACTCTGACAAAAAATTAAAAATAATCCCATTTACAATAACCATACTTAAATTCATAAGAATTAACCAAACAAGTGAAAGATCTTTATAATGAAAACTATAAAATACCAATGAAAGAAATTGAAGAAGACACCAAAAAATGGAAAGATATTTCATGCTTAAGGATTGGAAAAATCAGCATTGTTAAAATTTCCATAGTACCCAAAGCAATCTACAGATTCAATGCAATCCCTATCAAAACGCCAATGACATTTCTCACAGAAATAGAAAAAACAACCCTTAAATTTATATTAAACCACAAAGGACCCACAATAGCCAAAGCTATCTTAAGCAAAAAGAACAAAACTGAAAGAATTGCATTACCTGACTTCAAATTATACTCAGAGCTATAGTAACCAAAACAGGGTGGCACTGGCATAAAAAAGAGACACATAGACCAATGGAAAGAATAGAGAACCCTGCAATACAAATCCACATACCTGCAGTCAATTCATTTTCAACAAAGATGTCATCAATTTACACTAGGGAAAAGAATCTCTTCAATAAATAATGCTGGGGAAATTCGCTATCCATATGCAAGAGAATGAAACTAGACTTCAATCTCTCACCATATAGAAAAAGCAAATCAAAATGGATTAAAGACAAATCTAAGACCTCAAACTATGAAACTACTACAAGAAAACATTTGGGAAACTCTCCATGACATCAGTCTGGGCAAAGATTTCGTGAGTAATACCCCACTAGCACAGGCAATCAAAGCAAAAATGGACAAATGGGATCACATTAAGTTTAAAAGCTTCTATACAGCAAAGGAAGCAATCAAAAAAGTGAAGAGGCAACCACAGAATAGGAGAAAAAATTTACAAACTATCCATCTGACAAGAGATTAAGAACCATAATATGTATGAGGAGCTAAAACAACTCTATAGGAAAAAGTCTAATAATCCAATCAAAAATAGGCACAGGATTTGAATAGACGTTTCTCAAAAGAAGACAAACAAATGACAAGCAGGCATATTAAAAGGTGCTCAGCATCATTGATCATTAGAGAAATGCAAATCAAAACTACAATGAGATATCATCTCGCCCCAGTTAAAATGGCTTATATCCAAGAGACAGGCGATAACAAAAGCTGGCAAGAATGTGGAGAAAAAGGAACCCTTATACACTGTTGGTGAGAATGTAAATTAGTACACCCACTATGGAGAACAGTTTGGAGGTTCCTCAAAAAGCTAAAAATAGAGCTACGATATCATTCAGCAACTCCACTGCTGGGTATATACCCAAAACAAAGGAAATCAGTATATCAAAGAGATATCTGCTCTCCCATATTTGTTGCAGCACTGTTCGCAATAGCTAAGATCTGGAAGCAACCTAAATGTCCATCAACAGATGAACAGAAAAAGAAAATGTAGTACATAAACACAATGGAGTACTATTCAGCCATAAAATAGAATGAGGTCCTGTCATTTGCAACAATTTGGATGGAACTAACGAACGTCATTACGTTTAGTGAAATAAGCCATGTACAGGAAGACAAACATCATTTATTCTCATGTATATGAAGAGTCTAAAAATGAAAACAATAGAATTTATGAACATAGAGACTAGAAGGATAGCGACCAGAGGCTGAGAAGAGTAGTGGGCAGGGGTGGGGAGTAGGGGGAAAGTGGGGATAGTTAATCCATACAAAAAATACTTAGAAAGAATGAGTAAGTCCTACTATTTGCTAGTACAACAGGGTGACTTTAGTCAATAATAACTTAACTATACATTTTTAAATAACTAAAAGAGTGTAATTGGATTGTTTGTAACACAAAGGATAAATGCTTAAGGGGCTGGAGACCCCATTCTCCATGATGTGATTATTACACATTGCATGCCTGTATCTAAACATCTCAGGTACCCCATAAATATATATACATATGTGTATATATATATGTGTGTGTGTGTGTGTGTATATATAATCTTTCTACTGTATACCATGAAAATTAAAAATGGAAAAATGATAAATAAGAAGAAAGTTGGCAAACTATTGTAAAAGGCAATGAGAAATGCTGTCACATATTTCTAGAGTAATAAAGAATTAGAAAATTGCCTATGAAAGTATTAATATGATGGAAAGAAACAGGGTCTCTGGAAGGAAAAAGCTACAGAGGGACACTACCTTCTATGTGGGAGGCTATGAATAGGAAGGATCAAGGTTTAATATTGGGAAGGATTGCAGATGAAGAAAGAAAAAAGAGAATTAGGAATCCAAGTAGAAACTTTCCAGAGTCAAGGAGGCACATAGAGGAAAGAATTGACCCATCTGTGCGTAAAACTGAGTGGACCCTGTTCTAGAGAGTAAAGATAAATCTATTTGGCTCGGTCATGTGATGTGTCCATGTGAAACATGCAGGTTCCTGCAACACAAAAACTCCTGACAATGTCTCTAAGGGATCTTTACAACATTTTGCTTTAATAATCTTCTACAAAAAGAGATCCAGCAAAAGTCAAGTCTCTTAATTTAATCCTGGGCCCTGCAAACCCTCCAACGAATAAATCAAGAGAGTGACCTCCCCAACACACAGAGGAAGCATGCATGTTGGGGGCTGTGTGCAGAGGAAGCAGCTGCTGCAGCAAAGACCTACTGGCCCAGCGTATGGGGAGGAGGTTTGTGTTCGAGGCTGAAGCACTGTGGGAGGAGTACTATAATATTGCTGACAGTAATAAACTGCCACATCTTCAGCCTGCAGGCTGCTGATGGTGAGAGTGAAATCTGTCCCAGACCCGCTGCCACTGAATCGGTCAGGGACCCCGGATTCCCGGGTAGATGCCCAGTAAATGAGCAGCTTAGGAGGCTGTCCTGGTTTCTGCTGGTACCAAGCTAAGTAGTTCTTATTGTTGGAGCTGTATAAAACACTCTGGCTGGACTTGCAGTTGATGGTGGCCCTCTCGCCCAGAGACACAGCCAGGGAGTCTGGAGACTGGGTCATCACGATGTCCCCGTAGGCACCTGTAGTCAGTAATGGACAATGATTATACATAAACTTATACACGCTGTCTCAGATATAATTGAAATATGTCATTTAAATTTGCTTTCTAGTAGTATTATAAGTCAGCAGATAATTGGATCCATATTGGAAATAGTCATTATTTCCAACTATATCTTAATTTTTTTTATTTCTACACAGATATTACTCTGAAAAGACTGTGGCACTTTTTAATTCCTCACCAGAGATCCAGAGCAACAGAGAAATGAAGACCTGGGTCTGCAACACCATCTTGCTGCCCCTGCCTGCCTGTTGTAGCTCAGTTCACAATGCAAACGGCCCGTTTATAAAATCCAAACAGCTGGTCGTGGCCTGGAGGGGCCTATGCAAAAACAACCAGTGAGTACAAAAGCAAATTTCATGAGCAGTGGGTTGTGAAAGTACCCAATGTAAATCAAGAGCCAAAAATATCATCACAGAATGTGTAATTGTATGAATAGAAAAGACAGAAGTCAACTTAGAAGCTCTAAAACTACAAACTGCTGAAAGATCTAATGACTAGGACAGCCTAGTAATTTTCATAGGGGCATAAATGTGAAACGCCTTGTGCATCGTAGAAGAAAGCAGAAGAGAAAGCATTCCCAATTTCTTAACTGCCTTTTACCTATATTAATCAGTAATATACTGGCTTTTACCTCTGTTAATCATAATAAACAAATTCTCAATAAATTTTATCGATACTCTTCAATGCCTGCTCAGCAACATTTTCCGAAGGCAGCTCAAGATATTAAATAACTCATAAGGGCCAACCTCCTATTGCAGCATTCTTTGGGATTTAACCAGTTTCCCAAGACTCTTTTCACAATGTTAAGATGTTAGAAATAGATCCAAAACTAGGTGATATATCCCCTAGTAAAACTGTGAGGTCAAACTTGTCTGGCTAATGCTTCCATTTAAAAATTTCTCTTTCTTGATCCTTCATTGTATGTACACAATAAATCAGGGGAAAACTTTAACTGAGTGAATCAAAGTATTCTCATTATTATAATAGGAGCTTCACACACACACAAAAAAATCAATTCTATTACTCTCAGCCTCAGTTCCTAAAGCCAAGTTAAAGTCCTGTTCTAAGATCATTGTTGCATGACCATATGTATTCCAGGTCTAATCTAAACTGTGGATAAATCCCAGCAGGACATTAGAGATTTTTGTGAGAGTAAGCATATAGGATTCAGGGTTTATGAGCTTTAGATTTTTCTTGTCAAAATGAATGAGAGTTGCCATATCTAAAAATTATTCCCAGATAAATAAAATTCACTACCTAGAATTAATTTATGCATATAAGTAGAAATGCTATCTCCCTTTTTACCATCCAAAGTGGAAAGCCTCATGGAACTAGAAATTAATATTAGAAAAATCAGTTAATAAAAGTATGTCATTTCATCAATTCAATAAGTTATAATAGCAAAAAACCATAATAAATTATCACTTAAATGTCAATACATTTATAAACTATGGTACATAAATAGGATATTGAATAGCCATTGATGCTCCTGATGAAAATTAGCAGGCAGTGATAAATGATAAATATGAAGCACATGTCAATAAATAAAATAAGTTTTATGTAATTTAGGAGAAAATGGTGATAATGACACAAAATGTGAATTATGGATGCATCTATAAAATTCTTTGTACATTTGTGAATTGTAAATATTTATCTTAGAGACATTATTACTTTGTATATGTTCCATTTGCTCACCTATATGTCCCAGTCTCCTTACAAATGCTATGGCCAAAGAAATAGGCATACATACATCCTTTGCAGGCTGAGGCAGGAAAAAGATCTTACGGAATTTTCCAGTCTATCCTTTATCTGTATAAGCAACTTAAGAGGCCATGTGCTCCAAATGGTGCAAATACAAGATGGTAGAGCCTCTGTCTGCCTGGATCCTTGAGTGGCTGCATGGAGCAGAGCACCTTTCTGGCCCTGGTGAAGATTGTAGCATGAGCAAGATATAAGCATTTGTTGGAGCTAGGCCATGAGATTTGGGGCAGTGGTATAACCTACCCTATTATGGAAAATATAAATACACAAAACAGAAAAGAGAGAGAGAAGTGAGAGAAGACTGTGAGAGAAGTGCATGAGAGAAGACTGTGTTTTGTTCATTTCCTATAATCCTATATCACCATGGGATCCTGTGCCTTCTGGTGATCAAACTAATGTTCTACAGCTCCAAAGAAGAATGCTCGCCTAACGTCTCCATTCCAATGACCTAGAGACTAAAAGCCAAAAAGAACCTTAGAAATTATCTATTGCATTCTTTGATGTAAGGAAATATCTTAGAGGGCACAGATAGAAATATCTTAACCCAGGTCACTTAGTTCGTGGCAGAGCTGAGGCTAAAACCAGGCCTTTTGACTCCTAATTTTGTGCTCTTTACACCTTCTCACATCACTTCTCCAACCCAAAGTCTAGCAGAAAAGGCTAAAATAAGATATATGCATAGATTTGCTATTATAAGTCCATGTACTTCCTCAGACGCTTTAAGATGGGGCTTCTCATGGTTCACAATAAGCAGCAGAGGGAAGTGAATAACTATCTTCGTCTCCCCTACTGCTATTTGTGCAGTTTGAAGCTTATCTCTTAAATCATGTTTTCTTCTCGTAGTAAATACTACAACTTGTGCCTTTTATGTGTGTATAAATTTTAATATAATTTTTTTCCATGAACCATTCAAGTAAAATGGACACTCCAAAAAGATGTTCAATAAGGTTACATGGCTTCACATTGCCCCCTCTACACCATCTTGTGGAGCTACACATTCACCTCACCCAAATTTGAGAAAAATAATCAAGAAAATGACTCTCACTAGCAGTGAGACCAAGTCCATAAGCACTAATGTCATCAGTGCACACTGCAGCCTCATGCTGCCAAGCATGTTTTGGGCGTATCCCTGGACTGGTTTGGTGACATGATCAAAGGTACATTTTCCACCTGCATAGCCCCATCCTGGATCTATAGCCTTCCTTGTGTCTTTGTGAACAACCTAGTGTGAACTCAAAGTATGAGACAGATCTCAATTAATTTAGAAAGTTTATTTTCCCAAGATTAAGGACAAGCCCATGATAAAGTCTCCAGAGGTCCTGATATATGTGCCCAAGGGGGTCGGGGCACAGCTTGGTGTTATACATTTTAGGGAGACAAGAAACATCAATCGATATGTAGAAGATGTGCATCGCTTTGGTCTGGAAAGGTGTGACAACTCAAGGCAGGGAAGGGGGCTTCCTGCTGGGGTTGCATTGTTTTGAGTCTCTGATCAGCCTTTCACATGTGAAAGGCAGGTAGAGAAATAGTCATTTATGCCTTAGTCTGGCTTATTGAAACAGTAGGGCAGAAGAAGCATTGCATATGCATTTGTCTGAAGTGAACAGAGGGATGACTTTGAGCTCTGTCCTTTCTTTGTCCACAAGGAATTACCTTGTGGGCAAATTGTGAGGGAGGTATGTAGCTTTTTTTTCTTTGTAGCTATCTTATTTAGGAATAAAATGGGAGGCAGGTTTGCCTGATGCAATTCCCAGCTTGACTTTCCCTTTTGGCTTAGTGATTTTTGGGGTCCTGAGGTTTATTTTTTCTTTCACATTAGTATAACTACTTTTCTTTTTCTAATTCCTTTTCTACTTGTATGTGTTACAGCTGACTTATGTTACTTGCAAAAAGAATTCTGACTAATGCACCATCTGACTAGAAGGCAGGGTTCTTCGATGATAACGAATCCTCCAGAATCTAGTAAACAGAATTGCCTGAAAAAGAGGTGGGTGTCTTCTTGGGGAATTTCTCATGGCAATGAATGGCAACTGGCCAAAGGATTTATGACCAGACTGAGCTCTCTTTTATCTATTCTGTTACTCACCAAGACCTATTAGGGTTTGTGCTCCACAGGGACACTGGTTTCTAAGTTCTAGGGTTAAACAGTCCACTCCCAGGCCCACCACACCATACCCTCCTGACATCTGGTGAACAGCAATAAAATTGTTTCTTATTCTGAAAATCCTCCAATACTTCCACCATCCCCAAAAATGCAGTGGAGGAGGAGAGAAAATGAATTGTTCCATTAGAGAACACAATATCCATTATATTATTCTTGGCCTTTGAGATACCTTACAAAACAAATACAAAAAAAGTCCCAATTTAACATCTTTTAATAATCTTTACAAAACAGAACACATCTCCTTTCTTGATAATAGTCAAGAGGCTCAGTGGCAACTGTGGTGAAAAGTGTCAGATTCTGGTCATGTTTCAAAGGTAGAAAAAATAGAATTTGTTAACATATTGGATGTGAGGCGTGGGAGAAACGTGAAATCAAGGTGGTTGCAAGTGTTTAACCTGAGCAACTAGAGAATTTGGAAGGACATTTTCTGAGATGGGGAAGGCAGGCGGGAATCAGGGATTAGAGTTGAACATATTAGACATTTGAGATGCCTGCTAGACCTCTAATTGGCAATATCCCTTGGACAGGTGGATGAATATGCGTGATTCTGGAGTTCGGGAAATAGTCCGGGTGGAGATGCAAATTTGGGAAACAGGGCGAGGTTACTAGCAATGAGTTAAATCAATGAAGGCAGGCTGGGACCTGGCAGGTAACCCAACAAGTAGAGGTCGAAGAGATGAGAAGAAAACAGCACAGGAGACTTAGAAGCAGTGGTCAGGAGGAAGGAGTTGAACCAAGAAAGTGATGTCCCAGAGCCAACAAAATAAGGATTTCTTTTCTGTTTACAAATGTAAAATTAAAAGGTTTAATAAAAAGAAAATTTACTTTTATGGTTGGTTGTTATTAAGTGGTCCAAACACTGTCTCCTATTTGTAGAATCAGAACTCTCTCATGGCAGTAGAAAATTTGGAAAGTTACTTTTTAAAAGGTGTGTGCACTGCTGCCCTTTGCTGGTCAAGTTTATGCACTGCAAATTCCAAGGACGATTGCTCGTCAGCTTTTCTCCTTTAAAATAGCTCAGGCTGTACAAGCTAGAAAGAACCTCGCAAGATATTCCTTCCAACATTTGCATTTGACTTATGGGAAGTGCAGGTTCAGCCAGAAAAGTTGTGTGCAAGGCCGTTTATGTAAGTTTATCAGACCTGATTCTTACGGCTCTTCCCATTGTTTCGAGCCTCCCTTCCATTCACTTCCCGCTCATACGCGACCAAGTATAGGACAGGAGTAGTTATTCTGCACTTTATAGCAGCTCCACTGTCTGGCACTCTGATGTTCTTTAATTACAAGCTTTATGACAGTGATTCTCAACCTGCTCCACTGCCTCCACCTAGTGGCAGAAAGAAGAAAATGTGTGTAACTCGGGAGTCTCTGGTCTGAAAGCTCCGGGGTATCATTTCTTCAAAGTCTTGAGCTTGTTTTTGTTTGTATTTATTTATTTATTTGTTTTAGAGACAAGGTCTCGCACTGCACTCCAGCCTGGGAGACAGAGCGAGACAATTCAGGATCTATCTAGTGAATAAAGAGATATCAGTAATGACTGTTTTATATTGTGGCTGTAGCGCATTCGAGGGATAATTCGATTCTGTTCTGCTTTCGAATGCATGGCTCACTGTAACCTCCAACTCCCGGGCTCAAGCGATCCTCCTACCTCAGCTTCTCCAGTAGTTGAGCTTGATTTATTTTAAAGTTTCATAAAATTTTGGCATTTCTTTCCACAATATGGCCATGTGTGCTTTACTATAAAATATTTTCATCACAAAATTTACATCGCTGGAAATCCCCATAAGCCAGTTTGAGAAACACAACCCAAGAAAGCAGAACAGACTCAAATTATCCCTTAAATCCCCCTTAACCACAAATATAAAACAGTCCGTGACTGGGCGTGTTGGCTTACACCTGTAATCCCAGCACTTTGGGAGGCCAAGGCGGGTGGATTACTTGAGCTCAGGAGTTCAAGACCAGCCTGGCCAACATGGTGAAACCCCGTCCCTATTAAAAATACAAAATTATTCAGGAGTTGTGGCAGGCAGTTGTAATCCCAGCTACTTGGGAGGCTGAGGCAGGAGAATCACTTGAACCCAGGAGGTGGAGGTTGTAGTGAGCCAAGATTGTGCCAGTGCACTCCAGCCTGGGCAACAGAGCGAGACTTCCATCTTAAAAAAAAAAAATTAAGTAAATAAAATATAAAAAAATAAAGCAGTCCCTATTGATATCTCTTTATTCACTAAATCAACCTGGAATTGACCTGAATTCTGATTTTTTTTTCATCATGGATTTTTTGCATTAATTTTGATTGTTTAAATATTGCATTAAAATATTATTTATCTTGACTACTGAGTTTGCGGGACCTCCTTAAAATTTATGACCAAGGCAATGCCTCACTCACTCGCCTTACCATAATCTGGGCCACATATCAGGGGCTCCAATAGCAAGCAACATGACTTTTGAACAGCTAAGACTTCTCTCTTCACTGTGAAGACCAGATGGGCCCTGCAAACAGTGTAACCTCTACATGAAAATGCACGAGATTCCAACTACAACCAGGCACAAAAGACTCTGATGGTGAAGTCCCAGCCCTCCAAGTCCCAACTTCCTGAAGGGAAAGAGCACCCCAAGTTCTGACCAGAGGCCAGAGTCATAACGAAGATGGAATGTGAGCTTGACATAGAAGGGGTGGTAGCACCTGGCTCAGTAATGAAGAGGCTTTCGGTCCTGAAGGAAGAGCTCAGCACATTCAAAGATTAGAAGGGAGGTCCCAGTCATAGGAGCAGGGAAGGAGAGAAGGCCCAATAAGAAACACAGACAGGAGGGAGGGGTCAGGGCAAGATCATACTGGAAACAACTAGAGAGCTAATAAAAGTCACAGTGCCCAGTCCCCACATGGACCAGACTCTTCGGAATCTCTAGGCATCAATTTGGGCACCAGTAGTTTTCAAAGTTCTCCAGAAGATTCTATGCACACCAGCCAAGGGTGGGAACCACAGGTGTTGGCCTAGGGATCATGACAATGAGTTTCTAAGTGCAATAAGAAACCTCCAGAGAGTTTAAGCAGGGGAATAATTTGATTTGTTTCTTGTTTGTGATTTTTAAAGATCAGTCTGGTTACTGTGTGTAAGACAATAATCCAGAAAATCTGTTGCTCATGAACCACATATCTGTAAATTTGCTTCCCCTGTAACTGGATCTAACCAACAAAAATTAGTACTTACTAAGAAATTACATGCCCAGGGACTATGCTAAGTAATTCATAAACACTATTTTATTTACTCCTCACAGCAAGTTTATAAGAGAAACGTTATTATTTCCACATTTCAGATGAGAAATTTGAGGCTTGGGGAAAGTTAAGTAATTTACCTAATGTCACACCCAGTTCATAAGATGCAGAGTTAAGATTCTAATTCTGTGTCTAAGTTGATGCTCCATCAAACACACCACGCCTCCAACTAGGAAGAAACATGCTGGCCAGAGGATGCTGTCATCAAGTTTACAGAATGGTTAGATTTCTAGGCACAGATGAATAAATCAACATGTTGGTTTGCAATAGAATGAATCTATCCAGCTCTGAATTTGCATCCAAGGGTTTGTGAGCACACAAGTCTAAAAGTGTGGCCTCAGCTCTGCTAACTTCATCAAGGTGAATACCTAGGAGGCCACCCTCTGAGACCACCAGATGGACAGTCCACCATCTGTTTACAGATGGTAAAGCCACATACCAGCTTTGCCATCTGATGTTCTCTATTCACATTCAACATTTATACAAGAAATAGTCATATGGATCCTTTTCAATAGACAGTACTGGGGAAATTGAATTGCCATATGCAGAAGAATGGAACTAGACCTCTATCTCTCACCAAATACAAAAGTTAACTCAAGACAGATTAAAGACTTACATATAAGACCTGTAACTACAAAAACACTAGAAGAAAACCTAGGGAAAATGCTTCTGGAATTAATCTAGGTGAAGAACTCAGGACTAAGATATCAAAAGCACAAGCACCAAAACAAAAATAGACAAACAGGACTTAATTAAACTAGAACGCTTCTGAACAGCAAGAGAAATAATCAATAGAGTGAACAGATAATCTGCAGAATGGGTGAAAATATTTGCAAACTATGCATCCTACAGGGAAATAATGTCCAGAATTTAGAAGGAACTCAAACAATTCAACAACAACAGCAAAATAACCCCACCAAAAAAGTGGGCAAAGGACATGAATAGACATTTTTCAAAAGAAGGTATATGATATGGTTTGGCTCTGTGTCTCCACCCAGATCTCACCCTAAATTGTAATAATCCCCACATATCATGGGAGAGACCCGGTGGGAGGTAATTGAATCATGGGGGCAGGTTTGTCCCATGCTGTTCTCATGATACTGAATAAGTCCTATGAGATCTGATGATTTTATAAAGGGGAGTTCCCCTGCACACACTCTCTTGCCTGCCTCCATGTAATATGTGCCTTTGCTTCTCCTTTGCCTTCTGCCATGATTGTGAGGCCTCTCCAGCCATATGGAACTGAGTCAATTAAACCACTTTTTCTTTGTAAATTACCCAATCTTGGGTATGTCTTTATTAGCAGCATAAGAACAGACTAATACAGTATACAAATGGCCAAGAAGCGTACAAAAAACAAAATGCTCAAATCACTAATCACTAGAGAATCGCAAGTTAAAACCACAATGAGATATTATCTTACAGCAGTCAGAATGCCTATTATTAAAACACCAAAAAATAACATGTTGGCAAGGATGCAGAGAAAAGGGAATACTTACACATTATTAGTGGGAATGTAAACTAGTACAGCTTCTGTGGAAAACACTATGGAGATTTCTCAAAGAACTAGAAATAGAACTACCATGTGGTTCAGCAATACCACAACTGGGTATCTACCCAAAGGGAAATAAATTATTATATAAAAAAGATATCTGCACTCACTTGTTTATTGCAGCACTATTCACAATAGCAAAGATATGGAATCAACCCAAGTGTCCATCAACAGATGATTGGATAAAGAAAACGTGGTGTGTGTGTGTGTGTGTGTGTGTATACACATACCACAATGAAATACTATTCAGCTATAAAGAAAAGAATGAAATCATGTCTTTTGCAGCAATGTGGTTGGAACTGGAGGCCATTATCTTAAGTGGATAATTCAAAAACAGAAGGTCAAATGTCACATGTTCTCACTTATAAGTGGGAGCTAAATGATGTGTACACATGGACATAGAGTGTGGTATGATAAACACTGGAGATTGAGATGGGTGGAAGGGTGGAAGGAGGTTGAGTGATGAGAAAATACTAAATGGATACAATATACATGATTCAGGCGATAGATACACTAAAAGCCCAGACTTCACCACTACACAGTATAGCTATGTAGCAAAATTGCACCTGTATTGCTTAAATTTATACAAGTAAAAAAAAGATCATACGAATTCTGTTTTTTATTCTCTATGAAATTACTACTGAGAGTATTATCCAATGCCGTTTCTATGCAGTGCCCCCAATATTATCCATTTAGCAGCTCCTATGCAATGCCCCAAGATAGAAATTGTCTTCAACTTTTATCCCAGGAAAACCTTCAGTCACACGTAGAAACTAGAAATTTTTCCCCTAGATGAAAGTTATGTAACATAACACATTATCTTCATTTAGTCGGTTTCCAAGAAGCTCAGAACCAGATTTTATGTTCAATCAAAAACTGCTTATTTTAAGTGAGGTTTACTGAGGTATAAATTACAATAAAAGCCACCTTTTCGTGTATATTTCTATAAGTTTTGGCAAATGCATAGCTGTGTAACCACAACCACATTCAAGATATAGGACAAGTCCCTCATCCTTTAAAGTTCCTTTATGCCCCTTCCTTCACCCCAGCCCTTGGCAACCACTGGTTTTTGTCTGATCCAATCGTTTGCCTCTTCCTGAATGTCATGTAAATAGAGCCATGCAATGTGAAGCCTTTTGAGTCTGGCTTTGTTCACTTGTTCACTTAGGAGAATGCATTTGAGATTCATCCTTGCTGTTTCGTGTAGCACTAGTTCACTGTCTATTGTTGAGTAGTATTCCATTGTGTGGATATGCCACAGATTGTTTATCTAGTTAACAATTTAAAGCCATTTGGTCATTTCTAATTTTTAGCTGCTAAGAATAAAGTTGCTGTAAGCTTTCCAATGCAGGTTTTTGTGTGAACTCAGGATTTCATTTCACTTGGGTAAATTCCTAGCTTTGGGACTGCTGAGTCATCTGGTAGGTGTATGTTGAACTTTATAAGAAACTGCCAAACTGTTTTCCAAAGTTGCTGTGCTCTTTTGCACTCCCATCAGCAGTGAATGAGGGTTCCACTTGCTCGAGCCTAGTATTTTAACTTCACTATATACCTTCTTTGATGACATATCCTTTCAAATTTTTGGTCAAGTTTTTATTGGGGTGTTGTTACTATGGACTGTGAGAGTTCTTTGTATATTCTGCATATGATTTTTTTCTCACATTTGTGTTTTATGAATATGTTCTCCCAATGTGTGGCGCCTTTTATTTTCTTAACGTGCCATGTGAAGAGCAGAAGTTTAATTTTATGATGTCCAAATTATCTTTTTTTCTTTTCTTTTTTAGATCAAAATAGGGGTCTATTTTGATTACCACTGTTATTTTATCTCCATTTGATTTTCGATTTTTATTTTTATTTTTCTAATTTCATTGTAAATTTTTAATTAAACCCAAATATTCTAGGGGAAAGAGGCAAGATAAAAATAGTCTAACTTGGGCATAAATTTTAGAGTCATATTCTCTTGCCGAGAAAGGAAACTAGCTCTCTTACATTGATTGTTTAATTTCAGACGTCACTACTTTATGAGGATGCCCAAATTATGGGCTTTAAAAAATATATATCCAAACAGGGGTTCAGAAAGAATAACTAATTTGTCCACAACAACACAAAAAATGATTCCACCATAAGTTTGCCCAGTGACAGGGTCTATATTATTTTCTATATATCAAATTCTACAACTGGTTCTTAAAGCTACTGTACATAACCTAAGTTAAAATATTAGGTATTAGTTGATAAGACATTTTATCATCTATGAAATGTTGCCTGTTGTCATAGTTAGAGAATCTTTTAAAATATGGAGCTGTTTTCATAGATTAAACTATGCCAGTTAAAAGTTGGGTAAAAAGAACTACAGAATAATATTTATGTTTATCGTGTAAGGTTTTAAAGCAAACTCCAAGTCATTTTCATCAATGAAATCAATAAGGTTTTGCAAATATATATGTATGAAAATACTGATTTAAAATGCAAATAAGGGGAGAGTTTGAGAGAGAGAGAGAGACCAAATGATTTTATAATTCTAGTAAGTTTATAGGTTTATGGGGTTTTTACGTACTTTTCTACCCAACTTGTCTATAAGACTTTAATGAATCACTTAGAATTTTTAAAATAATTTATTATTACTCTGTACCTGTTCTTTACTCTGCAAATCTTACCTTGCCCTTTTGTCTAAAAGCAATAAAATCTGACCTGGTTTATATCGTATCATTGATTTTGTTACTTAGCAAGCACAATGATCCATTAGGCCTATGTAGGCTCATGGTTTATACAACACTGCCATCTGCTGACAGAGTGTGACAGTCACAGTCAGCAACACGAGACCACTTTATTTTCATTTTTAGTGTTTATAGAAATATGAATATACACAAATAGTATAATGAACCCTAAGCTTCACAAATTAACATTTTGCTAATCTTGTTTCAACTACCGCCTCCCCCCTCATCCAATTACTCTGTTCTCTCACCTCCTCACACACAGACACTGGCAGTATTTTTCAGCCAATCATTAATACGTTGCCAACTGATAAGGACTTTTAAAAAACAACCACCATTCCATTATGATTCCCAGCATAATTGAGAGTAATTCCCTAATATCCAATACCCATTTTCTATTCCAATTTCCTTGATTGTCTTTAAACTGTCTTTACCCTAAGTTTGCTTAAATCAAAGTCCAGGTCCTGTTAAACATATGGTTAAGTTTTACCCAAACCCAAATAAATAAATAAATAAATAAATAAATAAATAAATAAATAACCTATTTTTTCCAATTCCAGGGAATAGTGAAAGAGGGTAAATGCCATTATTTAGAAACATAAATCACATCATAGGACTAGAATTATCTTGAAGTCAAAATTGAAGACTGAAAATGGAAAAGAAAGGTATAGACTAAACTTATTTAAAAACTTCAATGCAGAACTCTAAGAGAAGATATTAGAAAGTTGTACCAGCATTCATTATTCAGTATTCATCAGTATTCACTCAGCTATATGTAGTTGAAATCTAACTAGAGGAGCTTGATCAGATAAAGAGATACATTTTTCTCACCAAGGCGGACTCTGGAGGCAGGTGGTTCAGAGCTAGACAGCTGCTGCAGGACCCAGGTCCTTTCCCTGCCTGCTCCTCCACTCTAGCTTGTGACTTTCATCCTGCAAGATGGGTGCTTCTGCCAAGTTCCAGATAGAAGAAGATAGAACACAAAGGAGAAATAAGCAGTGGTGCCTCTGTCCATCAAGCAAAATTTTTCCAGAAATGCACAATAGATTTCAGATGATGTCTCAACAGTCCTAACTGCAAAGAAGCTGAGGAATTAGATTTTTGGCTGGGACACTGTTGCCCTGTAAAAAAATTGGGATTCTGTTATTAAAGAATAAGAGGAGGGAAGAAAGATTGAAAACTCCTATGCAATAGTGAAAAAAATAAGAAACTCAATAAAAAAGTGGGCATACCTTAAAAACAGGCAATTCACAACAGATGAGACCCCAATAGCCAATAAACATTTTTAAATGGTCAACCTCATGAGTGATCAGAAAACACAAATATGTATTTTAAACCAAAAATAAAATACAACGTATTGACCATTTGAGTGGAAAAAAATTAAAAAGCCTGATAATATCAAGTATTGGAGAGGATGTAGAGTGAGGAAACTCCATGGAGGACTTATCATTGCAAATGTGGGAATGAAACTTAATACACGAATTTGAGGCCAATTTGTAAATTGAAAAATGCGCACACCCTGCAACCAAGTACCCCTTGCAATATTTTTGAAAAGACAAAAACGTTATGTAAATGGAATCATGCAATATGTGACCTTTATACTCAGCATAATGCCCCTCAGATCCATTCAAGTCATGTGTATCAACAGCTCACTATTTTTTTTTTAATTTTTTTTAGAGACAGAGTCTCACTCTGTCACACAGGGTGGAGTGCAGTGGCGAGATCATAACTCTCTCTAGCAGCCTCGAACTCCTGGGCTCAAGCTTCCTCCTGCCTCAGCCTCCCAAGTAGCTAGGACTACAGGCATGGGACACAACACACAGCTAATTTTTTTAAATTTTTTTTAGAGACATGGTCTCACTATGTTGCCTACGCTGGTCTCAAACTCCTAGGTCAAGCGATTCTCCCACCTCTACTTCACAAAGTGCTGTAGGTATGTAGGTATGGATTGTAGGTATGAACCACCGTGCCCAACTCACTACTTTTTATTACTAATTATTCCATGGGATGGATGTACCGCAGTTTGTTTTACCATTAATCTATTGTAGGACATTTTGACTGATTCCAGTTTTTTTTTAATACAAATAAAACCACTATGAATAGTTGTGTATTGTATACGTTTTTGTGCTAAGTTTTCATTTTTCTGGGATAAGTTTTCATTTCTTTGGGCTTTTACTGTATCCTTGATATTATAATATGTTACATCTTCAGTTTTATTCTATTCAATATATAATCTTTTATTTTCCTTGAAATCTCCCATGGATTGTTTAGAAGTGTGTTGTTTTGTTTCCAAGGGTTTGGCATTTTTCCCATTATTTTTCTATTATCGATTTCCAGTTTGATTCCAGGTGGTCAGAGAACACACTTCATGTGATTTCAGTTCTATTAAATTTGTTGAGGTTTGTTACATGGCCCAGTATATGGCAATTTTGGTATATGTTCCATGAGCACTTGAAAAGAATGCGAATTCTGCTGGTGCTGGTTGGAGTTTTCCAGAAATGTTGATTTATGATCTTACTCATTGATGGTGGTGTTGAGTTTGATGTGTTCTTACGATGGCAGCTTTAACATTCTTGTCAGGTAATTCTAACGTCTCTGTCATGTCAGTATTAGCGCCTCTTAACTGTCTCATCAAAGCTGAGATTTTCCTGGTTCCCCTGGTTCCTGTTGGGATGTGTGGTTTTCATTTGAAATCTGGACTTTGGAGTATTGTGTTATGAGGCTTTGGATCTCATTTAAACTCATCTCAGCGAATTTCCTCTCTTGCCACTCAGGAAGGAGAAGTTGGGTGTTTGAATGGAGCAGAGCCGTTACTGCCTAAGAATTGTTTTACTGGGCTTCCCCTTTCTTTCTCCTTTGACTAGAGAGAGCCAGCTTTTTATTAGGGCTTTATGTTTTTCTGGGCCTGTTGGTGTTTCTGGGTTGACAAACTTCTCCAGAACCAAGTCTGGAATGGATGAGGCAAAAAGAAACCCCGTGGAATGCACTGCTGGGTCGCTCCTTGGGTCCCAATGTTCCTAACTGGTCTGCCTTCTTCTCTCCAGCTTCCAGAGTCTTCATAAGTTTGCTTTACGTACAATGTCCGGGGTTTTTACTTTACTTGAGAGAAATAGGTAAAAGTAATTCTACTCCATCTTTCAGGAAGCAAAAGCCCCCTTGTGTATTTTTTTAAACTTTCAAAAACAAAACAAAAGGCAGCTGCAACAGTAAAGAAGCTAGTAACACCCTTGGTGGGAAATTCAAGTCCAAATACACATTTTAAGTTTGGCTAGCCAGTGAGAACATCAGAATAGTTCAGGTTTTAAACAAATTTATATTTATGATTATGCATATACTAAAAGCTGAAGGCATCTTATATTTACTAAGCACCTATTTTGTTCTTGTTAAAAAGACAGAATTCCATTCCCTAGGAAATTTGGCCTGGCAGCTGGAGCTGATCCACCTGGCCACTAGAGCACAGAGCAGGGAGAGTAGTAGCCCTGCCCCAGCCACCCCTCAAGACAGGATTCTTTCTCTGGGAACTGTAGGTAACACTAAATCGTTCTGGAACACAACAACGAAAGAAGAAAGGAAAGAGAAAGAAAGAAAGGAAGAAAGAAAGAAAGAGAGAGAGAAGGAAGGAAGGGAGGGAGGGAGGGAAGGAAGGAAGGGGAAGGGAAGGGAATGGAAGGGAAGGAAGGAAGGAAAAGGAAGGAAGGGAGGGAGAGAGGGAGGAAGGAAGGAAAGGAAAGGAAGGAAAGAAGAAGGAAAGAAAAAAAGAAAGAAAGAAGAAAGAAAGAAAGACAAGAAAGAAAGAAAGAAAGAAAGGGGAAAGAAAAGAAAGAGGAAAGAAAGAGAAAGAAAGAAAAGAAAGAAAGGAAAGAAAGAGAAAGAAAGAAAAAGAAAGAGAAAGAAAGAGAAAGACAAGAAAGAAAAAGGAAAGAAAAGAAAGAGAAAGAAAAGAAAGAAAGGAAAGAAAGAGAAAGAAAGAAAAAGAAAGAAAAGAAGAAAGAGAAAGAAAGAAAAAGAAAGAAAGAAAGAAAAAGAAAAAGAAAGGAGAAAATGACAGCAATTACTTTTGCAACAACCTAATATAAGTTTTTTAAAAGTTAAATATTCTGTTCCATGCATTGCTGGATACCTTATAAATAACAGGGCATCCTATGACCTGAATTTCCCAAATTATGAGTTGAGGGTTTGAACTAGTTTTAAAAAACAAGGAGGCCAGGCGCACTGGCTCATGCCTGTAATCCCAGCACTTTGGGAGGCTGAGGCAGGTGGATCACGAGGTCAGGAGCTCGAGACCAGCCTTACCAACATAGTGAAACACCGCCTCTACTAAAAATACAAAAATTAGCCGGGCGTGATGGTGCGCACCTGTAATCTCAGCTACTCAGCAGGCTGAGGCAGGAGAATCGCTTGAACCCAGAAGGCGGAGGTTGCAGTGAGCCAAGATCACAGCATTGCACTCCAGCCTGGGCGACAGAGGGAGACTCCGTCTTCAAAAAAAAAAAAAAAGACAAGGAATCTGTAAAACAGGCACTGGAAGTATATGCACTTTTATTTTCATTCTATGCTATCCGATGCCTACTGCTATTTCCCTTCATATTTAACCTCCAACAGCTGCATTTTGCTCCCTCCAGACCACCTGATTGGAGCTCACGTGCTCCCACACAGTACCTCCAACCAGAGAGAGTCGAGTCCCACAGAAAGGCGTAACAATCACCAGTAATTTTGCACTTATTTTACATTGTGCCTTGATACAGAGTACTCAATGAATGCTCTTTGAATCATATTTAATAAATATGTGTATTTGGGATTGTAGCATATTGCAGCTACCTGGATATATAATTTAATTAGAAAAAAAATTTTGTGTGGCTCAATCAACAAACGACTTTTCTCTCTCTCTCTTTCTCTTTCTCCCTCTCTCTCTCTTTCTTCTCAGTTGATGTTGCTGGAGTTCAGTGTTGTGCAGATGGCAGTGACAAATGCCATGGGCACATGAGATATGATAAAAGGTCCCTGAAGAAGGTGGAGAACCAGTTATCTTATGAAATTTTCCAGAGTGGGTACTGGATCTCTCCTGTCTGGCACCATGCTGGCCTCAGCCCAAGGGGAATTTCCTTCCAGAGACAGAGGGCAGTGATTGAGGTGGGGAGACAGATCGTAACACTGAGACTTACATGAGGACACCAAACAGAAAAAAGGTGGCAAGTATAGAAAATTCTTTCTTCTGGACAGTCTTCTCTGTTCTAACTTCAGCAAAATTCTCCCCCCAGTGGATGCTATTGCACAACCCTACATATGCTATGTTTTTTCCTATACACACTTACCTATGATAAAATGCATTAATTAGTCACAGTAAGAGGTTAACAACAATAACTAGTAATAAAATAGAACAATTCAGTAAAATAAGAGTTACTTGAGCACAAACACTAGGATATCATGACAGTCAATCTGATGACCAAGAGGGCTACTAAGCATCTAAACAGGAGGGTAAGTGTAGACAGCATGGAGACGCTGGACAAAGGGATGATTCAGTCCCAGGCTGGTATGGAGCGGAAGGGCATGATATGTCATCACGCTACTAAGGCACACAATTTAAAATGAGTAAATTCTTATTTCTAGAAATTTCTTTTTAATATTTTCAGACTACAGTTGCCTACAGGTAACTGAAACCCCAGAAAGCAAAATTGTGGATAAGGAGGTACTACTGTACATCGTCCTTTGAACCAACTTTATCATTTGCTAGTATATACATATATACCTACATACATACATATACACATACCTGCACACACCTATATGTATACGTACACACACACACACGCACACACACACACTCACATCTACTAATGTTAGAATAAGTTTGCTAAATAAGATGCACAACTTGTTAATGTCCTACAGAGCAATAAAACCATAAGCATTGGGGTTATCTTTTCTACTAGATAAAAATCCATTATCATTTTCATAAAGTTTTCTTTACATTAACATCTAACTTTTGCAATCTAGTTTTTAATCATCATAAATAGGAAGCAAATGAACTGTTTCTCTAGTGAATCAAATATCCTTGAAAACATACATAGTCATCTTTTTGGTTTATTTTTATTTTTAGATAAATTATTTAAAGTTTTAAATAATTTAACATTCACAATAGTTTGTGACTGTATATTTTGACTTGGTCCTTCAAACTTAATTTGTACTTTTATGTATCGTGCTTACCTCAATTTTTTATTCACTTTTCCTAAACTTTGCTGGATTGGTTTATTATTTTTGTCTATTTCTTTTCCTTCTAGTGGTTTGGGAGGGTTTTTTAAATCCCATTACTATTGAATGCCTATTAACTTGCCCCCTTTTTCTTTCAATCTCTATTCCCACGGCCTGAAGCATGAGGGCCAAGCTGTCTGTAACCAGCAGAGAGATGACCCAGGTGTTATTCCACTCTCCACTGTCCACCTATCACCATTCCCAGCCCGATAGCTCTGAAGTACGGCTTTTCTGGGGCTCTGTGGGGAAAACTAGAACTGGCTGCTTCAAGGACACCTCCTGTTTTTGCAATGGAAAAAATGTTTCTAAATTCCAGTTTCTCTATGAATTCAATGACATGGTTTAAATCTCTGTGGTGTTCTTCAAAGTTTTTTCTTCTAATAGGACCTCTCATGATTCTCCAACCACGAAATAAATTCATTATCATTTTTATATTTCTTCTGTCATTGCAAAGGAGGTTTTGAAAGAGTGGAGGACGCGCTAATGAACTCAAAAATCCACACTATTCCTTGTTTCCATCTGTTGTTCATTCATTGTTTCCATTGGCCTGTCCGCCTCCTATCCTCCTTCTTAGACTTGGAGCTCTAGCCTCAGCCAGGATAGGGAAAAGAGAGATCAGACTGTTACTTTGTCTATGTAGAAAAGGAAGACATAAGAAACTCCATTTTGATCTGTATCCTGAACAATTGTTTTGCCTTGAGATGCTGTTAATCTGTAACTTTAGCCCCAACCTTGTGCTCACAGAAACATGTGTTGTATGGAATCAAGATTTAAGGGATCTAGGGCTGTGCAGAATGTGCCTTGTTAACAACATGTTTACAGGCAGTATGCTTGGTAAAAGTCATCGCCATTCTCCATTCTCGATTAACTAGGGGCACAGTGCACTGCGGAAAGCCGCAGGGACCTCTGCCCAGGAAAACTGGGTATTGTCCAAGGTTTCTCCCCACTGAGACAGCCTGAGATATGGCCTTGCGGGATGGGAAAGATCTGACCGTCCCCCAGCCTGACACCCGTGAAGGGTCTGCGCTGAGGAGGATTAGTAAAAGAGGAAGGCCTCTTGCGGTTGAGATAAGAGGAAGCCCTCTGTCTCCTGCATGCCCCTGGGAACGGCATGTCTCAGTGTAAAACCTGATTGTACATTCGTTCTATTCTGAGATAGGAGAAAACCGCTCTGTGGCTGGAGGCGAGATATGCTGGCGGCAATGCTGCTCTGTTGTTCTTTACTACACTGAGATGTTTGGGTGAGAGAAGCATAAATCTGGCCTACGTGCACATCCAGGCATAGTACCTTCCCTTGAATTTACTTGTGACACAGATTCCTTTGCTCACATGTTTTCTTGCTGACCTTCTCCCTACTATCACCCTGTTCTCCTGCCGCATTCCCCTTGCTGAGGTAGTGAAAATAGTAATCAATAAATACTGAGGGAACTCAGAGACCGGTGCCAGCGCGGGTCCTCCGTATGCTGAGTGACGGTCCCTTGGGCCCACTGTTCCTTCTCTATACTTTGTCTCTGTGTCTTATTTCTTTTCTCAGTCTCTCGTCCCACCTGACGAGAAATACCCACAGGTGTGGAGGGGCTGGACACCCCTTCGAGCCAGGATTATCAGGGCATTTGGGGGTCTGCAAAACTAAGCCCCAACTCATCGATTTCACAACTTCATCCAGAGCCAGCCTGAACAGTAGTTGCCCATGATTTCTATGCCTTAATACGAGAAGAGAACATAGGGGCTGGGTGCCAAGTAGGTAGACAGGGAGGGCAGGGAACTCTAAGACAGAGCTTGAGGGGCTCGTTCCTCTTGCAAAATGAAACAAAAACCACAGCACTGAATATGTAAATCTCGGTGGCTGAACCCCTCCTAGGATAGTAAGCCCTGATACAATTGCTGCTATCTTCTCTTTCTCTCAAGGAAGTCAAAAAACACCTGCAGCCTTACTGTCCCCTTGGAAACAAGATGAACATCTACATTTTCTAGAGTGGGACAAGAATCTCTGTTCATATTTATGTCCCATGCATTTGCACGTGGCCGGACAAAGGACTTTGCTTCTGCCAGCACATCTGTCTTCAGATATGAGAGGAAACAGACACAACCTGGAGGCGGCAAAGAAGCAGCTCTTTCTCAAGTGACCTCCTCTATCTCCCTACTTCCTGGCTAATGGGGCAGCCTTGATCCTTGGGAATCCAGGACAGATATCCACTCGTGACAAACTAGCTGGAAGAATGACAACCAATCAGGTTCCAAGCACCACTGGATGTGAACCACAGAATTTCCTCCTCTCCTTGTGGAATGTCAGCTTACGTCTGACAAAAAATGTAAAACTGAGAGAGTTACAATCTTAAGGAGGAGTCAAGCTAAAGCAGAAAGAATCACCTACTCTGGACTCCAGCATGACTGCTGAGCTCAAATATATATATAGAGAGAAAGAACCACAAACTTGAAGATGGATATCAGCTACAGACTTTCCTGAGTCAGGTAGGGAAATGGCCATCCCTCAAACCTTGCAAAAGGCAAACTTATGCCATTGTGTCCTCTGACATACTGGGTGATGTACTGTATGTTACTGATGTGAGGGGAACTTCCTAAATTGGCTAGTAAATTATGCCAAATAAAAAGCAAAAATGATATTTCTTGAAATGTTACATCTGAGGAACATTGCTAAAATAATTTATCAGTAGTTTTCAGGATGATTTATAGATGTGCATTGAAGTGTGTACTTGTGCTCTCTCTCTCCTCTCTCTCTCTCTTTCTCTCCTCTCTCTCGCTCTTTCTCTCCTTGCCCCCCTCCCTCCCTGACTTTCCTTCCTGTCCCCTCCACAGCAGTTTATATTTTTTTTCTGATAATCTAACTTTGCTGAGGGTTCAATGTAAAGCACCTTCAGTGATGAGTTAGTTGGAATGTTCCCCAAGAAATTCTATTTCCAGCACTCTTTTACATGAAATCCAAGAAGCTCTCAGACTATCTTACTGACACCTTGCCTTTCCTCAACAGATCAATCTTATCAATGTCCATCACAGATATTTTGTAGAACGGTGGATCCTGGCAGAGTCTCACAGATGCTTCTGAGACAACATTTGCTTTCAAAAAATGAACCACACACATCCTAAAGATCTCAGCCACTTCCCATGTTTCATTTTATGTTACAGCAAACATCACAACAATCATTCCTACAGATCACCACTGCATGTGATCAATAAAATAGTTTTTGCAACAATGGTACTTATGATAATCATCTTTTATTGTTTACAAATACTGCTTTACAATAGTTATTCGGTTGCACTGTTCATATTAGATTTCCAATTAGCTCACTTAGGAACATAAGTCCCTCGAACAGCTCAGTCATCTTTTTCATTCCTGTTTCTATCCCCTACATCTCTTTCCTTTGCAGACGACTATCTCCTACACTGAAACAGGAAAGCTTTTACCTTTTTGGCATGCTTGATTTAAAGATTATAGAAAAGTATTTGACAAAGAAAACTCACACATGTGTGTACATATCTTTTAAAAAGTTATGTTTATGCATTGCACAGGAATATCGAGAATGCTAATAGGCAATGTCAGAGTTTACTGTTTTTCAAAATTAGTACAGTTTTATTATTTCTAAAAACTATAAAATGAATATATTCACATCACCATACAGAAGAGTAGGAGGAGATGGCATAAAGTGTCATTGTTCCTCCTCTGCAATCCCAGGAGATAACTACCAAGCACAATTTATGTCTTTTAAAATTCAGCCCGTATTTATATACATATATATTCAATGTAGATGGGATCATGATATCTCACCACACATACTCTTCAGTGACCTGCATTTTCACAAACACCTTCCACGTAACTATATAGAAGTCTACGTCTTCCCCTTAATGTCTGCTTTGTGCTACATTGTAAAGCTCTAGCACAGTTTAACCAAACTCCTATTAATGAGGATTTTAGTTATTTTTCACTCTTTAAACAATATTTCCATGTGTAGTCTTATACATACGTCTGTACACACTTATCCCAGTCTAAGGAGTTCCTTTTACCTTCCCCCATCCCAGCATTCCCTGTCACGCTTGTTGCTTCCGTTGAGTGACTTTACTCCTGGAGTATAATCTGCATATAGTTCAGTTAAAAACATGGGATCTGAGTTTAGGTCACAGCTCTGCCACTTACTGCCATAAGCCAGTTCCTTGACCTCTCTGCCCTCAAGTTTTTGCACCTACAAAGTAGGGGATAATATTAGTTCCTAGTTCATAGAGTCTTGGGAATAATTAAATGTGATGATCCATGTACAATGTCTGGCACTTAGTAAGTGCTCAATAAATGTCACCCTTTATGATTGGTATTGCGTGTATGTCTGCAGAGAAAATCACTTTGTGTCCCCTTTAAAAAAGGACTATGCCCTTGGTCAGCTATTTTGCACATTAAATTTCACTTGCCAATGTTAACTCTCCACCTCTAACTTGATCCCTCTCCTTCCTCATCTTCTGGTGAGACCAAATGCTAATTCTGCTATTCAAGGCAACTAGCAAAGCTGCCAGTGACAGAATCAAATAAACCTACCCCTAATCTTTAGAATTGTAGTTATGATTTCTGTTGTAAAAGTTACTGTTGTGGCAGTCAGTATTAGTCTTTGGTCTATGATAGCATCTCTGATCTATTATTGACTTTCAATTAGGTATTTTTTTTTATTTATTCTGAAAATGTTTGTTAAGCATTTGCTAAGTAAAGATACTGGACGGAGCCTCCCAAATACAGGGCAAATAAAACATCAAACAGCTTATAATTTAGAAGGGTAGAAGAGAATCTGAAAGCAGGTAAAAATAAACAGGCACTCGGCTGGGCGCGGTGGCTCACGCCTGTAATCCCAGCACTTTGGGAGGCCGAGGTGGGCGGATCACGAGGTCAGGAGATCGAGACCATCCTGGCTAACACGGTGAAACCCCGTCTCTACTAAAAATACAAAAAATTAGCGAGGCGTGGTGGCGGGCGCCTTTAGTCCCAGCTAGTCGGGAGGCTGAGGCAGGAGAATGGTGTGAACCCGGGAGGCGGAGCTTGCAGTGAGCCAAGATCGCACCACTGCACTCCAGCCTGGGCGACAGAGCGAGACTCCGTCTCAAAAAAAATAAATAAATAAAATAAAAAATAATTAGGTACTCTAGGCCCAGTGACCTGTCTCTGTACTCTGTAAATTCAGGTCACCTGCTCAGGGCTAATCTGAGAGAAGGTCTCTCTTCAGTTGAATTTTGAAAGACAATTAGCAGTTCACAAGCTAACCCAGGTGGACAAAGATGTTCCCAAGCAGAGGGAGTGCTTGTGAAAGCTGGAGGCCATAGAAAAACTCTAAGGAGTGTAGGGAGGTGGGAGTAATGTATGGAAGGGGTGGAGATGGAAGGTTAAGAGAGATACAAGGCTGCAAAAATGGAGCTGGACTCAAAAGAAAATACTGAAAAGGTCTTCAGTGTTGTTGATGAGATTACTATGGAAACACTATGGAACACTGGGACTCCATGGCAGCTCCAAAGATGGCATGCGCCTGGTCCAGCTCAGTAAGAGCTGAGCTCTTCCTGTGCTGTGAAAACAGACAAACCAACCAAGTAAAGTCTACTTTTCTACTCTATTAGTCTTCACTTTGGTTTCGTATACCATCTGGAGCTACATTTCAAAATGCATTTCAAAGTTATGAGCCTTAAGTTGATATATATTTAGTCTACCTTTTTTTAAATAACATTGCAGCAAAGGAGAAGATAAAATAGTAAGACAACCTGTAATTATTACTCATTGAGAAGCTGATGATTTCCATAATTACACTAAATGAAGTTTATCCTTTGCAAAAGCCCCCCCAGCCCACCCCAAAAGAAAGTACAAAAAAACTGGCCATTTTTTTTAATTGCTTGTTTTTCTTTGTAATTAACATTCAGTCTACTTTCTAAAAAATAAATAAATAATAAGCAGTCCAGATGTGGCAAGTTGCTAAAGAAAGGAACCATCAGGCCATAGACGTAAATATATTCTCTTCTTGGATTTTAGGTCTCACCTAAGAAAATAAACACATGCTATGTCAGAGAAGCCTCAGGGCTTCCACACCTGCTCGAAAAGGGAGTTGAGCTTCAGCAGCTGACCCAGGACTCTGTTCCCCTTTGGTGAGAAGGGTTTTTGTTCAGCAAGACAATGGAGAGCTCTCACTGTGGTGGACGTTCGGCCAAGGGACCAAGGTGGAAATCAAACGTGAGTAGAATTTAAACTTTGCTTCCTCAGTTGTCTGTGTCTTCTGTTCCCTGTGTCTATGAAGTGATCTATAAGGTGACTCTGCAATCAGCCTCTGATATCCTTCAGGGAAAAGATAAAGATAAGTCTGTAGTCAAACTCGAGAATTGATTGCACATTTTCTTTGAAGAGCAAGCAAGATTCAGTCATTGGGTGAGAATAACTTGTCTAAGTAATAGCTTCAGAAATGTCCTGGGGAACATAACATGTTCTGGACAGAGCCTTGGTCAATTGTCAGAAAGGGAGTTTTTGTATAGGAGGGAAGTTAAGAGGAACCATTGTGTGTGCAGTTTTGGCCAGGGGACCAAGCTGGAGATCAAACGTAAGTACTTTTTTCCACTGATTCTTCACTGTTGCTAATTAGTTTACTTTGTGTTCCTTTGTGTGGATTTTCATTAGTCGGATGCCAGGGATCTAACAAACTTCATTCCCAGGTTAGGTACAGAGGAGGGGAAATTGTTCCACAGGACGCTAGCTTGTGGCTAATTTTTAAGATTTCTAAATCAAAATAACTTCATTGGGGGAAAGAGGCTTGCTGAGCTTTCAGGGAGGTTTTTGTAAAGGGAAAAGTTAAGACGAATCACTGTGATTCACTTTCGGCCCTGGGACCAAAGTGGATATCAAACGTAAGTACATCTGTCTCAATTATTCGTGAGATTTTAGTGCCATTGTATCATTTGTGCAAGTTTTGTGATATTTTGGTTGAATAAACCTGGTGACCCAGAAGTAAATAGCAGGACACCAGAAAATGAACTTAAAAAGCTGAGCAAATAGACGAATCATTGGGTTTGAGAGGAGAATAGGATTCATGGGGGAAATGGGGAAGAAATAGCTAGATTTTTCTCTGAACAAGCAGCCTATCTCATATGATTGGCTTCAAGAGAGGTTTTTGTTGAGGGGAAAGGGTGAGATCCCTCACTGTGGCTCACTTTCGGCGGAGGGACCAAGGTGGAGATCAAACGTAAGTGCACTTTCCTAATGCTTTTTCTTATAAGGTTTTAAATTTGGAGCGTTTTTGTGTTTGAGATATTAGCTCAGGTCAATTCCAAAGAGTACCAGATTCTTTCAAAAAGTCAGATGAGTAAGGGATAGAAAATTAGTTCATCTTAAGGAACAGCCAAGCGCTAGCCAGTTAAGTGAGGCATCTCAATTGCAAGATTTTCTCTGCATCGGTCAGGTTAGTGATATTAACAGCGAAAAGAGATTTTTGTTAAGGGGAAAGTAATTAAGTTAACACTGTGGATCACCTTCGGCCAAGGGACACGACTGGAGATTAAACGTAAGTAATTTTTCACTATTGTCTTCTGAAATTTGGGTCTGATGGCCAGTATTGACTTTTAGAGGCTTAAATAGGAGTTTGGTAAAGATTGGTAAATGAGGGCATTTAAGATTTGCCATGGGTTGCAAAAGTTAAACTCAGCTTCAAAAATGGATTTGGAGAAAAAAAGATTAAATTGCTCTAAACTGAATGACACAAAGTAAAAAAAAAAAGTGTAACTAAAAAGGAACCCTTGTATTTCTAAGGAGCAAAAGTAAATTTATTTTTGTTCACTCTTGCCAAATATTGTATTGGTTGTTGCTGATTATGCATGATACAGAAAAGTGGAAAAATACATTTTTTAGTCTTTCTCCCTTTTGTTTGATAAATTATTTTGTCAGACAACAATAAAAATCAATAGCACGCCCTAAGAAAAATCAGGGAAAAGTGAAGTGTACCTATTTGCTATGTAGAAGAGGCAGCTTACTTGAAAATCAGCAGCAATGTTGTTTTTAGAGTCTGTAATAAGTAATAAACTCAAAAAGACACATTCTATAGGAATAAGGGCTTCACAGATAGAGCTCATTTTTTAAAAATCCAATTTGTACATTAGACTAAACGTGAAATTATCTCTTATTGTAATGGTGGAAAGGTGGTTATTCCCAAAAGCTCAATCTCAAAGAAATGTGTTTAAATGAAAAAAAGTAAATAATTGCATTTTTTAATGACCGTGGGTCTGTGAAAAAAATAGGAAATATTTTAAAGAGTATGTTCTTTCATTATCCTCTGTTATTACTTGTCTACATTTTTATTCTGCCAAGAAGGCCGTGGCACCGCGAGCTGTAGACAGAGCCGCGGTCTTTCTCGATTGAGTGGCTTTGGTGGCCATGCCACCGCGCTCTTGGGGCAGCCGCCTTGCCGCTAGTGGCCGTGGCCACCCTGTGTCTGCCCGATTGATGCTGCCGTAGCCAGCTTTCCTGATGCACAGTGATACAAATAATGCCACTAAGGGAAAGAGAACAGAAACGTAATGGGCGCTGAGCTGGGAAAACCAGGGAGAAGACTGATTTATTAGAGATTTCAGAAATAAAATTCACATTCATTATGATATCTCATTAGTGAAAATTTCCATTAGGGGATTGTAAATAATTTAAAGCTTTTTTTTTTTTCAGTGCTATTTAATTATTTCAATATCCTCTCATCAAATGTATTTAAATAACAAAAGCTCAACCAAAAAGAAAGAAATATGTAATTCTTTCAGAGTAAAAATCACACCCATGACCTGGCCACTGAGGGCTTGATCAATTCACTTTGAATTTGGCATTAAATACCATTAAGGTATATTAACTGATTTTAAAATAAGATATATTCGTGACCATGTTTTTAACTTTCAAAAATGTAGCTGCCAGTGTGTGATTTTATTTCAGTTGTACAAAATATCTAAACCTATAGCAATGTGATTAATAAAAACTTAAACATATTTTCCAGTACCTTAATTCTGTGATAGGAAAATTTTAATCTGAGTATTTTAATTTCATAATCTCTAAAATAGTTTAATGATTTGTCATTGTGTTGCTGTCGTTTACCCCAGCTGATCTCAAAAGTGATATTTAAGGAGATTATTTTGGTCTGCAACAACTTGATAGGACTATTTTAGGGCCTTTTTAAAGCTCTATTAAAACTAACTTACAACGATTCAAAACTGTTTTAAACTATTTCAAAATGATTTTAGAGCCTTTTGAAAACTCTTTTAAACACTTTTTAAACTCTATTAAAACTAATAAGATAACTTGAAATAATTTTCATGTCAAATACATTAACTGTTTAATGTTTAAATGCCAGATGAAAAATGTAAAGCTATCAAGAATTCACCCAGATAGGAGTATCTTCATAGCATGTTTTTCCCTGCTTATTTTCCAGTGATCACATTATTTTGCTACCATGGTTATTTTATACAATTATCTGAAAAAAATTAGTTATGAAGATTAAAAGAGAAGAAAATATTAAACATAAGAGATTCAGTCTTTCATGTTGAACTGCTTGGTTAACAGTGAAGTTAGTTTTAAAAAAAAAAAAAACTATTTCTGTTATCAGCTGACTTCTCCCTATCTGTTGACTTCTCCCAGCAAAAGATTCTTATTTTACATTTTAACTACTGCTCTCCCACCCAACGGGTGGAATCCCCCAGAGGGGGATTTCCAAGAGGCCACCTGGCAGTTGCTGAGGGTCAGAAGTGAAGCTAGCCACTTCCTCTTAGGCAGGTGGCCAAGATTACAGTTGACCTCTCCTGGTATGGCTGAAAATTGCTGCATATGGTTACAGGCCTTGAGGCCTTTGGGAGGGCTTAGAGAGTTGCTGGAACAGTCAGAAGGTGGAGGGGCTGACACCACCCAGGCGCAGAGGCAGGGCTCAGGGCCTGCTCTGCAGGGAGGTTTTAGCCCAGCCCAGCCAAAGTAACCCCCGGGAGCCTGTTATCCCAGCACAGTCCTGGAAGAGGCACAGGGGAAATAAAAGCGGACGGAGGCTTTCCTTGACTCAGCCGCTGCCTGGTCTTCTTCAGACCTGTTCTGAATTCTAAACTCTGAGGGGGTCGGATGACGTGGCCATTCTTTGCCTAAAGCATTGAGTTTACTGCAAGGTCAGAAAAGCATGCAAAGCCCTCAGAATGGCTGCAAAGAGCTCCAACAAAACAATTTAGAACTTTATTAAGGAATAGGGGGAAGCTAGGAAGAAACTCAAAACATCAAGATTTTAAATACGCTTCTTGGTCTCCTTGCTATAATTATCTGGGATAAGCATGCTGTTTTCTGTCTGTCCCTAACATGCCCTGTGATTATCCGCAAACAACACACCCAAGGGCAGAACTTTGTTACTTAAACACCATCCTGTTTGCTTCTTTCCTCAGGAACTGTGGCTGCACCATCTGTCTTCATCTTCCCGCCATCTGATGAGCAGTTGAAATCTGGAACTGCCTCTGTTGTGTGCCTGCTGAATAACTTCTATCCCAGAGAGGCCAAAGTACAGTGGAAGGTGGATAACGCCCTCCAATCGGGTAACTCCCAGGAGAGTGTCACAGAGCAGGACAGCAAGGACAGCACCTACAGCCTCAGCAGCACCCTGACGCTGAGCAAAGCAGACTACGAGAAACACAAAGTCTACGCCTGCGAAGTCACCCATCAGGGCCTGAGCTCGCCCGTCACAAAGAGCTTCAACAGGGGAGAGTGTTAGAGGGAGAAGTGCCCCCACCTGCTCCTCAGTTCCAGCCTGACCCCCTCCCATCCTTTGGCCTCTGACCCTTTTTCCACAGGGGACCTACCCCTATTGCGGTCCTCCAGCTCATCTTTCACCTCACCCCCCTCCTCCTCCTTGGCTTTAATTATGCTAATGTTGGAGGAGAATGAATAAATAAAGTGAATCTTTGCACCTGTGGTTTCTCTCTTTCCTCATTTAATAATTATTATCTGTTGTTTTACCAACTACTCAATTTCTCTTATAAGGGACTAAATATGTAGTCATCCTAAGGCGCATAACCATTTATAAAAATCATCCTTCATTCTATTTTACCCTATCATCCTCTGCAAGACAGTCCTCCCTCAAACCCACAAGCCTTCTGTCCTCACAGTCCCCTGGGCCATGGTAGGAGAGACTTGCTTCCTTGTTTTCCCCTCCTCAGCAAGCCCTCATAGTCCTTTTTAAGGGTGACAGGTCTTACAGTCATATATCCTTTGATTCAATTCCCTGAGAATCAACCAAAGCAAATTTTTCAAAAGAAGAAACCTGCTATAAAGAGAATCATTCATTGCAACATGATATAAAATAACAACACAATAAAAGCAATTAAATAAACAAACAATAGGGAAATGTTTAAGTTCATCATGGTACTTAGACTTAATGGAATGTCATGCCTTATTTACATTTTTAAACAGGTACTGAGGGACTCCTGTCTGCCAAGGGCCGTATTGAGTACTTTCCACAACCTAATTTAATCCACACTATACTGTGAGATTAAAAACATTCATTAAAATGTTGCAAAGGTTCTATAAAGCTGAGAGACAAATATATTCTATAACTCAGCAATCCCACTTCTAGATGACTGAGTGTCCCCACCCACCAAAAAACTATGCAAGAATGTTCAAAGCAGCTTTATTTACAAAAGCCAAAAATTGGAAATAGCCCGATTGTCCAACAATAGAATGAGTTATTAAACTGTGGTATGTTTATACATTAGAATACCCAATGAGGAGAATTAACAAGCTACAACTATACCTACTCACACAGATGAATCTCATAAAAATAATGTTACATAAGAGAAACTCAATGCAAAAGATATGTTCTGTATGTTTTCATCCATATAAAGTTCAAAACCAGGTAAAAATAAAGTTAGAAATTTGGATGGAAATTACTCTTAGCTGGGGGTGGGCGAGTTAGTGCCTGGGAGAAGACAAGAAGGGGCTTCTGGGGTCTTGGTAATGTTCTGTTCCTCGTGTGGGGTTGTGCAGTTATGATCTGTGCACTGTTCTGTATACACATTATGCTTCAAAATAACTTCACATAAAGAACATCTTATACCCAGTTAATAGATAGAAGAGGAATAAGTAATAGGTCAAGACCACGCAGCTGGTAAGTGGGGGGGCCTGGGATCAAATAGCTACCTGCCTAATCCTGCCCTCTTGAGCCCTGAATGAGTCTGCCTTCCAGGGCTCAAGGTGCTCAACAAAACAACAGGCCTGCTATTTTCCTGGCATCTGTGCCCTGTTTGGCTAGCTAGGAGCACACATACATAGAAATTAAATGAAACAGACCTTCAGCAAGGGGACAGAGGACAGAATTAACCTTGCCCAGACACTGGAAACCCATGTATGAACACTCACATGTTTGGGAAGGGGGAAGGGCACATGTAAATGAGGACTCTTCCTCATTCTATGGGGCACTCTGGCCCTGCCCCTCTCAGCTACTCATCCATCCAACACACCTTTCTAAGTACCTCTCTCTGCCTACACTCTGAAGGGGTTCAGGAGTAACTAACACAGCATCCCTTCCCTCAAATGACTGACAATCCCTTTGTCCTGCTTTGTTTTTCTTTCCAGTCAGTACTGGGAAAGTGGGGAAGGACAGTCATGGAGAAACTACATAAGGAAGCACCTTGCCCTTCTGCCTCTTGAGAATGTTGATGAGTATCAAATCTTTCAAACTTTGGAGGTTTGAGTAGGGGTGAGACTCAGTAATGTCCCTTCCAATGACATGAACTTGCTCACTCATCCCTGGGGGCCAAATTGAACAATCAAAGGCAGGCATAATCCAGCTATGAATTCAAACCTTCTTCTCAGAAGATAACACTCTGAAGGGAAACCCACCCATAACCTAAGCAAGTGAAGACAGGTGCTGCAGGTGGAATTGTGTCCTTCAAAAAGGTATGCTCAACTCCTTGCTCTTGGTACTCATAAATGGGTCACATAAATGTGACTTTATTTGGAAATAGGGTCTTTGCAGAGGTAATCAAGTCAAAATTAGGTCATACTGAAATGTTTGTGAGGATGCGGTGAAAATGGATCATTCATATATTGCTGGTGGGAATATAAAAGGGTATAGCTACTCTAGAAAATAGTTGTCAGTTTCTTGAAAAACTAAACAAAAGACACCTACCATATGACCCAGGAATTGTACTCCTTGGGAATTTACCCCCAGGAAATAAAAACTTATGTCCACACAGAACCCATACATGATTGTTCACAGCAGCTTTATTTGTTGTAGCCAAAGCTAGAAAGAGCCAACCCATCCCTCAATAGGCAACTAGCCTAACAAATTGTAATATATCCATGCCATAGAATGCTATGAGGCAATAAAAAGGAACGAAGTGTTGATACAGAGAACTGGAGTGATTCTGAAGGACTTTCTACTGAGTGAAAAAAGCCAATCTGAAAGGGTCACATACCATGTGATTCCTTTTATGTAACATTGTTGAAGTGACAAAATTATAGGGATAGAGAACAGATTCTGGTTGCCAGGGGTTAGGGTGGTGGGGAAAGAAGAGTAGGCGAAACTATAAAGGGAGATCTTTGTGATCATGGGATAAATCTGTATCTTGATTGCAGTGGTAGTTGCAGGCATCTAGACATGTGATAAAATGACATAGAACTGTACACACTTATTTTATCAATGTCAAATTCTTGGTTTTAATATCGTACTGTAATTACGTAAGAAGTAACCAACAGGAGAAACTGGGTGCAGGACACATCAGACCTCTGTGCTTTATATCCTGTCTTTGCTACTTTCTGTGAATCTATAATTATTTCCAAATAATTTTTTTAAACTTTTTTTTTATGCTGGATCCGAGTGGGCCCTAAATCCAATGACTGGTGTCCTTATAAGAAGAAGGAGATTGGAGATGCAGTGACACATAGGAAGAAAGCCACATGACCAAGGAGGCAGAGACCAGAGGGATGCAGCTGAGAGCCAAAGAGCACCAAGGATTGCTGGGAGCCACCAGAAGCTGGAGAGGTGTGGGATGGTTTCTCCCCGAGAACCTGCAGAAGACACTAACTCTGCCTGTGCCTTGAATTCAGATTTCTGTCTCCAGACCTATGACAGAATAAACTTCTGTTGTTTTACGGCTCTTAGTTTGTGGTACTTTGTTAGGGCAGACCCAAGAAACTACTACAATGGGGATGGCCGAGAAGACAGCGTACCTCTGAAGGAACTCCCTTCTACACTAATGAGCCATACCCCAGCAAGGGTTCACCTCCCCAGGTGGCTGGCAAAATCCACTCACAGAAATCGGGCTCCACAGGTCTGAGAGTTACTCAAATCCAGAAAGTTCAGGTCAGCATGAGTTAAAAGCCAAGCAGACAAGAGATCTAGCCTGCTTCTCCTGAGACGTGGTATGCTTTTGGCTCTGAAAATGAACCTTGGCATGAGAATGCCCTTACTCTGACATGTACAGGCTGTGTGGCCCTGAGCACATTTCTTAATCGGTGTGGGCCTCCCTTTCTCACCTGTAAGGTGCAGATCTGATGGTAATGCCTGATAGGTAAAGAATTGTGAAGATTAAAAGAAATAGCATGAGTAAAAAGCTTAGCACACTGTGGGTTGCATGGCTCCAAAGCTCCCTGGGTCCCATGGTAGATCTAGGGCAGAAGTGAGGCAAGAGAAAGAAAAGGAAAAGAGAAGAAATCAAAGAGGGAGGGAAAAAGAGAAGGGAGGAGAGAAAAAAAAAAGTGAGAAAAATGTGTCTGCCAAGGAAAACCAGGAAGGCCATCCCATGATATGCCCCACCTGTGGTAGGATGGGTATCCTTTCTCCAGGTCAGAGACAGCAGCTTGGCATACTGCGTGGCTCACCAAGCATGAAACAGCAGTCATTCTGAGAGAGAAGAGGCAGGCCCACACCCATGGCACAGAGCCAGACATCAACTGTGGGAGAGGAATGATGCCTGGACATTGGGGGAAAACAGTTTATAGATGCCATGGAGACTAAGACACAGTAAGAAAAATGAAAACTTCCTGGTAGTTGGCAGTGGGGTTAGTATAACAATAAATGTTTAGTGTCACAAGATTGGGGCACTCCAAATGCTAACCACCACCTCCACTGACACTCTTATCAGCCACCTACACCATCCCAAGTACGCTTGGGCACACAATTCCCCTTGTCCCTCCCTCACACTGTCTGTGGGACAAGGAGCTTCACTGGTCTTTTCAAAGTCTTTTTCTGACTCTAATGTCTATACATCAGAGTGAGGTCTTCTGTGGCTTCAAAACTGGACTGTAGCTTTCTATTTTTAACTCTTTTTTCTATGAGAACAAGTTTTTAGAATTCGCCATGTTTCCTAGGTTTGGTGCTAATACATTCGCCCCCACAAGTCCCTGAGCAAGTCAGTAAGTTGAACATATTATTTTGGAGAAAAGAGAAAGGGAGAAGAGAGGATGAGTATACGAATTTTGGAAGAACAATAAATGGAAGATAGAAAGAAATTGGGAAGGGCAGGGAGGAGGAGGTGAAGGAGGAGAAAGAGGAAGCAAAGTCTGACTGATGGAGGATAAGAAATGAAACAGAAAGAGAAAAGAGGAGGACAGATTGATGTTTGTGTGTTTCTTTGTCTTTTCACACCGTGCCTTGTTCCAGGTATTAACAATTCCAAGACTTAACTCTTCAACTGCGTCTCTTCAACCTAACAGCTCTCTTTGTTCTTTCTTGAAACCTGCACCCCCAGTGAGCTCAAGTCCATGTCAGTTCTTTTCATCTTTCCATAGAAAGTGCCCCTTGGGCTGGGTACCTGTGCTGGGGAAGGGGAAGGAGGATTTTTTATAACAGTTATCAGGGTAGGATCTAACATTTTACTAAACTAAATTGTCAACCATAGCAGCTGCTGGAGATCCCAAGCCTGAGTCACTAGGACACGGGCCAGGGGCTCTGCAGCCCTTCCCTCACTGAGGGAGCACAAGTGGGTGACCACCAGGGATCAAGTCAGTCCTTACCATGAGCATGGAGAAATATAGTGAATAAATTATTGGGCTGCTTTACCTACATCATACTGTGCATATAATTGCCTGGGAAAATATGCTCACAAGTCATAATAGCAAGTTACTGCACTTTTGTGCTTCAGTTTTCTCATCTGAAAGGGGGTGGAGGTCTTACTTGTAAGATTGCTGTGAGGATTAAATGAAACAGTTCATATAAAGTTCTAAGCATCAGGCCTAGTATATACTAAGGGATCTATAAATATTTGTTATCATTAGTAATGGAAGGAGTAGCTCAGTGAAATTTGGCTATTGTTTGATTTCCTCCTTGAACTTGTTCTTCAGTCATAACTCTTTCAGCCTTAATGTGCTTGAACCTTGAATTAATTCACGTATGTTCTAGACTTGATATCCAATATCCTGCCACTAGCCACACAGAGTTATTGAGCTCTGGAGATAAGGCCAGTCCATACTAAGATGGGCTATACGTGTAAAAACACATCCAATTTTTAACATTTTGTACAAAAAATACGTGTAAAATATTAATATTTTATATGATTACATGTTGAGATTACCCTGTATATCTTGTGTGCAAACAAAAATATTATTAAAATTGATTGCACAGATTTCTTTTTACTTTTATAACATGGCTAGTGAAAACTTCTAAATTATATATGTGGATCACATTATAATTTTCTGTATTTCCTGCATATTTCTATCAGTCAGTGTTATCTAGATTATTGTAAACTACTAAATGTATCCTTGAAAATGGTCCCAAGCTTTACACAAGAGTTTTGGATCTTGACATTAAGCTGGCCCATGAAGAAATAAGATAGAGTTCCCTGGACTAACACTGAGCACCTAGTCAAGGATTAGAATAAATATTAATCAAAGGATTTTTCTACTTCAACACCCCCACTCTCACCATTATACAGATGAGAAAACTGACAGAGAAATTCTTGCTTCGGGTTATCCAGATCCTAGAAGGCTGGGCTTGTATATACTGATAGTTAGCTCACTATTAATTCCTTTTTACCACTCTCTCTTCTTCCAGTCAATTATTTTCCTGGAAATGCTCTCAATATTTTTTTCTTATAAATACGGGCATAGAAGTTATGACAACATAAGCCATAATTACATAATTGCCCAAGAATATGAACATACTAGAACTCAGACATTGATATGACATATTTTGCACAGAGAAGGAGGTAGACCTAATATATTTATAAATACTAATATATTTGTATGATATGACATATGATGTAGGGAACTGGATGGAGGGAAGCCACTCCCTTGTTCCCCCTCACAATGGCAGCAATAGTGGAGGATATAGAACAGTACAAGATAAGATACACAGTCCTTGCCATTAACGCTCTGCCAATCTAATTGGACAGTCAAGCAATGGATAAGGAAATTGAACTTGCCCCATGAAATAATAGCATCAAGCAGGAAAACAGTTTGGGGATATGGGAAACACTGACCAGTCATCTGTAAACCTCAATCACAATTTAGTCTTTTTTTTTTTTTTTTTTGAGATGGAGTTTTGCTCTTGTTGTCCACGCTGGAGTGCAATGGTGCAATCTCAGCTCACTGCAACCTCTGCCTCCCAGGTTCAAGTGATTCTCCTGCCTCAGCCTCCTGAGTAGCTGGGATTACAAGCATGTGCCACTATGCCCGGTTAATTTTGTATTTTTAGTGGAGACAGGGTTTCACCATGTTCGTCAGGCTGGCCTCAAACTCCTGACCACAGATGATCCACCCACCTCAGTCTCCCAAAGTGCTGGGATTACAGGTGTGAGCCACCGCGCCTGGCCACACTTTATTCTTTCATTCAGTAAGTATGTATTGAATGCCTGAAATGTGCCAGGTACTGTCTTTGATCCTGAGGCTATCACACAGGTAAAACTCCCTGCCTTTGTGAAGCTTATAGTCTAGCTGGGGAGATAAATGATAAAGATTGATAAATTTTAAAATATAGTATTTTAGATAACGACGGGGTAAACAGAGCATTAAAGCAAGGGCAGGAATTGTTGGAGGAGGGTTATAAGTTTTGACAGGGTCATCAGGAAAGGTGTCACTAAGAAGGTAGCATTCAGGTAAAGATTTAAATGAAGTGGGAAGTAAACCATGTGGATAAATAGGTAAGAGCACAGCAGGAACTGCAAATAAAAAGCCCTGAGGTGGGCATGTGCCCGGAGTGCTCATGACACAGGGTTATAGGGAGGGCAGGTCATGTCGGGTTTTGTGGGTCACAGGAAGCATTTCTTTTAAGTGAGATGAGGCTGGTAGGCTTTGAGCAAAATAATAATATTGAGGCCGGAGACGGTGGCTCACGCCAGTAATCCCAGCACTTAGGGAGGCTGAGGTGGGTGGAGTTTGAGACCAGACTAGGCAACATGGGGAAACCCTGTCTCTACAAAAAATATTATACAAACAATTAGCCAGGCGTGGTGGTGTGTGCCTGTAGTCCTAGCTACTTGGGAGGCTGAGGTAGGGAGCCCAGGGAGGTGGAGGCTGCAGTAAGCTGTGATCGTGCTACTGTACTGCAGCCTGAGAGACAGAGTGAGACCCTGTCTCAAAAATAATAAAAATAATAATAATATCATCTGACATACATAAACAGGATTTCTCTGGGTGATCTGATGAGAATAACCCATCCAGGGTGGGATAGGAAGATGTGTGGAAACCCCAGTTGGGAGCCTGTTACATAATCCAAGCAGGAGATGAAGCTACTTTGAAAGTAGCCCTGCCAGGAAGCACTGCTAGTGTTGATGTGGGGAAGAGAGAAAACTGAAGGGGGAATCCAGGGTTTTCAGCCTGATGAATTGGAAGGATAGAGTTGCCTTAACTGAAATGAAGAAGTCTATAGAACATAGGCATAGGTTTGGGAGCTCAACTTTAATTCACCTGGAATTAATTTTTGTGTATAGCATGAGGTAAGGGTCAAGGTTCATTTTTTCCATGTGGATGTGCAGCTGTTCCAGCACCATTTTTTACTTTTATTTTTACTTTTTTTCATAAAATATATATACATTTCATGAGCTGCTGAAAATTCCAGCACTATTCGTGTAAAGACTTTTCTTTCCCATTAGATTGCTTTGGTGCTTTTGTTGGAAATCAAATGACAATGTAAGTTTGGTCTATTTCTATTTTATTTAATTCCCCTAATCAATTTTATTATCCTTATGTCAATAGACACAGTCTCGATTCCTGAAGCTTTAGGAGCTCTGTTTTGGGTACGTTGAGTCTGAGATGTCTATTAGACAACAAAGTGGAGATGTCAGATGGACAACTGGCTATAAGAGTCTAGAATTCAGAAGCAAGAGGTCAGTGCTGGAGACACAAACGTGATGTCATCACCACACACATGGTGTAAAAAGCCATCAGACTGGGAGAGAGTACCTAGCAACGACATACCAAAAAAGAAATCCAAGCACTGAGCCAGGAGGCACTCCAACGTAAAGAAGTCAGCAAGATGAGGAGGAACCAGAAAAGAAGATTGAAATAGACTGGCTAGAGAAGGAGATGAAAAAAACAGGACAGTGTTGTTATCCTAGGATCCAAGAGGAAAAATGTTACAAAGAGGAAAAAATGGATCAACTGTGTCAATTGCTGATGACAAGTCAACCAAGATTAGGAATGGAAATGGGCCATTGGATTTAGCCATATTGGGAATCACTGGTGAACTAGACAAGTGCAGTTTCTATAGAATGCCAGGGGCAAAAGTCTGATCCAAATGGGTTCAAAAGAGAATGAGAGCGAAGAAATTGGAGAGAGCATGCATGGACAATGCTTTCAAGGAGAGAATTAGAAGAGGGAAGGAGAGAAATGAGGTGGTCACTGGAAGGACAAAGGGGCTCTACAGAGGATATATTTTATCTTTTTTCTTTATTTTCTTATTTTTTAATATTTTTCTTATTGATAGTTCTACATGATACACAGGTGAGGGTTTATTTTAAATGGAGAGAAACGACAGCATTTTTAAGTGCTGATAAGAATGATTTGGTAGAAAGGGAAAAGCTGGTGCTGAAGAGGAGAGAAGAGAAATTGCTGGAGCAATGTTCCTGAGTAGGTGAGAAGGGTGGGTGAAGACAGGTAGAGGTATCATCCTCAGCTAGGAACACAGATGTTTCATCCACAGAAACAAAGGAGAAAGAGGTATCCAGGGCACAGATGCAGAGAGGTCCACAGGAGGGCTGGGATCTGTTTGTGATTTCTCCAGTAAATGTGTGTCGCTTAGATTTTGTAGGTTTAGAAGCTTGGGAAAATCTTGAAAATTGAAATGAGCAAGGAAAAGTTCTAGCGAGGGTGAAGCTAAGAGGAGAGAGGATGGGGAGAAGAGTGACTCTCACAGGAGGACATCCTGACCACCTGCCAGTTCCTTTCTTGTTGGCTCCATTTGCAGACCCTTTCCCTGAAAAAACCCTCCATAAACACCCCAACAGACATGCCCTCACCTGCTGCCTTCCCTCTCCTTCTTCCATTCCACTTGCTCCTTTCCTGTTCTCAGATACACAATGTCCTCCTTTCTCCCTTCCTTTTCCTTCCCTCTTCTCTGTCTCTCTCCCCAGTTCCTCTCATCCTTTCCACCCTCCATTGACCTGCCAAACTCTTCTCAGGATCTGAATGGCCCTTACTACCCATATCATGTGGTTATTGATCTCTGTATGAGAACAGTCTGTCTCCCAACTCTGGAACCTTTTGTATCCCTAAAGCTAGCAAGATTCTCTGCACGCAGCCAGAAAAGGGATGACAGAGGAGAGGGTCAAGGGAGTTGGGAGGTAGAGAAGAGGAGGGGACTGACATTTGCTAGCACTGTCACCTGTATGACCCCCTTTGCTGTCATACCATACACTGAGATGTTTCTCATTAGCCCTGTCTCATAGATGAAGAAACAGACTAAGAAAGATTGCATTACGTGTTTGGGATTACGGAGCTAGTAAGACAAAGAATCACTATTTAAACTCAGGTTGTCAAACCCAGACTTCCAAGCCTTTCCCACAGTTTTGCACATGGTAGGTTCTGTGTTGGTTTCCAATAATATCAGTTTGTAATAATAACAGTTAGGTCTCAGTCAGCTCCTTTAAAACTAATAAGGTCAGACTGAATGTTCAGTAAGGGCCTTTCATCTCTATGAATCCTTCTAAAAAAATATACAAGCTTTTATTTCACCATGGGTCCAAGAACAAATAAGAAAGAGCCCCCAATTTATGACACACCATTAAAATATTGATGATCAAAATGAAAAACAAAATAGGCATAAAAGAGATGTATGAAATTGCTGGCAGCTCGGCCCATGCCAACTTGTAACAGGTTTTTATTCTATGATAGTTGTAATGGATACAATGTCTCAACACTGACAAGCAACATGTCACTGAATCTTCCAGCAGCCTCTGGGGTAGCTTGTTTTACCCTCTTTTGCAGATAAAAAAAAAAAAAAAAACTAAGACTTAGAGAAAGTCAATACCATGTCCAAGATCACATCATCAGAAATTCCCAAATCAGGATTCAAAATGAGGCAGCCTGATCAAGAGCCCTAACTCTAAAACACAGTGCTGGTTTCTCAGTAACTACTCTTCATGGTTGCCATTTTCAGAGGCAAAACATCAGTGACTCTCAGAGTGAAAAGGAGCTTGGAAATCAAAGCTCTCATTTAACACATGAGAAGACCCAAGCAGAGACTGAATGACATGACCTGGTAGAGACAGATTTGAGATTCAAGGTCAGTGTTCTTTCTACCTGTTATGTTTTTATAATTTGCAACAATGAACTAATTGCAGACATCTCAAGGGAAGAATTCTGAACTTCTGCAGAAATGGAGAGTCATCAAGCCTAAGACAACTAGGAGGAGTGTTGGTCTAATTTGGAAAAATAACTCATTAATCAAAGGTACCTCTTGGTACCCCAGCATATTCCACCATCACATCCCAGTACTCAGGCCCAAACATGCCCCCAACCAGCCCCACCTCAGACTGGTTATTACAGAGTTTCATGGTTACTTGCCTGAGAAGATTAAAAAAAGTAATGCTACCTTATGAGGGAGAGTCCCAGGGACCAAGATAGCAACTGTCATAGCAACCGTCACACTGCTTTGGTCAAGGAGAAGACCCTTTGGGGAACTGAAAACAGAACCTTGAGCACATCTGTTGCTTTCGCTCCCATCCTCCTCCAACAGGGCTGGGTGGAGCACTCCACACCCTTTCAGAAGTTCCCAAGGCCCCGTGCACCTGGGGTCACAACAGGACCTGGCCAAGGCTGTGTCCAGCACTGGGATGGGAAGTAACACCAACCCCAACCTTGTTTGATATCACTTCACCTAAATGCACTGCTCCATCTCCAGTCCTGGAGTTCTCACCTTGGAAAACCTCAGCCCAGAATAAGTGTCCTCTAAGAGTTCTGATATGGTAACAGGACCTATGCAGACTTCACGTGAGAATGAAGCTGTGAGCAAGCAGGTGCTTCAGGAGACCCAGAAGTGTCCTGGAAATATTTAAGAGCAGCAGGAAACCATTTATGTTGAATAGTTTGGTCATCTCAGAAAAGAGAGGCTGGGAAGAATAAGGATGAACTATACATATCAACCTTTCAGAATATATTTCAGTAAACTTCCTAGAGCCCATGACAGAAGCATTCTCTTCTACCATATTCCCTTTCCATCCATGCATATAACCATCTGTACTTCTATCCACCCATCTGTTGATCCTTCCTCAAGTCATAAGGCTCATTGACAGCCCTTCTACACCAAACAACACCAACTCCAGAGAAAAACCTGTTCATATGCCTGGACGTATGAATGTCCACCTTCACTAATTCCATAGAAATGTATTAGCATTTCCATGTACCTGGCTCTCTATGAAGATTTGCAGATAACATAGTCAACAAGACAGAACTCTCTACCTCAAGGAGCTCCTAGAGTAGTGTATAAACAAATAACCAGAAATTGCAACATGGAGAAATGGAGCTGAGAGGAGTGCCTACAGAGCTCTACGTAAGCACACAGAAGGGGTGCCTAACACATATTGGAGGCCAGAGAAGTTATACCCCTCCTGCCCAAACATTAACCAACCTGGGAATTACCTAACATCAACAGTGTCTTCACACGTCATTCCAATGCTCTAGCCCTCTGATTGGGATACCATGGGTTAGTGAGCTCTCACATGGGAATCTATCACTTTTTTATCCCCTCTTTGTTTGGGGTTACTTGTTTATAATAAAGCAATAACAATAAACCTCTATGTCAACATCACTGTGAACAGCAAATGAAATATTGTGTATAATCCACTTTGTACGGGGCATGGTGCAGAGAAGGTGCTCAATTCACAATCTTTTCATATTCTTAATTACTAACAGGTTCTTGAGTTCAATGGCTGAGCTCAGTGGATATTCTCCCTGCAGTAATTCCACAAATAAACCCTTCTTAATTTTGACCTGATACCTTTGTTTCTTCCAATATGCAATACATCACAATCCTTCCGTTCATCCTTACCTACTTAACATGTAAAAGTGAAAAAAGTCTCTCAATTTTGAAACCTGAAGAAACTGAGCCACAAGGTGAAGGCACTATCTGCCAATACTGTGTCTCACCCACAGGCCTAAGGATCCAGTTCAGTTCAGTGTATTTCCCTTCAGCCCATCCTGCCTCCTGCTCAGTGCCATGATGGAAATTACAAAATGCTGCAAGATTAGGGTGAACATTGGATTTCCCAAAAAACTAATATTTCATACTGAAAAGAAATGTGCATCATCAGCAGCAGTCATCACTATATGATTTAAAGTGGTGCTATCATTCAGCTATCTTCCCAGCCAAAATACCAGTGAGTTAACTGTGTGTTTTGTATCTCTGTGGGAAAGGAGGTTCTAGACTCTAAGATGTGACAAACTCTTCTCGGGCTACATGCCAACTGAGACCTGCCTTCCCAACCTCTTGGTTCATAAGCAGGTAAGTGATAGCATGTTTACTGAAGTCCTCTAGTGACTAGAACTATTTTTTTTTTGTCTTTCATTGTGCAAAGATACAAATAACAAGAAAAAAAGAACCATCACAGAGAAGAAAAAGAAAATAAGTAGACAAAAACAACTTGGGGAATCAGAATATATTCAACCCAATCTCTTACAACTTCTGACCCCACATGTATTCCTAGATTTTTCCATCCTACAGACATTTATGAGCCCCTGGTCCATGTGCTAGAGATAGGGAGGCAGATGAGGGAAGGTACATAAGGAAGAGGAGGACATGGCAACCCCTGTCCTCGTGTTGCTGAGCAGGATTTACAGACACTCACTTTGAGTCCGTTCAGAGCTGCAGCCACCAAATTCAAGCCCAATTCTGTTCCTGGACATGAATAAGAAGGTTTTCTCACCTTTTCCCTTTCAATTTTCACTGTTCTTTCTACTGTATTCTCAAGGATCCACAACTGGGTTTCCAATATATATTTTCCTTTGTCATCCACCAGACAATAATCTAGATGTGAGGAAATTCTGGGTTAAGGATCACTAATCTAAACAAATAATCTGCCCTGGCCTTCAATATTCCTCCAGATTTTTTAATTCTTACTATGCATTTTGTTGTTTTTCTTGTTGTTGTTAAGAAATAGAAAATACTCTGTGGGTGTGAGTGTGGGTGTACACAGCATTTTATTTAGAAAATTGATGTTTATCATTTAATTCTATTGTGTGTGCAACTGAAGTAAATTTTTCAAAGAACTAGGGGAAAGGATAATATACAGACCTTAGAGAAAGAGAAACAATAATAGTGATGGGAATAATGAGAAAGGAAAGAAAAGACAGAGAAACAGAGACAGACTGGGCAGGCTCTGAAGAGCATTGTAACCAGAGGCCCTCCCTAGGAGTGCCCTGGCTGAGGGCTGCTGAGAATTGCTGTGCATTGAGATGTTCATCAGTTAGTCTGCCACTCACTGCACCAGAGCTCTATTGCTGGATGACATAATTTTTGTTAGAGTCTCCACTATATTAACCAGAGCAGCCCACCCAGAATTTGAAAGATTTCCTCAGGTTGCAGCAATAGCAGACAGAACCACTCCAGCCAAAGGGCTAGAAGATTCTGAGGCTTAATGCCTACCACTCCCACCCATCCTTTTAAGATTGACAATGCTTGAGGATGGAGGCACAATATCCTAAATTGACTATTAATAAAACCCAAAGTCCCTGAAACAGGAGAAGCTAAATAAACATATGTGGAAAATGACACAATCTACCCCTCCTTGCCCCCACCCTGGCACACACGCAGGCCTGCAGATACATGCTGCTGTCCAGATACCTTCTGCAGCTGGCTCTCTCCACCCTCAACCTCAATTTGGTTTTCTAATTGAAATTACATTTCCATTGGAAACTCTTGAGCCTTGTTGCTCAGAAATGTAGTAACCCCTAATGATTATGTAAGAAAAAGGAATGTGCTTCTTTCAAGTCTACATTCTGCAGTAAGAGTTGGTAGATACAATTAAACAAGTTCTTAAAAGTTGCATTTTCACTAGGACTACCTGATATTACAGTGGCAAATAGCATTATCACCCATGTTATCAGATTCTTGACACATCCCAAAATAATGAGGCACAAATAAATTGTCAAATGTAAACTAACGAAGCTGTTAGTCTTATAATTCTTATGAGTTGTTTATCTGCAAGTATATCTGAACATGAAAGCCTGGTTCCATTTCCAGCTGACCTAAAAATTCCCACCTCCTGTAAGAGATCATCTGTGAATAATGAGAAACCCTCCTGATTTCACCCAGAATTCACCCTCTCTTTGATTCCCCACAGTACTGTATTCCCTACATACTATCCATCATTTATGTATTTAATTTGTCTAAGTTCCAAGTATTTCTATCTTTATTTCCTATCAAAATATATACTCCTGAAAAGCAAAGTCTTTTGTCCATTATAGAAACTGGCAGTTTCCCGGGGAAACTCTGCACCCAAAAGAACATTTGAAGATCACAATAGTCGTGGAAGACCTCCTTACTTTACTTCCACGTTTCAGTCTATGATTCACCTATCATTTATTGAGGACCTGAACTAGGATTTTTACTCCTTGATCTTTATACAATTCTATATTTATTGTAGAGCTTAGCACAAAGCACAGTGCTTTGGTCATACGAGTATTTGTTGAATAAATAAGTGAGTGAACAAATAAATGAATTGTTGATGATTAATATAAGTTTATAGGGCATTTATGGGGATTGTTTTTCTGTGTGTGGGTTTGTTTGTTTGTTATCTGGATGCACCAACTCACAGAGTGTGACATTACTAACCCAGTTTACAGATGAAGAAACAGGACCAGAAATATCAAGAGACTAGCCCAAGTGGAAAAGTCATCTCTCAGGTACGTGCTCGCTGATTTCAAATATTTTTGCTCCACATGACCACCCACCTGGAACAACACCATTAGACCTGATGGTCCAGGCCTCCGTGAAGAGTTCTACTGCACTGGTAATCCACTTTCCAACTGCGATTTCAGGGACCAGTCAGCTCACTCTTCTGCTGTCCTTGTGCAGCACACCCACCCTTCGTTGCCCTGAGTTCCAAAGCACGCTTCATATAAAAATAGGAGATGGCACCTTCTGAAGCCAGCCAGCTAGAAATGAATTTCCATTTCGCATGATCCCAGATAATCTAGTCCAACTCCACCAACACCACCCCCACCTAGCACCATGGCCGTTCTCACCAGCTCTGTGCACACACAATGGGCACTTACACATAGAGTCAAGAGGATCAGTCCACTTTATTTGTGGAGTGGTTTGACCAGAGGCAAGAGGTAATTGAGTTGCCCAGGAAAGGAGTGCCTATTTGCCCTGAGTGTGTGTGTCTCTCCAGACAAATTTGCCAAACAACCTCATTTGGTTATAAGCATAAATCTTTTTTCCAAAAAAAAAAGTAAAGAAAATGTTCCTTGTGAAGTTACTTCCAATATGTACTCTAAAAAGAAATAATAGATCTATAAAAATTCTAGGGTTTATGTAAAATATTGGTATGATTTTACTCTTGAGTTATGACTTCTATAGATAAGAGAAAGAGTCTCAGAATCACTGAGAAATGTGTTGTTTTGACAAGGGCCCTAACAGTGCAGGGCACAGTTGAGGACATACAAGCACACAGATATCACAACATCTATCCTCAAGGAGCCAGTTAAAAAGAAAAAAATACAATCCTTGCCCAAAAAAAGAAAAATTTTGAAGGGTACAAACAAGGGAAAATTCTAACAGTGCAAATTGGGCACTAATGCTCTAAGAAGAGCCAACTAAAAGTGGCAGAGTGAAGAAGCTAGATTCTAATGAATCAAAAATTTGCATTAAAAAGCTAAAAATGAATTCATAGTCTAGGAGGACAGGAGAGAAGGGGCCAGAAAAACCAGACTACCCTCTTTATTTTAACAAATATGGAGACTGAGACTTCGAGAAGCTGACTGACGTCCTCAACACTATTAGTAGTTAGAGCTGAACCCAGACTGTAAGTCACTTCTCTAGGCTGTCTGTCCATTTCTCCTTCCTCTACTCTACATTCTCAAGCAAAATTAGACAAGGAGGCCCTGAGAAGTTGGCACATGGGGTAAGAAAGAGCCCCAGGCTTCTTAATGGTGGCAGGAATGACTAGAGGGCAGTATGAGCTATCCTGTCTTGTTAACTTCTAATTCAAGGGGGAATGATTTGATCGTTAGATTTATTGGCACAAACACCCAAGTATTTTTTGGACTGGTTAGATTGGACTCATTTGCGTCAAATTGGCTTGCATAGGGTTGAAATGAGTGGCCTGAATCAGATTAAAAGCTGGAAGACCACCAAGGGTCACAGTTGTGTTGCATCTCTTCAGATTGTTTCATTTAAAGGGAACCCACCTACTCAAGCTGTGGAAGGCCAGCCCTAAGTATGCATTACTGCCTACCGGGCACGTCACTGCATGGAGTCCATGTGTTCCAGAAAAGTCAAAACACTTTTAAAGGAAGTTCACAGGGAGTTCTATTGAAAATGAAGGCTCCATCTGCCAAAGTAAAACGTAAATCACCTCTGGAATTACCTGTTTGCTAAGTTGACTGCTTTTCCTTGAAGGAATAGGTACCTCCATTAGAGCTGACCCATTCTTGGGAAAATCAGGCATTTTCTAAAGAAATGGCAGCACAAATCCCTGAGCCCTTATATCAGGGCTCCTAGAAACTCTCCCTTTCTTCAGATTCAATATGAAGTTATAGGCAATTTGAGAAGGAAGATCCACAGAAATATAAATGGAAGAGAGAGGATTCCATCACCTACTGGATTTGTCATACTTTTTTCTCTTAAAAGAAAAAGCAAGCCATTCAAAGGCAGAGATCACGATGAAAACCAGAGAGGAAATCCTGCCCCAGAGAAAGATGGAACCTTAGCCCAGGAACTGGTATATTATGCAATCCAAGTCATACAATGTGAAATTTTTCAAAATGTTTGACTTAAGAAGTGAAAGCCTAATAAAAGGAATGTTTTTGAAATTCATCCAAAAACCCATAACCCTAACACATCTATTATTTTCATTTCCCACATTATATTCTTTTCTAACATTTATCTGAGTATCTTCATACATAGCCATTGACACTATTACTAGAATTTTGTGTTCAAATTCTTTCACTTGCTGTTGTTTCACAGCACTTCTTTTTTTCTACTTATGCATCATATTGACCATTTTGAATGGTGCACATCATTCTATCTTACTAACAGTGCATAATTTCCTTAGCCTTTTCTCCACTGTTGGAACCCATAACTTGCGGTCTTGACTTTTTCTTAGGATGATCAGCTATGCTGGCACTTCACTCTCCAAAATTTGACTCAGAGACCATCCTTTTAAGAATTTACCTGCTCTGCATGGGGTACCTTGTCCTAGGTGTAGCACTGGAAGGATTTTCCAGACTTAATCCATTCTCTGTTTCATATGTATTTATTTTGTCTTATCCAAAATATTGCTAGCTTTCCTTCCTATAGGAGATAGCGTTAAAAAGAAGATAAAATATTGCTAGCCTCTTGAGGTCAGAGGGCCCATCTTAAACTTATTTTTCAGCCTCAAAGCTAATCAATAGCTAGAAGTCATGAAGAGAAAATGGACCTTATTATTTGACCCCAAGTGAACAAGCATTGTCTGAATGCCTAATGTGTATCACTTGCTAAGCAATGTTAAATCCTCTCTCTCATATGATTCACACCATGAATAAGGTATTATTATTCCTAAATTACAAAGAAGGAGACTGGGGTTCAGGGTCAGAGATGGTTGATGGTATAGAGCAAATGGGATGTCAAGATGGTGAGATGATGTGCTTTAACCAAGAATAAGTTTTAGTCCCAGCTATTCCTGCTGGAATAATATTGCTGGGAGAAATAAACAAGATAGAAATGGTAAATTCCAAAATCTGACCCCTAATCGGAAGCATGGAGACAGATTATCAAAGATAGGAGGGACCCTTGAGGTTATGAAGAACAAGTCCTGTATTTTACAAATGAAGAAACTAGAAAGGTCAACTGACAATGACAGGAAGTCAAGAAAACACCACGATGAGGGGAGAGACCTTCATCATTTCATTAATCTGATCAACAGGCAAGGAAGCAAGGGAGTTTCCACCGTGCCACGTCACATGAAACAAGGGCTTCTATTTTAAGAGCCTAGCCCTGCACCTGCTCTATCCAGATGGGCTTGGTGAAAGAAGAAATGAAAACAGGCTTTTCTCACTATGGGCCTGGGGTGAGGGTCTGGTCACAGGTTTCTTAAGCAAAATGGAGGAGCCAAATGTCACTGACGTGCCCCCATGGGGGTGGGGAGCCTTTGCTCCTAAGATTCTCAATGTAGTTACTACAGAGCTTGTCCTCATAACACAAGGGGGAAAGTAAGACAAGGTCCAGGGAGGGCCTGTCTAACACCCTGGCTAATGTATAGTCCCACTGTGTGCTGATGAAGCAGGAGGAACAGGCAGCAGGAGAAGGTGCAGCCCAGCCAGAGGGTAGAGGCAGGGAAGTTGAGAGCTAGTGCTCCCTGCTCAGAATGTCCAGGAAAAAGAAATGGTTAGATCTTGAAATAAATCGTCAAGGAAAGCAGAAAATATTTTAATCATAAGTTCTTTGGTTTAATAATAAAAGTGCAATGAAAAGAATCTAAGCTTTAGAGCCAGACAGCACTGACTTGGAATCCAGCTCTGCCACACATTGAGTGACTGGCCCTGAGCAAGTTACTAACACTGTCTAAACCTTAGTTTCCTCGTCTGTAATTTTTAAAGATAATAACAGAGCACCTCTTTGAAGCTTATTATGAAGGTAGTGACAACATGACAGCACCTAGGGTCGGACCTAGGTTAACATAACTTCTTCTGTTATTTTTATCAACCTACATGTGAACATTGCTTTACAATTCTCAAAGTTTTGACAACATACTTCACTAGTCTGTTTCTTCATGTCGGAACATAGGCAGTAAGTCCTGTCTTCAGAGTCCTACCAGTGACACAGAGGCCATTCTGTTGTATCCTCCTTCTTCCAAGAACCTGCCTCTCAAATTTGAAAGATTTTATAAATGTTAGTTTCAATCATTCATTAGACCCCCTTGCTCTATCAAAACCAGATGATATAAAATCTGTTGTGGGCAGTTATCAAGACCCACAAACACTATTTCTTTAGAAAAAAAAGAAGAAGAAGAGATAAAAATACTTCATGCAGAGCTAAGGAAATTTCCAAAATTTTTTAAGTAACCTCAGAAAATTCCATGTTAGCTGACTTACTTTAAGAATGAATTAGTCTAGTTAAAATAAATTGAATAGATTTTAAAAGACCATGACCGAAGTAAGATAGAGCCAGTAGCTCTGGTTTCCTTTTTTAAATGATTTTCTTCCTCTGATAATTCAGAAACGATTTCAGAGTCTCACAACAAATTATTGCAGTACTATAAAGGGGTAAAAATGTTGGTGAATTAGGGTTCCATTTCATAAAATATCAAATAAACCTTATTTTCCATATTTATATTTCTCTATTTCTCTGTGTCTAAGAGTCTAAAAACTATAAAGGACTCCACAACTGTAAGGTGCTGTTGTGATTATGATTAATTTTTTTGCCTCTGATGTCTGAACTAGGGTATTTTCACTTTAGTCAACTCTGTTCCCTTTCTGTAGAAGACCAAACATCAGATGCTCACTATACAGTCATTAAAAACAGCGAACTGAAGTCCCTTCTCAGTCACTACCTTGTTAATAACTGGGAAAGTCACCAGGCCTCAGTTTCCCTGTCTGTAACATGAATGGGTTAAACTGAGTGATTGTGAAGCTCCCCAACACATCTAAAATACTGTGATTTCTGCAAGGCAATATGAAGAATTTTTAAGGTCTTTTCTTTGAACATGATTTACTATCTACAATGTGGAGATGACCACTTTAATATGAAAAGAGGCCTGGCAGCATGCCTTTTAGAGACAAATTTTTAGATTTCACCAAATGAAAAAGCATTTAAAGAGGCACTACTCTAAGGGAGATAACTGGCCAAAGAGAATAACAGCTAAAATAACAGCTCTGCCAGAAATAGACTGGGCCCATCATGCCACTTGATCCACAACTCCCTCAGTGTGCATGGCCTTGGGCCTCCACAGGCCTTTAGGAATTTACTGCTTAAAACACATGCCCTCCCTCACAGACACTGAGAATACACCTAGAGAGTCCAAGAGCAAGATTAGGAGATGATCCAGATCATTTCAACAATGTAGTCAGAAGGAAACACAAATTCAATCTAGAAATCCCTGAATGTCCTGGTCTGAGTGGACAAAATTGCCAAGGCAACTGATCTAGTTTTCTCTTCATCTTTGCTGTGGATTCCTATTGAGAGATCCCTATTCCAAAAGATACGTTTTAAAATAGTTAAGTGGCTGACAATGGAAATAAAACTTCGGAAAGAAGCACTGGAGTTGAAAACAAACTTGGTTCTGGTTCTGCTTTGATGCGATTCTGACTGAGTCATATAATCCACCTAAAATAAGTCTCGGTATAAAATTGGGGATAATATCACCTGACTACATTCTACACAACGTTGAGTAATGGTGACACAAACAACAATCAAGAAAACACTTTGCGAGTTTGTTGAACATGACCTTCTAACAATAGCTCCCAGGGATGGTAGCAGAATTTTTTTTTTTTTTTTTTTTTTTTGTGAAAGGCAACATGGCCTGCCTCCCTGTCCCTGCCAACAATGGGAACCAAAAGTGTTTTCTCCATATGTGATGGGCTCACAAGTCTACTTTCCCTTCTGACTCCATATCCAGTGTTCACTTAGTACTGTGTAATTAGGACAACAGGAAGCATTTCCCTCAACTCCCTCTTTGGATAGAAATCTGCAATCAGAAGCAAAAAGTCAAAGTTTCCACTTTACTCTTCAGAGTTTGTGACAAAAAACTTACAGCATCAGACTATCAAATAGAACAAGCACCAGACTTGCAGCCTGGATAAGTCAGTTATTCTTGTCTCTCAGTGAGAGAATATCTGTAGAATTCAATATTTGAAGCTTAGACATTCGTAGTAAATGTAAACACATAAGCATATATGTATGTCTATATCCTAACTCACCCTTGAGTACTTTTATTTTTATTTTTATTTTTATTTTTTGGCTGGTTGGAGAGGAGAGATAGAGATATATGGAAATAAACAAAAATAATCCTCACATAGTTGGAAAATAATACTTGTAAAACATTTAATTGGCATTGTAAATCAGTACAATCTTTTGAAAAGGGATTTAGTGACACATAACAAAAGTTGTTAAAATTCTGCTCCCTTTAACTCAATAATTTCAAGAAATTTAAAAGTCAATCATTAGAAAAGTTGTAAATGCTCAACGATAGGGGAAATGACCGAGGACATAATGGGGCACCAACTCAGTGAGTAATTTGCAGTCAGTTGAGAGGAGACCCCTGAAGTCTATGTGACAACATGGAAAACAATAAATTAACAAGGCATTTATAAAGTGTGGAATTCTATACCTCTTACAATCAGCTCTATGTAGAAACATATATGTTTATAAACAAAGATTGAAAAGAGAACACAGACAAAAATGCTAAGACTATGGTTGCATTAAACTGCAAGATTGCAAATTTTTTTCTTTAAAATTTTTAGTTAGAATATCATTTTTATTATACAACAAGTAATATTCAGGAACTGGAAAAGAGTCAGAACAACCTGCCAACATTGCATAACAGAAGTAAGAAATAAACCTTTGTCTGATTTTCAGATTGAGATGGAACCAGTCCCTCCCATGCCAGGGCCTGTGTGGATCATTCCATGGCCCCAGAGACCCTACTCCTGCACCCAAAGTAAAATACTTTCACGAACCAGAAGAACATAAGAGCTAATTGCTTCCTAACAGTTGGAACTAAATGATCTGAAAGGTAAAAATTCCCCAATACTGGTGAAATTTTAATGGTCACACAAACAACAATCAGGAAAACATTGTAAGCTTATTGAACATGACCTTCTAACAACAGCTTCCAGGGATGGTAGCAGAATTATTTTTGTGAAAGGCAACATGGCATGCCTTCTAATGTTTGACTTTTAAATTTACTGAAATCATTCACTTACAGGGAGTGGAATTTTCATGGCCTTTGAAATGTGTTACTAAATTCCTTTTCAAAAGATTGTACTGATTTACAATGCCACTTGAGAGACAAATGCTTCTTAGAATCATAAATGATCTTTTATTGTCAAGTGGCATGTAGAACCATAAAAATAAGCTTAGCCATTCTAGATTGAGAACTGGAAATACTTTAGATTCTGACAATTGTCTAAAATATTAATAAATTAACAAGGGTATGTCTGGGCACAGATGCATGTTTAAGTTAAAGTCACTTCTCTCTAATTTATCACTTACATTTGTCTAGTTCCATTCTTGAGAATATTCAAAAAGGCAAAAGTAGGTATAAAAAACTGAAAAGCATCAGAAATTTTACTGATTTGATTATTGAAAATATTTCCATTTCTTTTGGAAAGGCAATGCATGCATTTGGTAAAATATTCAAACAGTGCAAGGGAGCAGCCATGGGAAGTAATTCTCTCTACCACTCCATATCCCCCAGGCTGATAAATTTTTAATAAAATATTTATCTCTAAAGTAGGTTTTTTAAATTTTTAATAAAATATTTTAGCTCTAAAGTAGGTTTTTAACCCCAAAACTGGTATGTTAATAAAGGCATAGCAAGAAGCTAGGGCTTAGAGATACAACTTGTGTAAGCTCTCCGTGCAGAGCCAAATAGTTCTTGAACTTCTTCTAAAACCAAAACTTTCAAAATTTGTTTAGAATTATCCTTACTATGAAATTCAGATTGCAAAAGTGTTTGTCATTTTAATTATAGAAAATTATTCAAAAAATAAGTTCTAGAATGCAATCTCTTACTTATATAAATATATTTGGGATCATTTACTTATTGTCATTATTACTCAGATACAGACTCAGAATTAGAAATAATCCAGCAAGTTTCCTATAGAAAGGGGCACACAGAAAATATATTTTGCCCACGAACTGAATTTATAATTAATGAGAACTTGTTGTATGCGTGCAATTAAAAACAAAATCTATAAAGTTACTTAGAGAAAGGATTCTTCTTTTCTCCTCAAAACTTTTCAACATAAATATAAAATTTCATATGCACACATGTCCTATGATACAGCAATCTCTTTTAGGAGTAAGAGTGTATTATGATGAATTTTCATTGTATATTTCAATAAAAAATAAGAATGTACTAAAAACCCAAGAAGATTATGCTTAAAAAAGGACCCAATTTCCTTTGAGTGTCACCCCAGAGAGCACAACTCTCAGCTCTGAAAGGTACCTGAAGAATTTTCAGGATCAACATTTGTAAGCATTATCAGCCCAGGATAATGCTTATTTACAGCAGTTCAACTTTTCTCACCTGCAGTAGTTTACTTTGATGAAATCCTGCTTATTTTTCACAATTAAAATTGCGTCCATGGCCCTTGTTACCCTTAAGAATTATATTTTGCTGACACAATCTCTTTATCTACATTTCACCTAAGTAAGCTTTTTCTTTACATGATTTTAAGTCATTTTCCAAAACAGAAAAGCATAATTATACAACCTTCTATGTGTATTGGAGGAAAAAAAGGGTCACACAAATAATAGTACACTCTCTCAGTTAAGGAGTAGGCAGGAGGAGGGGGTTGAGAAAGACAAACCAGAAAGAATTACATGAAATTTTCCTTCCTCCTCACTGAGCCTCCCTTGAATTGTCCAATAATATCCCCCCAACACACACACATAGACACAGAGCAGACTGTGAGGGACACGCAGCCTGGGTGGGACTCCAGGAGCCAGCTCTTACCCTAGAGTTTCTGCACGGGCAGCAGGTTGGCAGCGCACACTGTGGGAGCCCTAGTGGCAGCCCAGGGCGACTCCTCATGAGTCTGCAGCTGCATTTTTGCCATATCCACTATTTGGAGTCTGACCTCCCTAGGAAGCCTCCCTGCTCCCTAGGACAACCTGCTCTGACCTCTGAGGACCTGTCTGTAAACGTCCAGAGAAAAGCATGTGCCTGAAGGGTCTATGAAGGGGCTTGAGGCAAGTAGGGAGCCCAGCCCAGCTAACATTTGCAGCCATGGGATGGCTTTGTGTACCTAGAAAAGCAAAGATGAGGACTAGGCGAGCACAGGCCCCAAACGTTCACGATACACATCTCACTGCAAAGAAATGTCCTCTGGCCACTTTATAATGCAGCTCTAACTATAACTGGTGCTTTGCTGGTTTGTGGCCTGGGCTGGTCTCCCAGAGTCAGTGGCTTTGGGTGAGATGGCTCCAGGAGACAGCAGAAACTCTCATATATGAAGCCTTGCTTGCAGCGATTTGAGGCTTACTAGGGAAAAGCCATGATGGGTTTTATAGAGCATTAACTGTGATACGCCATCTAGGGCTGAGAGCTCTAAGCAGTGACCACTGGCACCTCCATGCAAGTGCCCTTAGGCTACACCTAATGAGCACAGTGAGGCTCTGGGCTCAGTGGACAACCGTGCCAATCACCCAAAGGGACAAGGAAGGACCCTCGAGTGCCAGTGGTGCTTGGCTTGGCTTTCTCATGAGTCCTGGTAAGAGCCTGCCTGAAATGGGAGGAAGGGTCAGCTCTGAGTTAGAGGCTGACAGAGACAAACCTCTTGGGGGCAGGAGCTAGCTGACAGGATGACACCTGCCCTAGGGTCCTGCTCTGAAATGCAAGGAAATCCCAGCCACAGTCCGCCGGTCAAGGAAGGCCTTGTGCTAGACTGGATCGCCCCCTGCTGGCCCCATGCAGCCAGGACACTAGCCCTTTTAGGGCCACTGACTAAAGCTGGAGGGAGCACGGGGAGACACAGCATATAAAAGTCTGTTGTTTAACAACATCCCATCTTTCCCTACGTACACATTATCTTTTTAAAAACGTTATTGTATCTGCCACAAACACACTTTCCACTTATTTAATTTTAATAATATTGTTCAGTTTCTTTAGAAAATACAGAAAAACATAGGAAACTAAAAGCCATATATCGCCCTGTCAGCAGAAGTAATACCATTTAACATGCATCATGTTTATCTAGTCGAGATCATGCTGTGTGGTGGTCATTGTCCATCTACTCAGATCCATTTCCTGTCCATGGTTCCATTGGCAATTGGCTTCCAGCTGGATATGGCCGGTGGGAGACACCAGCAAGAGACAGGGTAGTGAAAAGAAGGGATAAGGCAGGGTACTTGACCATCTCTCTCCTTCAGGAAGCAGTTTTGCATCAGTAGCTGCATCTCCTCCATGATTCTAGCTGCCACCAAGTGCCCATCCTCTGCCCTCTCCCAATGCCACTTTCTGCAGCCCTGATGGTGGAGTGGCTTCCTGCTGTGACTCATCTCTGGGCTGCTTCCATGATGATTGGGTCTCTGCTGTTCATCACCTGTGAAGCATTTCCCACAATAAATTCCCTTTGTTTAAAATGTCCAGGGTAGTTTATTTTCCCCACTGGATCATGAACGACAAATGTCACATGTATAATTTTTGGTTAATTTATTATTTAACAATGTACCACTCAATATTATTCCATTAAGGTTTTCCTATAATTGTCAGCTCTTTCTTTTTTTTTTTTCTTCTGAGATGGAGTCTTGCTCTGTCACCCAGGCTGGAGTGCAGTGGCATGATCTCGGCTCACTGCAACCTCCACCTCCCGGGTTCAAGTAATTCTCCTGCCTCAGCCTCCCGGTAGCTGGGATTACAGGCACCTGCCACCGCACCTGGCTACTTTTTGTATTTTTAGTAGAGACAGGGTTTCACCATGTTGGTCAAGCTGGTCTTGAACTCCTGACCTTGTGATCTGCCTGCCTTGGCCTCCCAAAGTGCTGGGATTACAGGTGCGAGCCACCATGCCTGGCCAATCCTCAGTTCTTTACAAACCTTTCTAAGAAAGGGTTGCTTCTGCTTATTATCTTATTATATCACATCTTAATTGCCTCATTTCATTCAAGTTTCCAATTTTTACTAAAATATGAACACCTTCGTGCATAAATTTCTTTCCATACTTCTAAGTATTTGCTTAGACTAAATTCCTGGAAGTGACAAAGGATAACTCATTTTAAGATCTTAGTACATATAGCCAAGAAATCTACAGGAAAAAAGGTTAGGTCAGTTTACTCTCCCACTAGCAGTAGAAGAAAGCTTGTCTCACCATACCCTCTGCAGCTGTGATTAGATGAATTTGCAAATTGTAAAGGCAAAAACAAAAAAGCATCTGGTTGTTACTGTTTTAATTCAGATGTGTTTTGTTTTTATCGTAAGTGAGGTGAGACATTTCTCAGGAGTTATTACCCACCTGCATTTCCTCTTTAGTAAATTATCTTGTTTATTTTACTGTACAGTCCTTGGTGATTATCTTATTGACCAAAGAATCAGTCAGCACCCTTAGAGGCAAACAACAGAAGCAGCCTCTGGCTAAATTAAGCAGAAAGGGCATTTATTAAAAGGATATCATGCAACTCCAAAGTGAATGGGAAGTCTGAAAAATCAGGCTCAGAAAATAGGTGAAAACAAGGGAAACTGGTAAGCTGGAAATATGGCCAAGGTTCTACCCTAAAACATTCTGAAAAACAAAAAATGTCACTATTAATGCTGCTGCCTGAATGCTATTCCTGGCACTGCTGCCACCCACCACTGGATTGGATACTGCCAGCTGAATGAACTTTAGTTTAACTCTTCTTGCATCTTTGTCATTCCCTTTAACAGACGAGTTGCAAACTCTGCATTCATTCTTCTCTCATCAGGAAGTGGAATCTATTTCTCCACCTCCTTGAATCTAGACTGACATTTTGCCTTGCCGTGAGCAATAGAAGTGGTAGCAGAAGCATCTCTCACAACCGACAGTTGCTGTGCCTTGAAACTGGGAAGAAAACATTCCATCAACTTTAAAGAAAGCCTTACAATAAGCTGAGACCCCTCCCTGAACCATTTCTATAGACTCATAACGGATGCCCCAGCCCAAACTCTGCCTCATTCATCCCAGCCTCCTCCCTGCATCCAGCAATGGCTTTGATCATGCCACTCCACTGCCTAAAACCCCCACTGTCAGGTTAAGTCCAGAGTCCTTAGTGATGGTGAGCACAGCTTTTCATTACACGGCTCCTCCCTTCCCTTCTCTTCTCCCAACACCTCCCCAGAGCCAGCATTACCTGTCAGCCCTCAAAGCTCCTCGAATTTACCTGTACAAACCACGTCCTCACTGACCCTCATCTTTGCACATGCTGTTCCCTCTGCATGGATGCTCCTTCTCCCCTCACTCCTTCCATCACACGGCCTGCCTGGTGGCCTCTTAGTTTTCCTTCCAGATTCGGTAACTACAGAAATTACTAAGAAAGTTATACATACATATATATTTTTTTAAAAAGAGGAATTATAATGGTGTGAAAAATTATATATACATATATATATATATATACCAAAAGAAAATAAAAGAGGAATGGGCAGACGTGGTCCTCGGGGAGGAGGAAGCAGGAATGGGGATGCCTGGCCCTAACTCAGGGTCCCTCCCGGACTGCGCTTCCTACCATTCTGGACCCATCCCAGGGAGGCCGGGCGCACTGCCAGCCCCATTCTGTGAGTGCTTATGAGTGCCAAGGACCCCCTTAAATGACTTGCTCAGTCAGGAGCAGCTGCGACGGGAGTGTCCGCCAGTGCTGGATGGAAGTTCCCGACAACACTGTTATCCAGTGGGAGATGAGACCCGGCCCTCACTGGAGGCCTTAGGGGCCTGGGCTGGCAATTTCCTGCTAGCCTTAAAGCCACAGAAAAAGGAAATTCTCCCTCCATGAGCCAGGATGCAGTGACTCAGGGTTTGTAAGTGTGCTAGGTTGAACTGCAGAGTGTGGAACTTTCATGCAATGCTACTTGTTTTCAGGGTCCTCTTGGGGTACTGGAGACAGGCCTGCCATGCCCCTGCTGGGTAACTGAGGATGCCCCTCTGCCTTTTAGAGCCAGCATCCTCCTGTATTCAAAGCACAAAGGAGATAAGGATGGCTGCTCACAAGGCTTCATGAGGCTGCAGGGCCAGTGACACGCGGGTGGGAGCTGCCTTATGGGCTGTAAGCAGCACCCAGGTGGGCTCTGGGTCTCTGAGCCACCCACAGGGAGACTTGCAGTCAGGTGAGCCCTGCCCAGGAGCACCCAGCACAGCCTGGCTGGGTCCCTGACCTCCAGCTGTGGCACTTGGGGTAGTAGCATGCGTGTGGAAGACCCTAGCTCGGATACAGGGAGTTCCAGCCCCACAGAGGTAGGGCACTCCAGGGCTCCTCCCACTCTCCCTGACAGCGGGCCTGTCATCTCACCATATTTCCCTTCACCTTCCTCAGCGGTTCCCACTCCCACCCAGACCCCCGCATGGCCCCTCAGGCCCTGGGATGGGGCTCCTGCTGCAGCCGCCAGGCTGGGGCCTGTGCTGGGCTGTGGCCTACCCATGGGACAGTGCTGTGAAGGGAAGGAATGGTCCAGGGGTGGGCAGGAAGGAGGGCATGCTGGAGCAAGGGCTTCCACAAACTCATCCACAGAAAGAGAGAGATTTCCATCGCAACCTGGTACACTACTGGCGGGTGTGGGTGTGTGCGTAAGTGAAACAAAAGATCCAGGAAACAGTATTTCCCGTTCCTGTACACAATACGCTCCTATACTTTATATCCTAGTCTGCTTAAGTTCTTTTTGTTTTGTTTTGTTTTTAGAGACAAAGAGTCTTGCCCTGTCACCCAGGCTGACAAGTATAGTTCACTGCTGCCTCGAACTCCTGGGCTCAAAGGATCCTCCCACTCAGCCTCCCAAGTAGCTAGGGCTACAAGTGTGCGTCACCATGCTGTTAATTTTTTGAAATGTTTTCTAGGGACAGGATCTCATTTTGTTGCCTAGGCTGGCCTCAAATGCCTAGCCTCAAGCAATCCTCCTACCTCAGCTTCCCAAAGTGCTGGGATTACAAGTGTGAGCCATTATGCCCAGTTGGCTTCAGTTCTTAATGCTGGTTGATAATCCACTAAATGAAGTCACAATCTGTGAATGAGTCTCACTCATAGTTTGCCAGTCCCAGGACTGGGGGAAGTGGTGGAGGCTTGGGGAGCCCGGCATAATGGCAGAGGGTGGGTGTCCTGAGTTTGGCCTGGGAGTCGTGGGGGGCAGTGGAGTGTCTGAAGAGAGGGTGAGGGGTATGGGTGACCAGGGGCTCCTCAGCAGTGCTGTGGAGGGGCTGTCGCTGGCTGGGACTGACCTTAACAGAAGGGAAATGCACTATCTCGTGTCCTGCGATCTGGGTCAGCAGCTCGGTCGTGTCATCTGGGATGCAGGCTCCTTTCCTCTTTCTCCTCCTCCATTTCACAGCTCCAGGTTCACCACTGCACAGTAATGGCCAGAGCAAGAAAGGGACCATTGTGCCCTGTACCCCCTTCTTAGGCACCAGGTAGACTTTCCCTCTGTCTCGTTGACCAGGACAAAGCCAAATATGTGTCCCTAGTAGGGAATGTGGTGAGCCTAATGGCATGGGCAGCGACATCCCCTTACTGGTGAGAGCCCAGTTGGGGAACTCACGCCACAGAAACAGTTTATAATGAGAGAACTCTCTTTGCAGCAAGGTATTCACTGCAGCATCATTTGTAATAGGAAAAAGCTAGAACACTTCACATACCCTGACTAGGGCCTAATTGAGTAAATGAGGTTTTATCAACTTGATGGAAGATAATTTCGACACTGAAAATACAGTGGACCCTCATAACTCCTGGATTCTGTATTTGCAAGTTCACCTACTTGCTAAGATGTATTTGTAACCCCCAAATTAATACACTTGGCACTTTCACAGCCATTGACATGCTCAGAGCAGCGAAAAACTTGAGTTGCCAGACATGAACACACATTCCCAGCTGAGGTCAAGCAAGGTGACACTCTGCCTTCCTTTTTGAGTTCTCGTACTATAAGGTGTCCTTTTTGAGGTCCCCTTAGTGCTGCGTGTTCAGAACCAAACTCCCACTCATTTTGGGTGAACAGAACCAAACCCCCAAGGGATGCTACAGTGGTAGGAACATGTGCACATCTGTTTGACAGAGCTGTGACTCATGAGGCATTTTGCAGAGCAACTGCCTAATGGGGTCTGAAGCACAGCCCCAGGAGAAACCTTGTCTTGTTTTTTCCCTTTTTTTTGAGACAGGGTCTCTCTCTGTCACCCATGCTGAAGTGCAGTGGCAAAATCAAGGCTGTCTGCCTCCCGGGCTCAAGTGGTCCTCCCATCTCAGCCTCCCGAGTAGTGGGGACTACAGGCATGTGCCACCATGTCTGGGTAATGTTTGTATTTTTTTAGAGACAGGGTTTTGCCATGTTGCCCAGGCTGCTTTTGAACCCTTGGGCTCAAGTGATCCCCACCTTGGCCTCCCAGAGTTCTGGGATTACAGGTGTGAGCCACTGCACCCAGCTGTTTTTTCTTTTTCGGGAGTGTGCATCCAAGAGCTAATTGGACACCCGTGTTCATAGCAGCATTATTCACAATAGCCAAAAGGTGGAAGCAACGCTAGTGTGTATAAGCAGATGAGTGGATAAACCAACTGTGACACACATATGCAATGGAATATTATTCAGCACTTGAAAAAGAAGGAAATTCTGACACATGCTACAACACAGATGAACTTTGAGGACATTATGCTAAGCGAGAAAAGGCAGTCACAAAAGGACAAATACGGCATGATTCCATTCATATCAGGTACCCAGTGTAGACAGAAAGTAGAATGGTGGTTGCCAGGGACTGCGGGGAGGGAAGAGTGGGGAGTTGTTGTTTAATGGGTGCAGAGTTTCAGATCTGCAAGATGGAAAGCACTCTGGAGATGGATGGTGGTGACGGGTGCACAACAGTGTGAATGAACACGAATGCCACTCAACTGTATACTGAAAAATGGTTAAGATGGTTGATTTTGTTATATATGTTTAACCACAATTTTTAAAAAGAGAGAGAGGTATATAGTAGACAAGAGAGCCTGGACTTAAACAACGTGCACTCTGCACATCTGAATGAGAAGGACAATCGTTTCCTTCATCCTGAAACATCACAATGGCAGAGGGAGCCTTTGGGACATCCAGGTTCCCGCCGTGGGCAACGCCCTTGTGTGTCCTTTACAGAGCCCATTACTGCCTGGCCCGTGGTGGGACCAGGAGACCCCGGCTCACCTGTGTGCTGATGACAACAGCCGCACCCATCTTGACTGGGGTCTTTTCCTCTCAGTCTGAAGTTTTTTAGGCTTTATGAAGCCTGTGGTCACCTAAGCGCCAGGGAAGAGAAGGAGAGGCAAAGCTGTCATGAAAATTAAGACGAGCAGTAAGAAAAGGAATTTGGGGTTGGCAGTACATGAAACCTGCCATGCTGAAGCAATGCCCAGCTATGCAGAAAAACCTGCCACCGGGTACCCACCCCTGGCACACCTCTTTGCTTCTCAGCAACTTGTCTGCCCCACCCCAAACCCACACCTCCCAGCCATGGCCTGGAGCCCTGGCCACACAGACCTGAGACCATGCATCTTTTTGACATATCCTTCACGGTTCCCAGGGCGTCATTACTCAGGCAGCAACTGTCTCAGAACCTCAGCGTGTGATCCCGGCCCCTGCAGCAGCCCCTCTCCCACCCATGAGGGGCTTCCAGATGCTCTGTTCAGGTGAGCAGATCCACTCTCCCCAAAGGCCATCCTCCTTATCTCTTCCCATTCAGAATTCTCTGTGAGCCTCCAATGCCCACGTGGCTTTCTTTTCTTTTTAAATGTACCTGTTATTTGTTTTGGATTAATGTAAACATGAATATGGTCCTACATTCAAAACTGTCTCCAAGACAAGAGGTTCTGCTTCCCCGAGACCAAGGCACTGACTGGCTGATAGGGTCTCATTCTGGAAATATTCTGTTCACCTTCAACAAATGCACATATACACAGACACTCACACATGCATTTTCTTATTTTTCTGCACAAATCATAGCACACTGAGTACACTGGTCTGTGCCTTTACAAATTATTGGAGATTGTTCTTGTTCCATTTTGGGATATAGAATTTTCTCTTTTTTTTTTTTTTTTTTTTTTGAAGATTGCAGAGTGTTTCACTCTGTAGATACAATTGATTTAACTGGTCCCCTGTGGATGAAGAGATCATTTCCTAGCTTTTCTGTAATCAACAGGCTGCAATAAACAACTTTTATAGTTGTTATTTTCCTCACATGCATCATTTGTAGGACAAATTCCATCAAGTGAAATTATTTAGTTGAAGAGTATGGGCATTTAATGTTTTGATCAATATTGTCAAAATAATAGAGTCGTTGATGACAGTTATTTAACCTGGAGGTGGCAATGGACTTCAACTGTTGGGGTTGCAGACGGACATTGGGGGGTCTGTGAGTCCTTAGATTTGTAGGCAAAAGTTGTGTGTGTGTATAGGTACATTTTTCTTGGTAACCAAAGCCATCATCAACTCATAAGAAGGGTCTGTGCCCTCTAAATGTTATCTCGCCCACCCAGCTGATTGATCTCCCATCTCTCCTTTCCAAAAGTGAATTTCCCATCCTTTAGAGAGGCCTCTCTTAGACATTCCCTCCCCTGTATCTTTCTCATGGAACGTCTCTTCCTGCCCTCTGTGCCATTCCAAATGGTTATGGCTACTACAGCCAACATTCACCATGTGCCAGACAGACTCATCAAACCCTCACAAGGGCCAGATGATAGAGGGGCCAGTGAGACCCCCACCTCTTCTATTTGATAGACAGGCACACAGAGGCACAGACAAGCTAAATGACCTACCCACCAGGCAGAGCTGGGATTCAAACCCAGGAGGAATGGCGCTGCATGGTGCATGGACTGGAGGTGAGAGTAGAAGCAGAGAGCTGGCCTCAGGCTTTCTCAGCCCTGGCCACCCTGCCTGGGGAACTCTCAACAATGCAGCCTCCCTTACCTGTTCAAGCAGACTCTCTGGGGCAGGACCCAGACCCTGGGGCTTTCTTGAAGTCCCCAAAGGGTTCTAGGAGTAGCAGGACTTGGAGTGCTGCCCAGAGGGTAGTGCTCAGGTATGTGCGTATTTCAGAAGCTCTTTGCCCCCACAACACATTTTTTGCCGGCTTCTTTTTCTTTTAAAGCAGTTTCAAAATAATAAGCATCCTCCAAAAGTGACCAAAGAAGTTTTTGTTTTAAGTATCATTTTGAACTCGTGGATTTCACCTTAGTTGGTGCATTCCAATCCATTGTAGCTATAAGAAGCCCAAGCGGTCCCATCTTTGGCCAACAGGAGCCTGCCGAGTCCTTTTGACTGGACCTGAGGAGCCTTTGGAAGTTTTCTCTCTATCTGGTGTGGTAACATCCAGGTTCAACCTCCCTCTCCAAACCTGGCACCAGCCCTTTCTTCCTGGACTTCCAGATTCCAGATTGGAAGCTGAATCTGGGTGTTGTTACCCCAGTTCTTATATTCTAGTTCTTAACCAACTTTCTAAACATGAAGGAGCTCTTCTCCATGTTCTAGAGAAGAATAGGTTTTAAAAACCTATTGTTAATATCCATCTTTCCTTAAGACATCCTTTCCAGTTTCAGTTCAGCCTTTTGGAAAATCTATATAAGACAGTGTTTCTTATAGAAAAGGATTTTGCCAGTGTTGTGCTTGAAATCTACTTGCTGTAAATGGCTCACTGTAATCAAATATTTCTCCACTTTGAGGGCCAGCCTCAACCATTGAAAAATATCTCCAGCTCTGATGAGATACAAAAATAAGCATTAAAATGGGAAAGCAGTTTAGGCCACCATACGAGCTTTAAGAAAAAGTAAAAACAAATACTCAAAGTTTTCACAACTATAAGAAATCCAACCTAGACTACTGGAGACAGAAATGAGATCACTAAGTCTACTGGGTGTAAAGCCACCTGCAGCCCTTGGCTCTGGTCCCTCCTACTGTTTAGGAGGTAGAGGGGTGTAGAAATAAGAAGTGAGTGACTTTCTTTGGCAGAACATTGATTCTGCAACACTGAAGCCATTGCAGGAAGGTTCCCACAATGTTTGAGCAGATTCCCAAATACTCAGAGGCCCCTGGCCTGTTGTGAAAGGTAGGACAGGGATCCCTAAGCCATAGCTGGAATCCAGAGAGAGGAGGCCGCTGATGGGCTCCCTGAGACTGCAGGCGTGATATCCCCATCAAGGCCCCTAATGCCCCAGGCAGACCTTGGCTGAGGCTGTAGCAGGCCACCCTCTGGCACATTCTAGGAGCCTCTATCTGGCCTTGCCCTTGGCCTTGAAATCTGGTTTCGGGGCAAGAACCACAAGTGTCCTACACCATGCCTGAGTCCCACCACGCACTGCCTGTGTGACCTCAGGCCCCAGTTCCCTCTGGTACAGACTATCTCATGGACTGTGGCAAAGATTAAATGTGCAAATGTAAGTAACATGCATATGGCTGTGTCTGGCCAGGGAAGCTTCTGATGGCAAGAGGGGCACCGGGACCCCTCTGCAGGCACTGACTGGCAAGATGGGGCTGAGGTTCCCTTGCTGTCCCCATGCCTGGCGCAGGTGAGCTTGCAGTAAGCAGTGGAAGGTATCAAATGGCAGTTCTCTGGTCTTTCCAAGGGAGTTAGAATTGTTGTGTGGACTAAACCAGGCAGTCTGAGTGAATGTATTTTATAAACTGTAAAGCACCTGGTGAACCACTAATAACCAGCATTGTTTGGGTGCTGTTCATGTGCCAGCATCTTAATGCACTTCTCATGGCTTCTTGGCAAGCGCCTTAAAGCTGAGGCCTGGTACCTTTCTGAAGCATCAGCAGCCCTTGTCACTGGGATTGACATGCACAGTTGACGGGGAGCCAGAGGACAGCGGCTTCCATCCCTCACCACCCCCTCCCTAGGACAAGCCGGCCTTGACTCATTCTCCGGCAGTCTCAGACCAGCCTAGGACTTCCAAAATTCACTTAGATATTGATTGTTAAGGGGGAATTTGCTTCCAGAACTGGCGCTTTAAGAGGCAGCCACGCTGCTGGAGTTGTTTTCTGGCCCTGTAAAGCTGTGATTGTGCTCCTTGCTGAGGAGTCTCTGCCTTGTGGTCAACTTCCTGTTCTCTTCTGGCTTCTCATCTCCCTTTTCTTTTTTCTCCTTAAGAGACCATGAATACTCCATAAATTCAAAGACAACAGCCAGACAACAGCAAGTGGAAGCCTCAGAAGGGAAAGGGTGACATATCTATGTCTATGTATTGGCCAGTTGTAAGATAAGAACTGCTGGTTCCAGAAAGCTAGGGATATATTTTGGAAAGCAGAACTGAAGTTGTATATCTTTTGGCTGAGCTATACAGAAGGGCGTGAAGGCAGGGCGCAGTGGCTAATGCCTGTAATCTCAGCACTTTGGGAGGCCAAGGCAGGAACATTTCTTGAGGCTGGGAATTTAACACTAGCCTGGGCAACACAGCAAGACCTGGTCTCTACAAAAAATAAAACAAAAATTGGCCAGGTGTGGTAGTGTGTGCCTGTAGTCCTAACTACTTAGGAGGCTGAGGTGGGAGGATCATTTGATCTCAGGAGTTGGAGTCTGCAGTGAGCCATGATTGAACCTCTCTCTGCACTCCAGCCTGAGTGACAGAGAGAGACTCTCTCAAGAAAAAAAAAAAAGTGAGTGAAGTTGTTTGGTATAGAAAGTTTCTAATACATCATTCAGAACTGAGTTACCCCCACAGACATGAGCTTCCAATCAAAATTCACTAAACATAAGAGGAAACAAGTGAACAAGAATGGAAGTTAATGGAAGTGACAAATTGCAGAATCAAGCTATTGAGGTCAAGTGAATGGAATTTTCAGATATTGAATATAGAATGAATACCAAGCAGGAGTAATAAAAAAAAATCCACATCTCAACACATGGTATCACTGTTTCACAAACTGCAGAATGCCAAAGACAGAGTGAAGACTAAATATAGCCAAGTAAGGAAGACAGATTCCTACAAAATAAGAGTTCAACTGACAGCTGACCTTTCAACGGCAACAATGGAAGCAAGAATACAACAGAATCATATGAAAAAATATACAACACAGTGGAAATATATCTTGGAAGTGTGGAGAGAAAATAATTGTCAGGGGAAATTTAAGGACATTTTCTAGTAAATCAAACTGACTACTAGCCACTGACCTTCACTAAAGAGACTACTAAAGGGTGCACTTCAGGAAGAAAGTAAATTATGTCAGGAGGAAAATCTGGAATGCAAGAATATCTTCATGACTCCCAAAATAGAGAAGAATTTCTTAAACTTTATAAAAAACATAGTCAATAAACGATTGACATATTCAACTGCATTAAAATTACAGGCTTAATTAATCAAAGGAAGCCATAAAGTATGTGAGTGCTAGCAGAATATATTTGCAATGTTTATGACAGCCCATGAAATTTGCACTATTAGCAAGAATTCCTATGAATCAATAAGAAAAAGAAAAATCTATTTTAAAATATTTAACTGATTAAAAAAAGACTTTACAGAGGAGGAAATATTAATGGCTAACAAATATATAAAAATAAGCTCTATCTCATTAGTAAACAATTCCACAGTGTCAGTGAGCAACAGGGAATGTGCCACAGCACGCTGTGAGGTTAATGGGGTGAGGGGAGATGGCCCACTGAGGACTCCAGGTACTTTTTAAAGAGACAGTCACAACTCATTCCAGCCTACTCTGACCTGAGAAATGGGTACACTGTGGCCAGGACCCATGGATTTCTAAAGAAATGACCCAAATATGGATTTTCCATGTGAAATATCCTGTTTTAAATGTTGGCAACTTATTCAGAATTGTTTAAAAGTGTATATGCCAATACTGCTTGAGCCAACAAGACATATTCACAGGCCAGAGTTGGTCGAGAGTCCCTCTGTTCACGATTTCTGCATTAAACCCTTGAATTTCTTTTTTTATTTTTTATTTATTTTATTTTATTTTTTTATTATACTTTAAGTTCTAGGATACATGTGCACAAAGTGCAGGTTTGTTTCATGTGTATACATGTGCCATGTTGGTGTGCTGCACCCATTAACTCCTCATTTACATTAGGTATATCTCCTAATGCTATCCCTCCCCCCTCCCCCTACCCCACAACAGGCCCTGGTGTGTGGTGTTCCCCACACTGTGTCCAAGTGTTCTCATTGTTCAATTCCCATCTATGAGTCAGAACATGCAGTGTTTGGTTTTCTGTCCTTGCAATAGTTTGCTCAGAATGATGGTTTCCAGTTTCATCCATGTCCCTACAAAGGACGTGAACTCATCATTTTTTATGGCTGCATAGTATTCCACGGTGTATATGTGCCACATTTTCTTAATCCAGTCTATCATTGTTGGACATTTGGGTTGGTTCCAAGTCTTTGCTATTGTGAATAGTGCAACAATAAACATACGTGTGCATGTGTCTTTATAGCAGCATGATTTATAATCCTTTGGGTATATCCCCAGTAACGGGATGGCTGGGTCAAATGGTATTTCTAGTTCTCAATCCTTGAGGAATCGCCACACTGTCTTTCACAATGGTTGAACTAGTTTACAGTCCCACCAACAGTGTAAAAGTGTTCCTATTTCTCCACATCCTCTCCAGCACCTGTTGTTTCCTGACTTTTTAATGATCACCATTCTAACTGGTGTGAGATGGTATCTCATTATGGTTTTGATTTGCATTTCTCTGATGGCCAGTGATGATGAGCATTTTTTCATGTGTCTGTTGGCTGCATAAATGTCATCTTTTGAGAAGTGTCTGTTCATATCCTTCACCCACTTTTTGATGGGGTTGTTTGATTTTTTTCTTGTAAATTTGTTTAAGTTCTTTGTAGATTCTGGATATTAGCCCTTTGTCAGATGGGTAGATTGCAAAAATTTTCTCCCATTCTGTAGGTTGCCTGTTCACTCTGATGGTTGTTTCTTTTGCTGTGCAGAAGCTCTTTAGTTTAATTAGATCCCATTTCTCAATTTTGGCTTTTGTTGCTGATGCTTTTGGTGTTTTAGACATGAAGTCCTTGCCCATGCTTTTCAACCCCTTGAATTTCCTAACAATCGGATGTGACTTTACCATGACTCAGAGGGGCCAGGCTTCCTGCTCCATTTCCCCCTTGGTTCCCTCCTAACTTCACCTGAGCTTTTAACTAGAGACAGAAAAGAGATGCCCTGCAAAGGGAAACATGCTCTATACTGGCTAATGAAGCTCCTTCTTTTATGCTTTTATCTTCCAGATATTTGGGTTCTGGGTCTGGATCCTGGTAGCCACCACCCAGGTAGCAAACCCATTGCTGCAAGGATGGGTGATGTATGTCTCACTCACCTTGTTTCTCATCTCCCTGGTGTTCCTGTTGTCTTCCTTGTTTGGATTTGAATCCTGGAGAGTTCTGGTAAGAACCAGCAGCATAACTCCTCCTGGGTGGATGTCCTGGGTTGGGTGAGGACAATTGGTCTTTCTGGGCAGGGAGGGATCCTGGGCTAGGCTCCTATGGAACCAAGACTTACTACCAGGCCAAAATGAAGACATTTCTCTGCAAGAGTAAATCATTCCTTGTATTCCCCTTCACTGCCTTCTGTGTTAGGAGAATACACAATGCCCTGTGATCAAGCATATTCTGATGTGTTTCCCCTAAATTTTCTTCCTGGTAAAATCCTTGGAGCAACACTGAAGAAAAAGCTAGTAGGAAAAAAATCACTCCATTCTCAAGGCCCTATCACAATCCCTGTGACAGGTTATTTCTTCCATATCCCACATAAATTTTATGCAAAAAATATATATATATAATATGCTACAAATAATTTTGGATGTGGATGCTTTCATTTAATATTATATCATTAATTTTTATGTTGTTGCATCATCTCAAAAAATCATTTAGAAGTGTTCCATATTGAACAATTAAAGACATATTTAAAAGTACAAAATATTGTATTATAAGCCCTCATGTAGCCATAACCAAGATTCCAGCATTATCAAGATCTTACCACATTTGTTTCATCTAGCCTTTGTCCCCACTAAGGAATTTTAAGGCAAACTCCAGAAATCATGTCATTCTATTCCACACACTTCAGTATGTTTCCAGAAAACCCCGCAAACTTTCTCACATTATCACATGTATACAAAGTTAACAATTCCTCAGCATACCTAAGATAGTATACAGTGGTTCACCCTATTTCAGGACGATAAGTCCCAAGACCCCCCAGGGGATGCCTGAATCCTCAGATAGTACTGAACCCTGATTATGCTGTGCATGCACTTCTTTTTTCTTCCTCACAATTTCACAGATAGACAATTCATTCTTACTGTATATCTTAACAACCTCAGCATATTTTTTTCTTTCCTTATTATATTGAAAACTTTCACCTTTTCACTTAAAGAAAGCACTCTATGACTTCTCTTTGGCATATCCAAATTGCCAGCATCACTACTCTTGCAATTTGGGGCCATTACGAAGTAAAATGAGGATTCTTTGAATGTAAGCACTGCAGTACCACAACAGTCAATCTGATAGCCCAGACGGGTACAAAGTGACTAACATGGGTGGCACAGACAGTGTAGATGTGCTGAACAAAAGGATGATTCACTGGGATGATGTCCCAGGTGGCACAGGGTGGAACAGTGCAAGATTTCATCATGATACTCAGAAAGGCAAACATTTAATTGTTAATTTCTGGAATTTTTCATTTAATATGTCAGACCAAGATTGACTTTGGATAACTGAAACATACTGATCTTTATTAATCTGCCATTTTTTATGACATAGACATTACGTTTAAAACACGGTGTATTAGTCTAATCTCACACTGCTATAAAGAACGAGCTGAGACTGGGTAAATTATAAAGAAAAGAGGTTTAATTGACTCATAGTTCCTCATGGTTAGGGAGGCCTCAGGAAACTTACAATCATGGTGGAAGGTGAAGGGAAAGCAAGGCACGCCTTACATGGCAACAGGAGAGAGGTGGGAGGTGAAAGTGCTATATTTTTAAACAATCAGATCCCATAAGAACTCATTCACTATCATGAGAACAGTATAGGGGAAACTGCCTCATGATTCAATCACCTCCCACCAGGTCCCTCCCTTGATACATGTGGATTACAATTAGAGAAGAGATTTGGGTGGGGAAAAAGAGCCAAACCATATCATTACACCCCCAGCCCCTCCCAAATCTCATGGCCTTCTCACATTTAAAAACTCAATCATGCCTTCCCAACAGTCTCCCAAAGTTTAACTTATTCTAGCATTAACCCAAAAGTCCAAGTCTGAAGTCTCATCTAAGACAAGGGAAGTCTCTTCTGCCGTGAGCCTGTAAAATCAAAAGCAAGTTAGTTACTTCCAAGACACAATGAGGGTACAGGCATTGGGTAAATGCTCCCATTCCAAATGGAAGAAATTGGTCAAAACAAAGGGGCTACAGTCCCCAGAAAAGTCCAAAACCCAGGGCAGCCATTAAATATCAACACTCCAAAATCTCCTTTGACTTCATGTCTCACATTCAAGTCATATTGTTGCAAAGGGTAGGCACCCAAGGCTTTGGGCAGCTCCACCCCTGTGGCTCTGCAGAGTACAGCCCCTGCAGCTGCTTTTATAAACCAGCATGTAGTGCCTGTGGCTTTTCCAGGTGCCTGGTGCAAGCTGCCAGTAGACCTACCATTCTGGGGTCTGAAGGATGGTGGCCCTCTCCTCACAGCTCTACTAGGTAGTGCTGCAGTGGGGACTCTGTGTAGGGGCTCTGACCCCACATTTTCCTTCCACACTTCCCGAGTAGAGGTTCTTCGTAAGGGCTCCACCCCTGCAGCAGACTTCTGCCTGGACATCCAGGCATTTCCATACATCCTCTGAAATCTTGTCAGAGGTTCCTAAACCTCAATTCTTTCCTTTTGCCTGCCTTTAGGCCCAACACCATGTGTAAGCTGCCAAGGCTTGGGGCTTACACCCTCTGAAGCAATGGCCCAAGCTGTACCTTGGCCTCCACTGCTGGAGCTGGAGCAGCTGGGATAAGGGTGCTGTGTTCCAGGACTGCACAGAGCAACAGGGCCCTGAGCCTGGTCCACAAAACCATTTTTCTCTCCTAGGTCTCTGAGCCTGTGATGGGAGGGGCTGCTGTGAAGATCTCTGAAATGCCCTAGAGACATCTTCCCCATTTGTCTTGGGGCCTCTCATTACTTATGCAAATTTCTGCAGCTGACAGCTTGAATGTCTCCTCAGAACATGTGTTTTTCTTTTCTACCACATGGTCAGGCTGCATATTTTCCAAATTTTTATGTTCTGTTTCCCTTCTGAACATAAGTTCCAGTTTTGGACCATCTCTTTGTGAATGCATATGATTATACACTTTCAGGAAAAGTCAGGTCACATCTTGAATGTTTCACTGCTTAGAAATTTCTTCTGCCAGATACCCCAAATCATCTCTCTTAAGTTCAAAGTGCCACAGATCTCTAGAGCAGGGGTAAAATGCCACCAGTCTCTTTGCTAAAGCATAGCAAGAGTGACCTTTATTCCAGTTCCCAATAATTTCCTCATCTCCATCTGAGACCACCTCAGCCTGGATTTCACTGTCCATATCACTATCAGCATTTTGGTCAAAATCATTCAACAAGTCTCTAGGTAGTTCCAAACTTCCCCACAGAATCCTGTCTTCTTCTGAGTACTCCGAACTGTTCCAAACTGTCCATTACCCAGTTCCAAAGTCACTTCCACAATTTCAGGTATCTTTATAGCAGTGCCTGACTTTAAGCACCAATTTTCTGTATTAGTCTGTTCTCACACTGCTATAAAGAAGTATTTGGGACTGGGTAATTTATAAAGAAAAGAGGTTTAATTGGCTCACAGTTCTGCATGGCTGGGGAGGTCTCATGAGACTTACAATCATGGTGGAAGGTGAAGGAGAAACAAGGCATCCTTATATGGCAGCAGAAGAGAATGGGGAAGTATCACACTTTTAAACCATCAGATCCTATGAGAACTCCCTCACTATCACGAGAACAGCATGGGGAAACCGCCCCCATGATCCAATCATCTCCCACCAGGTCCCTCCCTCAACACGTGGGGATTACAATTCGAGGTGAGATTTGGGTGGGGACACAGAGCCAAACCAAATCACACAGCAAACAAAAAAAGCAGGAGTTTGTGGGGCTGGCCTGCCTCATTTGCTCATTCTTTACAGCTATGTAGCCAAAAAGGAAAGTGCTCACCTGAGTGACATGGCCATATGTGGCTCTGCTCTGCATTTCCATGACAGCCTGTACCACGGGACCACTGGCATTCTGTACATGAGTGCTGCTGTCCTACAAGTACATGTCATGATCATGTCTGAGGCCCAGGACCTGAGAAACTACTGCATTAATACGGCAGCCTTAGTGAGTGAGCTGGCTGTGGACAGCAAGTCTTGGCTGGAGGATGTTTAGTGCAGGAGGCCTAACTCTGCTTGTGCTGTATGGACCCTGAGCCTTCAAGTGGAAGGAGCCATGGGGGCAGGGAGAGGGATGCTTGTCCCTGTAAACATGTGTACCCACATTCAGGGGTCTTCTTTTACCTTCTATCATTCCCACCCCAGTTTTCCTCTCTCTTAGACACCCCCACATTGTCTGCAGAATTTTTTCCAAAACACAAATTGGAACAGGTGTCTCTCTTCTACTGAAAATCCTTCAATGGCTCCTACTGCCTTTGGAATGGGGCCCACATCCTTCAGCATGACTGAACTATTCCAGTGTCCTTTGTGTCAATCACAGAACCCTACAGGGGTAATGTACTGGTTGTGGGACCACGGCGAGGTGGTCCAGCCACAGGGTGGAGAGAGCAGGGCCCCCAGGCTTCAGGTCCCCTGGGGCCTCCTGAGTCTGCCACTTACCAGCCAGCTCTCCTCTCCTTCCCTTGTGGGATGGCGCCCTCACATGGCAGAGAGCTCATAGTGACACATTCCTCCTTTGAAGTCCATTTTCACGCTGCCAATACTGTGCATGCAGACATACCCAAGACTGTGCAATTTACAAAAGAAAGAGGTTTATTGGACTCACAGTTCCACATGGCTGGGGAGGCCTCACAATCATGGCAGAAGGCAAGGAGGAGCAAGTCACATCTTACATGCATGGCAGCAGGCAAAAAGAGAGCTTATGCAGAGACACTCTCGTTTTTAAAACTATCAGATCTCATGAGACCCATTCACTATCACAAGAACAGCACGGGAAAGACCCACTCCCATGATTCAATCATCTGCCACTGGGTCCCTCCCACAACACATGGGAATTATGGGAGCTACAGGATGAGATTTGGGTGGGGACACAGAGCCAAACCATAGCAGAGTGGCCTAACCTTCCTGAATCCTACCTTGAAAACTTCCAACGCCAAGGCTACATCTCTTCCCATCCCTGGATCAGTCACTGTGGCCAGAAAGCCCCATGTCAGCCTGGCAGCTCTTGCAGGCTCATGTGGCCATGGCAGAAGGAAGGGGTACATGGTGGGGTGCTGTCTTCAGAGTAAGTATGGGGTTCCAGGGAGCACTGTGACCCTGTGGGGTGGCCACAAAATATCTCAGCTGCCTTCCAGCCTGTCTGCCTCCCTTCCCCCCTCATCAGGTGAGTTTAACTACCTAAACTTGCAAGTCCAGAAGTGACCCCTGGGGCCCTCCATGAGCCAGCCTGTCCCCAGCAAGGCCCCCTGCTGTTCACCCATGGTCAGCTGCCCCAGCTACACCACCCTCCTCACTGCCCATGGGCACACAGACATGCACTCGCATGGGACCTTGGCAGGGGTAACTGCCTGGTGACTCCTGCCTCCTTCTGTCATCTTGACAGGGCCTTCCCTGATGGCCCCTCCCCTGAGACCTTGGCATTCCGCTTTTCGCTTCCCTGCTTCATTTTCTCCCAGGCATTTAACTCCATTTAACCCACGAATGTGCTACTTATTATCTTGCTGCCATCTGCTTCTTATCTCTCAAATGTAAGCTCCATGAGGGCAGGAATTTTTGAATATTTTCTTCACTGTTATACCCACAGTTGTTCTTGAAGGAAAGCAGGTGCTTAAAAGATATTTGTTGACTGACTGAATGAATGAGGAGCATGTGAGTGGACAGTGGGGCAGAGTGGGGCTGGGATGGTTGGCAGGACCCGAAAGGTGTTGAAGGTGACGGCCCCTACCCTGAGAAAAGAGCAGAGCCATCACACAGCTTCAACATGGGGCAACACAGTCGTGTTCTCCCCATGAGTGAGAAGTGTCCTCACTTATCCACTTCTGCCTGTCCTGCCCAAATCGTGGAGCAGATTCGAGGGGCAGGGCAGGCATAAGTGGAAAAGTGAGGCCATGAGGAGTCCTGGCCTGGGATGCCGGTGGCTGAAACAAGGGAGAAATTCATGTCCCATGAGCTAGGCAGGGAAATCAGTAGCCTTTGGGGTGGCTTTGCACATGGCTGGCAAGGGAGGCAGGAGGAGTCAGGGGCCACAGGCATCAGGCTCAGAGAGCAGGGCAAGAAGAGGAACCTGGGGCCCACTGGGCTTGTGAGGCTTGTGAAGAAACATCAGAGGCTCAGTGTGAGCCAGGAAGAGCTGGAGGAGTTCTGAACATTCACAAAGAGCTGAGGAGCTGCTCAGAGCAGAGTTCTGGGCCAGTGAGTGGAGCTGTAGGGGCAGTCAGAGCATGGGTTTTCTGGAGGTGGGCAGAGGAGAGTGGGCCTTGGGCAGGAGGTCAGCGTGGGACATGGACCCAGGGCCGGGGTGGAGGCAAGCCTGCTTCACAGCCAGGTGCAGATGAGACGGAGACTGCAGTCAGGGCAGGACACCAGGATAGCCCCAGGGACACCCTGATGGAGAGTTTCCAGGAGAGGGAGTCGTCGGCCAGGGGTTGCTCCCCTCAGGCCAGGCAGGAGGCTAGGAGGCAGGGTCATGCATGGGCTCCTGGGCAGCGGGGCTGAGGGTCCCTGGGGGTGGGCAGGAGCTGGCACTGCTGTCTCTAACAGTCACTCTCCACCTCCTTCTAGTTCTTCGCCTTCGTCACCATGCTGCTCTACATTCTCCATGCCTTCAGCATCTATTACCACTGATGCACAGGCACCAGGCCAAGGGGGAAATACTCTTTGAAAGCCCTGATTATTTCTCCCCGAAAGCAGCTTCCAATGCTTGCCATCTGGATGATAAACAGAAGATCCACTAAAACATCCACAGGATTAACAGAGCTTCCTTGCAGACTAAGCGATGACACCACACTTTGGACATTTAAATTCACTCTACTGAATAGGAGGAAGCCTTTATTTTCCTTTTCCTGGGAAAGTAACTGTCTCTTGGAATTATCTGACCGTGAACTTCCTCTTCTAGCAAACTCACATGAAAGCCCTCACTGTTGAGAATCCCAGCTCCACTGTCAAGCCTGTTTGGGGATTTTGCCTCAGCTGTGGGCTTCCCTAGAGTAGGTTCAGGGGAATACTCAGCCTGATTATCTTAAAATTGAAGAAGTGCCACCAAGGCCTTCAGATCTAATGCAGATCCACAGACCTTGCTCCTGGTACTTGTTCAGCCTGTGCTGGGGAGCCATGGTCCTGAGTTCCCGGGGAGGCTGGCAGGGTCAAGCCACCCTGCCCACCACCCTCCCACTTCCCCTCCCCTTTCCTCTCCAGCATTGGGATCCAAGGAAAATCTGCATGAAGCCAATTTTGAGGGTAGATTTGTGTGGAAAATAAATCATTATACAGTAAGACCTGGGGCTTGAGGGGTGGGGAATGGGGAGGGAAGGGCATAGCCTGCTCCTCCATGAGTCTGACATCTCAGAAACTGTGCAGCTGCCGGACGCCTGGGTCAGGACTCCAAGACCCCACCTCTTAAGGACAAGAAAATGCCTGGTTCCTCAGAAAAGACCCTCAGGGAAGAAGGTGAAAACATTACATCCAAGGATTCTCCTGCCACAACTGGATTGGAAGAAAAGGCTGCCGCATCATCTCAGCGAGGAGTGAAGGAACCATGTCCCGGGGACCGCGCTCCTCCACCTGCACTCACCCCCTCACATTCTCTTAAGCACCCTGTGGCCCTTCGAGGCCTGGCAGAATGGTGGTGCCCACCGGGTTGGGCCAGGGCTCAACGGGCAAAGTTGTGCACACTAAAATATCAAATCAAGGTGCTTGGTTTTAAAGTAAATGTTTTTCTAAAGAAAGCTGTGCTCTTCTGCTGACCCAGATGAGTAGGGCACAGCCCTGTAACTGCACTTGCCTTCTGTCATTTGGAATGAAATAAATTATGAGAAAGGGGCTTCTTAACTGATTCGAGTGCTTACAGTTTAGTATCAACCTTTTTCTCCTCCTGGGGTTTGCAGGGGCAGGGACAGAACTACAGGAGTCCTGGGAAAGAAAATTCTGGCTTCATTACTGCTCACTGCTCACTTTCTATCACTCTAATACTTTTTTTTTGCAACCTGATACCTTGAAAAGCCACCATGTGTCTCCCTTTTGTTGCCGGGCAGCTGTCTAGGATGATCACTGTTTAATATTTACTAAGTAGCCACATGCAAATAAAAGTTGTTTGTGTGGTAAAAAGGAGCAGTTGGTCGACTTCATCTTGTTAGCATCTGGAACTGGCCATCAGGTCCTAGGTGCTGTCAGTAATTTCACAAAAAGCACCCCTTGGAGCATTTCACAACACAAGTTTTGAGCATGGGAGCTCAGCCCACCCAGCCTTGCTTCTAGAGCAAGAGTGAAGGGAGGTCACATTTGTCTCCAAGGCTTTGGGTTTATAATGTCATTTCCACTTCAGTAAGGACAGTTTGGGTGCAAGTTCCAGAAACCAAACTCACACAGCTTAGGCAAAAATGGGAGTGCACCAGTAGGGGCTGGGAGAGGTGAAGAGGGCTCAGTAGGAGGAGAGCTGACCCCTGCATGGCTCTCTGCTGCACATTGGCCATCATCTCCTGCCACATTGCAAGACTTGTCCAAGTCTCAACAAACACTGGCCTACCATCCCCTGTACAGACACTAGAGGCTCAGCCTGGGCCCCCAGAGTGCACCTGCAGCTGTTGCAGTGCTACTACCTTTCTGCCTTGAGGGGCAGCCCTCCTCTCAGTGTAGGGGTCTCCCCAGGCTCTCGTCTTCTGAAGGGAACACCCCGAGGCTCTCCACAGGCTCATCAGAGGCCCCAGCTGGAGTGGGCTCTGGCGTAAACTTCACAGGCTTTCTCTTTTCCAGGCGCTGCACCTGTGGTTTCCCCTGGGCTTCCCAGGATCCTGCACCCAAGTCTTATCTCAGGGTTGGCTTTGGGGGAAACTTAGACCCAGATATCCTACAACCATCTCCTGAGGCCCCAGCATGTGCTGGGCGCTGGGGCGCAGTACCTTGAAACACAGGGTCCCACCAGTCACACCAGATGCCCCACACTGAGCAAGCAGCTCTGACTGGCAGCTTTGTCCAGGACAGCCAGAGGCTCTGCTTTGGCCAATAACTGGGCTCTGATCTTTAAAAGATAGAGGAAAAAGCACAATAAAATGTTAAAATTTGAAAAACAAACAACATCCTAATCTCTGGGGTTTGCCGCAGAGAAACTGGCAGCCCTACTTCCCACCCCAGAAGGAATCTTCAGGGAAGCACATCTCAGTAATAACTAGATGCTGGACTTGAGAGTCAAAGGCCAGCTCCTGTTCAAAGGGAGGGACTATGAGGGAGCATTACCAGTTCCTCCCCCACATCTGCAGAGCTCAGATCCCAATTTGTGCTGCTAGATTCACTCAGTTGGATCTGGTCCTCCTTGGGACACCAGCAGGTGATAAGCTCCCTTGCTCCAGAGCCTCTCTCTCCCTCCATCAGTCATCTCCAGTGCTGCACGTGCCTCTGTCTAAGCCTGATTCCTGACACTGTGCCTACCCATCACCCTCCATCACTTCCTGGGCTGGGAGAAGGGTGTGATGTTTCCATGGTGATACTGGACCACCCCTGTGCAGAGGCTTAATCACCATAAATTTTACTGATTCAGTGGCCCAGGGCTTTGTGTATAGGTAGGAAATAGGATTGTAAACACCTCTATCTCCCATGTATGTTTGTGTTCTCAGAGAAGGAATGTTGAAACTAGTGGCAAAATACCTGGGGTGAGTCAAGGCCCCACATAGATGCCTCTTCTGTTCTAACTTACTTGTCAGGAGGGTCCAGGAAACACACTGATTTCTGAGTCCACATCTAGGATCTCCATCCCCTGAAGGGCCACACATCCAGCTCACTGGTTCCAACCCACCTTACTGAGTCCCACTGACCAGAGTCCACCCTCATTCCACCCCAGTTTCTGTGCCTTGGGCCACGCCTGTGGGAGATTCTAGCCAGGTGGAGTATCTCTGGCTTGTCTCCTCCCTGCCCTGCCTTGTCTCCTCCCTGCCCTGCCTTGCCTGCCACAGGCCCCGAGGAACTCCACCCTGCTCCCCAGTCCTCTCTTCCCAGCCTCATTCCTGCCTGGCCATCCTGAGCCCTGCTTAGCACAATGACAATGCTGCCTCCCTTGTTGGGTCACAGCCACTCCTCAGAGGCATCACGTCCTCATCTGACAGATGAGGAAAAGCCTAGATTTCACATCCAGAACACATTGCAATCAACACTTAGATCAAGGCTTCTTAAATGCCAACCTCTGTATTTCTCCACCTTTTCTTCCTCATCTCAGCCTTTAGCCATAAGACATTTTCAAAGGAGAGACCCAGTTTATCAGAACATGCAAAACATCATCCCAGGAACATTAACTGTCCCGGGGCATTCTGTCTTCTCAGGTGATTTGATAAATTAAATGTGTGGTTTTAAGTGTCTGAAACTTCTGTGACAGTCAGTGCCCTGGACACCCATTCCTGCCTTCTCCGTTGCTAGCACACACCTGAGATTGTACTATGCTTGGGCTCCCTGGCAGCCAGGGCTCAATTCTGGCCACTGAGAGAAAGCCAAGGTCTGCTCCAGGGCTAGGGTTGCTTTCCTGATATGGTTGTCAGATACAGCTGGCTGTCTTAGACTGACTTTCCGGGGACAGACTCTGAGACAGAGAGCCCTGTGCATACAGGAGGTTTACTCTGGAGGCTTTCAGGAGATGCACCTGGGACAGATGAGGGAGGCAGGATGGGGCAGTGGGAAAAGCTGGCTGACAATGAGGTTGCAACTGAGGCTGTGGCTGACACTGCAGGGAGCTCTGGAGCTGGTTGGCCCTGCAGCTGCCCTGCCTTGAGTCAAGTGGGCAGAGCCTTCGTCTCTCATGTCAGCCGGTAGTTCCCAGGCAGGGGTGAAGGCATCTGTAGCAGCTGCTCTCCCCAGCAGCTGTAGGGAATGCCTTGGCTTGAACAGGTAACCTGGGCAGGGTGCCACCACATCCACTACACTGCCACCTCCTCTTCCTGCCTTGGACAAGGACTTCATGGCCAAAGAGATGGCAAAAATAGAAGCCCAGATGCCAACAGCTGTTCGACCAACACCAGCCACCTCTTTGCTTGAACTTCATAAGAAGTCCAAGATGACAAAATCCATTCCCCACTATGCTCAGCTCACGATACATGCAGCCAAATGCACTGCAGCCTGGTAGAAGTGCGCTTTCCCACCTTCCACTTCCTCCAAAGGCCCACCAGGGCCTTCCCTCCAAAGCCTGGTCCTCCCTCAGGCCTGCAGAGAAGACGGAACTTCCCAAGCTCTTGTCTCAGGAGAGAATGTGGATTGTAGAAAGATTGTGGGTGTGAGTGGAGTGGGAAGTTATTTAGGTAATAAGATTTTCAGGCTCGGCGCAGTGGCTCACGCCTGTAATCTCAGCACTTTGGGTGGCCGAGGTGGGCAGATCACAAGGTCAGGAGATGGAGACCATCCTGGCTAACATGGAGAAACCCCATCTCTACTAAAAATACAAAAAAACTAGCTAGGCACCTGTAGTCACAGCTGCTCGGGGGGCTGAGGCAGAAGAACCGTGTGAACCCAGAAGGCAGAGCTTGCAGTGAGCCCAGATCGTGCCACTGCACACCAGCCTGGGCGACAGAGCCAGACTCTGTCTCAAAAAAAATAATAATAAAAAAATAAAAAGTTAAAGAGGCCAAGAAACATCATTTAAAACACAATATAAATTTTCATCAGACATAAAAGATACAAAAATATTTTCATTTAATAAACGTCTTTGCATGTCACATTTAATGGGAAACAAAATATCATGTTAATAGCCTAGTAATACAATTTTATTAAAGTCAGTATAAGTTGAAAAGTTTATCAGTGTTAATAAGAATGAAAAATATGTACAATATGCAATTACTATTAAATACAATTTGCCCATAGTTGCACATTGAATTCATTATCACGGCAGTTAAATATCAGAGCTTCTGGTTTCTCACTCTTCATTCATGTATTCAGCAACCATGTGCTAAGGTACTAGGACAAGCACTGGAATTACAAGATAAAGATGATATGGTCCACCCCTCAACAACTGTTTGCTATAATCTGAAAAAACAAACAGGCAATTCCCATACAGAGTCATACATACAGTGACAGGCATAAGACAGCACTTATTAGAAGACATAGAAGGGATACTAGCCCAGGTTTGTGTCAATATTGTAGGCTTTTTGGTAGAGGCAATTCATAGGTTGATATCTGAAAGGGAAGGAAAACACATGTAGGATAGAGGGAAGAAGTAAATGCAAAGAGCTGGAGGTGAAGACGATCACTGTGGAGCTCCATGTAGTCTAGTTTGGCTGGATGATAGAACAAAGGTGCAGAGTATGGTAAGTGGCGAAAGAGAAGGCTGAATAACCTGACAAGAACCACACTGATGTGAGAGTTTTGATTCCATGCTAAGGAATTTTCAACTTTTCCCAGGGGCAAAAGTAAACCAATGACAAAGTCATGACTAGAGATTTAAAATGTCACTGGACAAGTGACTGCTTGTGACCTGTAATTGCTTAACTAATTATTATCACATGAGTGTGGGGTCTGTTAGCCTTAAATCACTACCTTAACCTTGAGAAGTTGATGATGCCTTTGTTTTCTGAGAACAGTTTCAGTGTGCAGGCTGACAGTTCTATAGGGGTGGCAGAAGAAAAGTGTAGGGCCAGAAAAAAAGGGATACACAGACTTCTTGCAATTTTTTTAAAGCTATGGAACATGAAGAATTAACAAAGCATAAGTATACTCTTCACTATGAATGTTTATGTTTTCACATCTTTCACTAGATGTGTGTAAGAAAAAATATTTAATGTAGCATTTATTAACCAAACAATTGAGAGGAATACCGTTCACTACTTAGAGTTTATTTCAGAAATCAATGATTTGAATTTAATTCATAAATTTTGGCAACATACCTTCATCTAGCTCTTGAACACCTGTGGCATCTGAAATAAAGCAAATATTACTTATAATGTTTCAGTCAAACAAGAGACATTATCATGTAAACCCACTGTAAGTCAAGGAGCATCTGTATTGTAGATTGATCATCCCTAATCTAAAAATCTGAAATCCAAAATGCTCTACAATCTGAAACTTTTTGAGCACGGACATGACACCACAGCTGCAACGTTCCACACCTGACCTCATGTGACAGGCTCTGGTGAAAATAGTAAAAACTTTGTTACCTGCAAAAAATTACTGTAAAACATTGTAGAGAATTACCTTCAGGCTATGTGCATAAGGTATATATGAAACATAAATGAATTTCATGTTTAGACTCAGGTACCTTCCCCAAGATATTTCATTAGGTATATACAAATATTCCAAAATCTGAAAAAAATCTACTTTTGGTCCCAAGCATTTTGGACAAGGGATATTTAACCCATCCTACTGGAAAAATAAAATTCCTTTTCAGTATGACAGAAATTAAGAGATCAGCTTACCAAACTTGAACGCTGCAGGATTTTCTCAAGTCGCTCAATTTGGTCATCCTGTTTTTTAATAGTTTTTCTCATCATGGCATTTTCTACTTCAAGCCTAAAATGTGCATTTTAAAATAATTACTCTCACACATAATTTTTTTTATCATGTAAATTCTAAACAAACTTCTGAAGGTATAATTACACAAATTCTTAGCGATCACAAAAGTAGATGATTGGGCTACTGTGTCATTTTTCTAACTGTGTTTTGTCGATAATATGCAAAATTTAGGAATAATGTAGAAAAATGATGTATTTCAATACAGCTTACAAATGAAACTTTTTTGGCTTCACAAAGACATACTTATTATCATAACTGATACAATTTTCATACTACAGTGCTCTTTTGCTTTATAAATACTCAAGTTATTTTGTGCGCTGCTTCAAATTTTACTTTTGTGCGTCGCCTTCCATCCCCTTAGTACATCTTATAGTAGCTGTAAGTTGATCCTGTGTTTCTTGAAGCTAAAACAAAGAATTAAAAAAAATTACATTTAGAAATGACCTAAATGTCCATCAGTAGATGAATGAATCAACAAAATATATATAAAATATTTTAGACTATCACAATCTTTTTTATTTAAAAAAGGTCATAATGTAGGAGAAATCATCCCATTACCTGTTTTTTGTAATTAATTTTAGTGGGACACTGCTACACCCCTTCAATCTGCATATCGTTAATGGCTACTTTTGTGCTATAACTACAGGGCTGAGTTATTGCAACAAGGATCTTATGGTTCACAAAGCCTTAAATAATACTATCTGGCCCTTTACAGAAAGTTCACTGACCCCTGCTCTAGGACTGAAACACAACATTCTTCTTGCTTTTGAATTACATTTTATCAGTTACATACTCAAACTTACAAACTGGTAAAATGTGGAAAGATAAAGGATTACCTCATGCTAAGCATTTATATTTTGAATTCCAAACACTACCACATCAACTATAATGTTATTTTTTGTATGTATGCATTTAGTTTTATTATAGCAAAGCAACTTGCACATTTTTAAATATTTAAAACCAAGCGTCATCTTTCCTTTCTAGGGAAACAACAAGAAAATTTAAAAACAAGCAGGAACAAAATTAAAATCGACAAAGTCAGTTCCAAATAAGATCCTACAGGATCTTATTGACTCTCCCATTGAATAGCAGGACTCAAGTCATCATTAGGAGAGAAGTAATTTAAAAGCATCATCTTAAACTGCAAAGATGTCCATTAAACACGCCAAAGGAGAAGGCTTGTTGTCTAAATGCCCACTCAACCAACCCAAACATCTCAAACCCATCCTTTGCTGACCTTCTATAACCCCCATTTTAGTTTAGCTTTTTCTATAAATAAGAGAAAATAGATACATGTTGGCAAATGCTAACTGTCCATATTCATATAGAGACAGAGTGTGCTCTCTGAGCCCAATACAAAGAGAGTAAGGATTTTCATCGAAATAAAAATTTATTCAGTAAAATGGCCTTTCTGAACAAGTTAACCTGAAATCTATGAAATAAGTATACACACGTTCTTTATACATTCAGAAAAGTAGAGACTAAAAATAAGATAATTTTCTGAAACATTCCATTAGACATTATCCTCTGAATTAATCTGGCTTGCCTCACCATGCCAATAGAGAAATCATTAAAAATAGACTGTTTAACAGGAAAAAAAACTCTCTCAACTTATGTGAGAAATGATGCATAATTCTCAACTTTCCTAAGGTTAAATATTTAAGAAAAAAACATATGTATAAAAAACGGCAGAATGAAAGCCAGAGATTAAGGTATAGGTGGCATTATAATAAAATTGTAATAAAATTAATAATAAGGAAAATACAAAAGAAAGCCATCCACTATAAAATTTTAATAAAATTAATTATAATAAAAATACAAAAGAAAGCCATCCACTAAAATTAGTACCCCAAAACACTTTATATTAGTTAACCAGCTACAGATTAACAGTTGTTGGCGTGCAAAGTTGCATACATACTTGACTTCTCATCTGGTCTAATTTCTTCCTTGAATCCTGCATCTCATTTTCTAAATAGATGCAGTGACGCGATGAAGCATCCAGCAAAGCTTTTGTTGCTGATTGTTTGTTTAAGACATCATCTCATTTTTGTTAAAGCTGTCTCACAGCTACCTGATGTTATTTTTGTTACTGATTTTACAAATCACCTTATTATTAAACCATTAATAATATTTAACTCTAAAGCATACACTTTGAAAAATACCACCACACAGACCGATTCACCTTCTTTTCCTCATGTGTACACGTCCCTGTTCATTACTGAATCCAGTTAAGGATACAGAAGGTGTTATCTTCCTGCCAAACTGGTATTGTTATTCACATAGCATATTCAGCCCACTAGTCATTCCTCCCCTGATGAATCTGCAATGCTTAAAAACCTTCTGAAGTCTCAAAAAGAAATGAGTATGTGGGTGAGACTGATGGTGGTAAATTCTACATTGTGGAATGATTTCCCTCTTTTTTTTATTACAAACTCAAATCAACCTCAGAGTTCCTCACATTAAATCATCTGCTTAAATCCTTCCAATAGATGTCTATCTCAGAAGAAAAGTAAAACTCCAGTGGCCTTAGATGCTCTAAGTAACCTGCCCTCCACCTCCTGCCCTGACTCAGCTGCTGTATCTCTCCTCCCTGACTCACTCCATTCCTACTCTGCGTGAATCCTGCCACTCCTCATTAGTCTGAAATCCTCCTTAGTCTGAAAACGGGGATCCAGTGTCAAACTAATAAATCACAGATAGCTATGCCTCTCTTTGTCCTGGACAAAGTTATATCCAAATGATAGTAATTGAGCCTTGAAATAAAAATTATGAGCAAATTCTTTGTTTAAAAACTGAAAGTAAATTATAAATGCCAGTGGGAAGATAAAATCAAACATGATTTGGCTAAAATTTACTGCATTTTCCCCATATTATAATATAAGTAAAATTAGACGCCTTTAAAGAATAGAATGATCATATCTCTACATAATTTGAGATTGAAATAGTTTCAGATTTAAGTCAAATTGACATGAAGAAAAACAAAATTTTACCAACAAAGACATATTTCAAGCTACTGAAGAAAAGTAATTATGAAATAGGGAATACACTTCAGTTCATCTAGGAAATCTGAAATTAACTGTCAAAGTACCCCATTTAATTGAATCAATTTCAAAATACCATTTTAGGTATGAGCATTTCCATATATCTGATTTATCATGGTCTTAAAATGTTGCAACATAAATACATTAAAATTATTATTTCAGCAGTATAAGACTACATTATTAATATTAGTCTATATTAACATTTTATAACTTAAAATTTTATAAGTGACACATTGACTTTAATCAGAGGAAAGCATCTCTCAGTTCTAACTTTGACTTGCTGGAAAAAAGGAATGTTTCTAAGCTGATATAGCAGATATATTTATCATATGTATCTTTTTTATATTCAACTAGATCCAACATTCAGCTGTAACCAAATATTACTTTAAATTTTACTTCAGGAAGTTTGAAAAATACTTATTTTTCTTGATACTTACTTCTCTTTCTGCTTGCTTTTTTTCATATTGGCGTTCTTTTTCTTTCAAATGATTCAATTCATTTACCAACCTTTTACTGTCTTCTAGTAAAAGACGGCGCTTTCTGCACTCAGCTTGAAGGTTTTGTACTCTAGCATCACATCTGGCTTGAATATTAAGTATTGCCTTTTCTTGATTGTCAGCTTTGTTGCGAGCATCATCCAGTTGCTGTTGAAGCAACATATTTTGTTTTTTTAGTTGACAAAATCTTTCCTTTTAAGAGACAGCAGGAAAAGATACATAGGCAGAGCACAGAGGATTTTTAGGGAAGTCAAAATAATTTATATAACATGGATACACATCATTGTACATTTGTCCAAATCCATACATGTACAGTACCAAGAGTGAACCCCAATGCAAATTATGGGCTTTGGGTGATTGTGATGTGTCAATTTAGGCTCATCTATCATAGCAACTACCACTATGGTGAAGGACACTGGTAATGAAGGAGGCTAAACATGTATTGGGTTGGGGGTATACAAAAAAATATCTGAACCTCCCTCTCAATTTTGACAGGAACATAAAACTGGTCTAAAAAATAAAAGTCTTTATAATAAATTCTAAATGAAACTTTAGTAAATTGTATCCAATGGTATAATAAAAAGGTAATACATCATAAACAAATGGGGTTTATTCCAGAAATGGAAGGTTGGCTTAACATTGAAACATCATCATTATTTACCATAAAACGAACTAAAAGAGAAGACCCATAGGATCATCCCAACAGATACAGGCACCTGATAAAATTTACTCCTGATGTTTCAAAGAAGAAATACTCTCAGCAACATAAGAATCCAAGGGAAGTTCTTCAGCATGATAAACAATGTCTATGATGAATCTACAGCTAACGTGCATCATAGTGAAAAACTGAATGCATTTCCCATAAGATGAGGAAGAACATGGGAATGTCTGCTTTCACTACTTGTTTGTAGCATTGTTCTGAAGATTCTAGTTAATGCAGTCAGGCAAGAAAAAGAAATAAGAGGCATCCAAGTTTAAAAAAAGAAATAAAATTGTCTTTATACACAACCATGACCATACAATAGGTATGGGTAAACCCCAACCTGTGGGCCAGCTTCTTGTCTGATAAGCTTTTATTGGAACACAGCTGTGTTCATTAATTTATGGATGATCTATGGCTGCTCTCATCCTAAAATGGCAGAGTTTATCAGCTGCAAAAGAGACCCTTTTGCCACAAGTCTAAAATATTCACTATCCTTAGTAAGAGGGTAGTTTGAGAAAGAAAGGTTTAACAACCTTTGGTCTATGAAGAAAATCTGATCAAATCTACCAACAATGTGCCAGAACTAACAAGTGAGTTTAACAAGATTGAAGGATCCAAATTCAATATAGAAAAATTAACTGTATTTCTATAGGCTAGCAATAAACAATCAAATGAAAATTTTAAAACTATCATTTTCTATAGTTTTATAAACATGTGTATTTGGATTAGCAATGCTCAACCTGTATAAAGAAAGTCAAATTCATCTACAGTAACTAAACTATCATTTACAACTTCATCAAAAATGAAATACAGATAAATCTGATAAAATATGAAAAGACCTATAAACGAAAAACTACAAAATACTACTGAGAAAAATTAAATATTACCTCTACAAAAGCAGACATATATTTTATTGAGGAGTAGATTTACTATTGTTAAGATGTCAATTCTCCCCAAATTAATCTATAAATATGACACAATCCCAACTTAATTTCTAACAAGCAAGCAGTCTTTATTTTATTGATAAGCTGATTCTAAAGTTCATGTGAAAATGCAAAGGATCTAGCATAGTCAAAACAGAACAAAGAACAAAGTTGGAGGATTCATTTCAAGAATTACTATAATTCAATAGTTACCAAAACAGTGTGCCATAGGTACAGGCTGAGTATCCCTTATTCAAAATGCTTCAGACTAGAAGTTTTTCAGATTTTGGATTTTGGAATATTTGCATATACATGATGAGATATCTTGGGGATAGGACCCAAGTCTAAACACAAAATACATTTATTTTTCATATTTACCTTATACACAAAGACTGAAGGTAATTTTAAACAATACTTTTAATAATTTGGGGCATGAAACAATGTTTGTATACACGAGGTCGGATATAGAATTTTTACACTGTGGTGTCTATGTTGGCAATCAAAAAGTTTGGGGTTTTAGAGCATTTCAGATTTGGGATATTTAAATTAGCAATGCTCAACCTGTATAAAGAAAGTCAAATACAGACAATCCCCAACTTAAGGTGGTTTGACTTATTGACTTTACAGTGGGTTTACTGAAGTATTAAATTGCTTTTGACTCAAACACTGGCTTTCCCACAATTTGGGGAGCATCTGCAAATTAATAAAATTCAATAGACAGTCCAGAAATAGATAACACATATGCAACCAGCCTATGACTGACAAAGGCAGGATGGCAATGCAGTGGAGAAAGGACAGCCTTTTCAACATGTGGTGCTGGAACAATTGGCTGTCCATATCCAAAAAGTGAACATGAATCCATACCTCACCTCACTCCATATACAAAAGGAAACTCAAAATGGAGCACAGATTTAAATGTAAGATCCAAATCTGTAAAATTTCTAGAACAAACATAGGAAAAATCTTTGTGACCTTGTGCTAAGCAAACATTTTTTACATATGACACAAAATGCATAATCTGTAATTCAACAATTAAATTGGACTTCATTACGATTAAAATCTTCTGCTCTTCAAAAGATACTACAAAGCAAGTGAAAAGTCAACCCAAAAACTGGAGAAAATGCCCTTGTAAAAAAGTAGCTAAAAAGTAATAGTATCCAAATACATACAGAATTATTAAAACTCAACAAGTAAGAAAACATCAACCTACTTTTTTAAATGGCAAAAGATTTGAAAAGACAGTTCAACAAAGAAGATGTACAGATGGCAAATAAACACATGGAAAGATGCTCAACATTTTAGTCATTAGGATCGTGTACATTAAACCCATAATAATATACATAATACACCCATCAGAGTGACTAAAATTTAAAAAAATAAATACAGCAGTAGTGTGACAACATAGCAACTGGAATGGTCATTTACTACTGATGAGAATAGAAAATAGTACAAATATTTTGGAAAACCATTTAGCAGCTTTTAAAAACAGGAACATAAAGGGCCATGAGGAGACGTTAGTGGGTGATGGATACATGTTGACTATCTCGATGGTGGTAATAGTTTCACATGTGTATACATCTGTTAAAACTTATCAAATGGTACCTTTTACATGTGTGCACTTTATCGCATATCAATTATACACACTAAAGCTACTGATTGTAGGAGCAAACACCTAAGGCACTGGCTGTGGCACAGAGAAGGGTATGCAATGATGCAATATAAAGCTCGAGGACTGAGATCCATACCTTATAGCAATAAATGGCAGCTGGGTTTTCAGCAAGCAGGTAACATGATCAGGTGTGATTGTTTACAACTATATAATTACGATTGCAGAACAGGCCGTGGTTTTGGAAGGTGGAATAGTAGGAAAGACAGTTAGAAGGTTATCACAGTATTTCAGGTGGGAGGAAATGGTAACCTGACCATGGATAAATGGGTAATGGCATAGAAGAGAAGCAGAGTAAACAAACACATTGGGCGTGCCATTCACACTGAGAAAAGTACAGTGAAATGATCATAGCTCTTTGGCTGAGAAGGTACAAGATACAGCTGTTTTCATTCTATTTTAACATAAGGCATATTTCTGAGATGAACATTCTTGTAACATATCAGTACTCTATGGTACAGTGCTAAGCAATGTGTGCATACATTGCTATAGGATTTTTAAAAAGCCTTATATTTATGCATTGGTCCTACCTTTGCACTTCATTTCATGTTGATCAATGAGTAATATGACTTTCTTACAATTAGAGCAAAGCGAGTCATCATCCTCTGAGGCTATTTGAGATGACTGAATTATGTCATCAAGGTCATCCCTAGAATGTATTTGGTTTTTCACCTACAAAATATATAACACTGTTTCAAAATGTCCCCAAAATATTTATAACATACACTAAATGTACAGAAGTGGGAATTACCCATCTGTTTATACAAGCACAAACACAGGTACTTGTTCTGTACTTCTTTTTTAAGCAATTTCCTTTATGTTGACTCTAGTTCAGAAGACCACATGGTCTATGGATAAATTAGTTTCCCAGTTCCTATGCCATTTAGAAAACTGACAGAGAGACTTGGGTTAATTGAGGAACAAAGATTAAGAGAATGTCTTCCTGAGCTTGAATTATTTTAATTGCAAAAACAATCTATTTACACGTACAATTATGTATTTAGATAACCCCATTTTACACAAGAGATTTTCATAAGTAAAAAATTCAAATGGATCAAATAATGGGTGAAGAGAAAAAACAGAGTAGCAGCAAGTGACCGTCTAAGTCTTTTTGAAGTTGAACTTTCTCCAAAGCCAGGAACTCTACTTTACTTGTAATATGCTTACCTCATTCTTAAATCTTTGCATATATCACTTAATTCCACTTCTAGACATACTGCTGATGTTCTGTCACCAAGTGGTGGAGAATAATGCACATTTTCTAATTCATGTTTTATGCTTTCATACTTATTTGCACTACAGTTGTCATATAACAGCTTCTGGAACACATTCTGTATTGGTTTTGTACTGTTGTGTTTGTAACAACAGAAACACCATAATCTTTTTTTTTTTTAATTACATGCTTCATTTCTTTGGAGCAGTTAAGCCACATATCTAAAAGGTTTTTTGAATCACTAAATTGAGGCATATGTCCTATGTTTAATTTCCAATTCGTGGTGTTTTGGTTTTTTGTCATTTGCCTAACAACCTATTGGTCTTCTTTTATTTCAACCATAACTACTTCTGGGTTTCTTGCTTTCATACTTTCTGTATCATTACAAAAATTTTCCTTGTCTGGGTTAAAAACATGTTCAGTATCTGGTTTGTTGTCATTTTCACGGTCTACTTTATTTCTACTTAAATAAAGCTCAGAAGGTGACTGGCAAGCATATTCTGGGGACCCAGAGTATGAATGAGATAGAAAGGCATTTCTGAGACTGGGTTATTTTGTTCAGGAAATATCTGGACTACTACAGAGACAGACATGCCAGATGCATCACTTTCCTGACAATCAGGTGAATCATTTGTCAAATTAGAGGGTATTTACTTAAGTTTGTTCTTCCTGTAGAGCTATTATGTAGTTGCTCTTCCTCAATACAAGCAGTTTTGTAATTTTCACAAATTTCACCGAAACTCTGCTTTAACTTATTTGTGATGAATTTTAAAGTTTCTTTTTACCCTAATTTGTCTTGTTTGATCCACATTCTCTCATACTTTTGTGCACAAGTAAGTCCTGCATATATAAAGAGGTCCTTTCTATCACAACACTTTTTCACTACTAGTTGTTGAGACAATTTTTGCACATGCAAAAGTGGAAGATAAATTTGCTAGTTTTGTTTCTCAGATGTCTTTTCTGTCAGAGTACATGTTTTAAAAATAACTATCTTTAAATAATCAAGTGTCAAAAGAGAAAAATTAAAAAATAATTAAAGTTTAATATTAAACTTCTTAATCTATGTTTACCTACTCCCAAATCACTGGATTGTAACTAAGAAGTGAAAAATAATTTGCATTAGCCTAAAATAAGTGAAAAACATAAACCATGAAACTTTGATTTGTCACTGTTTGTTTGGACTAAACTTGACTAATTCATTATGTGTTAAATTTCCCAAAAATGAATTAGGAGATGACTTGTAGTACTATAAAGGCACTGTCACTTTAAAAGATTTTATCACTATATGTACAGTGTACACTTGAGTGCTTTTTCCAAAGATTACTAACTAATGATTAGGCAAACTTTAAATTATTAGGAGCCAAAATCAACACCAGTCAGTAAGAAAAGCAAATTCTTACATTTTAATGCAAATTACATAATGTAATATGATTGACAGTGTTATATATTTATATAGATTATAGGCTTAAGTTCTAAGGTCTACTAATGACAGTGGATTTAATCAATTTAACAATATTTATGGATTTTCTATATTGAAATACATTAGGCAGTTATTTTTATTATTATTATACTTTAAGTTTTAGGGTACATGTGCACAATGTGCAGGTTTGTTACATATGTATACATGTGCCATGTTGGTGTGCTGCACCCATTAACTCGTCATTTAGCATTAGGTATATCTCCTAATGCTATCCCTCCCCCCTCCCCCAACCCCACAACAGGCCCCGGAGTGTGATGTTTCCCTTCCTGTGTCCATGTGTTCTCATTGTTCAATTCCCACCTATGAGTGAGAACATGCGGTGTTTGGTTTTTTGTCCTTGCGATAGTTTGCTGAGAATGATGGTTTCCAGTTTCATCCATGTCCCTACAAAGGACATGAACTCATCATTTTTTATGGTTGCATAGTATTCCATGGTGTATATGTGCCACATTTTCTTAATCCAGTCTATCATTGTTGGACATTTGGGTTGGTTCCAAGTCTTTGTTATTGTGAATTGTGCTGCAATAAACATACGTGTGCATGTGTCTTTATAGCAGCATGATTTATAATACTTTGGGTATATACCCAGTAATGGGATGGCTGGGTCAAATGGTATTTCTAGTTCTAGATCCCTGAGGAATCACCACACTGACTTCCACAATGGTTGAACTAGTTTACAGTCCCACCAACAGTGTAAAAGTGTTCCTATTTCTCCACATCCTCTCCAGCACCTGTTGTTTCCTGACTTTTTAATGATTGCCATTCTAACTGGTGTGAGATGGTATCTCATTGTGGTTTTGATTTGCATTTCTCTGATGGCCAGTGATGATGAGCATTTTTTCATGTGTTTTTTGGCTGCATAAATGTCTTCTTTTGAGAAGTGTCTGTTCATATCCTTCACCCACTTTTTGATGGGGTTGTTTGTTTTTTCTTGTAAATTTGTTTGAGTTCATTGTAGATGCTGGATATTAGCCCTTTGTCAGATGAGTAGGTTGCAAAAATTTTCTCCCATTTTGTAGGTTGCCTGTTTACTCTGATGGTAGTTTCTTTTGTTGTGCAGAAGCTCTTTAGTTTAATTAGATCCCATTTGTCAATTTTGGCTTTTGTTGCCATTGCTTTTGGTGTTTTAGACATGAAGTCCTTGCCCATGCCTATGTCCTGAATGGTAATGCCTAGGTTTTCTTCTAGGGTTTTTATAGTTTCAGGTCTAACATTTAAGTCTTTAATCCATCTTGAATTAATTTTTGTATAAGGTGTAAGGAAGGGATCCAGTTTCAGCTTTCTACATATGGCTAGCCAGTTTTCCCAGCACCATTTATTAAATAAGGAATCCTTTCCCCATTGCTTGTTTTTGTCAGGTTTGCCAAAGATCAGATGGTTGTAGATATGCGGCATTATTTCTGAGGGCTCTGTTCTGTTCCATTGATCTATATCTCTGTTTTGGTACCAGTACCATGCTGTTTTGGTTATTGTAGCCTTGTAGTATAGTTTGAAGTCAGGTAGCATGATGCCTCCGGCTTTGTTCTTTTGGCTTAGGATTGACTTGGTGATGCAGGCTCTTTTTTGGTTCCATATGAACTTTAAAGTAGTTTTTTCCAATTCTGTGAAGAAAGTCATTGGTATCTTGATGGGGATGGCATTGAATCTATAAATTACCTTGGGCAGTATGGCCATTTTCACGATATTGATTCTTCCTACCCATGAGCATGGACTGTTCTTCCATTTGTTTGTATCCTCTTTTATTTCACTGAGCAGTGGTTTGTAGTTCTCCTTGAAGAGGTCCTTCACATCCCTTGTAAGTTGGATTCCTAGGTATTTTATTTTCCTTGAAGTGATTGTGAATGGGAGTTCGCTAATGATTTGGCTCTCTGTTTGTCTGTTATTGGTGTATAAGAATGCTTGTGATTTTTTTACATTGATTTTGTATCCTGAGACTTTGCTGAAGTTGCTTATCAGCTTAAGGAGATTTTGGGCTGAGACAATGGGGTTTTCTAGATATACAATCATGTCATCTGCAAACAGGGACAATTTGACTTCCTCTTTTCCTAATTGAATACCCTTTATTTCCTTCTCCTGCCTAACTGCCCTGGCCAGAACTTCCAACACCATGTTGAATAGGAGTGGTGAGAGAGGGCATCCCTGTCTTGTGCCCATTTTCAAAGGGAATGCTTCCAGTTTTTGTATATTAGGCAGTTATTGTTTGTACGCTAATACCAAAGGTGCCATTCTGCAAGGTATAATTCTCTTGATAGCCAGTTGGGTTGATTTTATGACCCATTCTCTCCCTGAACATAGAAACTGAAGTCAGAGATCAAAAGGGAAAATAAATTCTTAACCTTGGTATTAGTGACTGGCAATAAAAAAACTGCAAAGTTTGAACCACTAGCAATAATTACTCCTTTAATCTGAATCCAATACGGTGGTCATCACTGTTAAATTGTTCATAATTTCTATTGCTTAAAGTTGTAATTCAATATTTGATGTTACCTTCTTTATTATAATAGGAAGTTATAAAAATAGAAGTGCAAACAATATCAGGAAATTTTTAACTCAATTCCAAGGGTAAAGATTAGATATAAGTTGCTATAGATTCCAACATTATTTTAAGTTTTATAACTAGTTAAGTGTTTTTAAAGTGAAATATTAAATTATAATCAACTGATACTAAAAGGCTAATCCAAAGGTAAATTCATTTCAAATATGCTGTATTACCAAAGCAAGGAAAACAAGATTAAACCAGAAATTTGATTTTAAATTTTTACATACCTGTGGCTGGTTATTTTCATATTCTTCAAGCCTCTTTTGCTCTCCCTCTGATGCCATTTCTAAGTCTTGTTCTTCTAAAAAAAATTATATATTTAGTTAAAATGAGCTACACAGAACAGTTAGATAAAAGCCATGGTCAGCCAGGCGCGGTGGCTCACGCCTGTGATCCCAGCACTTTGAGAGGCCGAGGCGGGCGGATCACGAGGTCAGGAGATCGAGACCATCCTGGCTAACAAGGTGAAACCCCGTCTCTACTAAAAAATACAAAAAATTAGCTGGGCCTGGTGGCGGGCGCCTATAGTCCCAGCTACTCGGGAGGCTGAGGCAGGAGAATGGTGTGAACCCGGGAGGTGGAGCTTGCAGTGAGCCGAGATCTCACCACTGCACCTCCAGCCTGGGCGGCAGAGCGAGACTCCGTCTCAAAAAAAAAAAAAGCCATAGTCTTTCTAAAACCAGAAAATAAAAGTGTTTAAACGAAGCTTAATCTTTAGTATAATATTTACTTCTTTAAGAAATGCTTTTAATCCTCCAAAACTTCAGCAAACCATTTGGGGAGGCACTAGATGTCACCAGGTTCAAGCCATGCAAATATGGTCAAAGATTCACTCATAAATTCATCCACCCAACATCAATGAACAAAACCATCGGAAATAAAACAAAATGTAAAAATCCAATAGAAACAGAAAAAGTAACAGCACACTGTTCTTTACTTCACAATAGTACCTTTATAACAGCACATTGAGCCTGCTGTTCATTATTAATCATTTCCAAAATGACTGCTACTGTTTACATTTTCATCAATGTGCAGTCTCTTCTTTATATCTAAAATATTTTCAACTATTCTGACAAATTTCTTTCATAATTTAAGACTCAGACAGCTATGTGAAGTCTTCCTTGATTCTGGCTATCTTTCCTCAGATAAACGGGTTTATTTAATACAGGTTTTATAAAATATGTATTTAAGGTTTCAGAAGTGAGGTTATGTCTCAACTAACTATAACTAAAATAGAAGAGTGTGTCTATTCCAATGTAAACATGTTGACTGATAATAAGAAAAATGATCCTTATAAAGAATAGCAAATCATGATCCTGAGAGAGTAAGTGTCAAAGCTGATGGGAGGATGCTATGGCCTATCTTTAATGCAATACTTCAGATCCAATTACACCATTATACTACAAGCATTTATCATGTCCAACTATTTTTCCTATTATTTAGGAAGTACAAAGTTGTGAGGACACTTCCAATAAATATATAATTTATTTCTCATCAGAGAAACTGTTTAAAATTAATCAGCTTAGATAGACAGTTGTAGAATAAAATTTAATAAAACTATTCATTTTTTTCATTCCTAGGTAGGCTACTGCTATGTCTACATTGCTTGTATCCTGCAGTTTGGCCCTGTCAAGAAGTTTCTGAATCCACTCATGCAAGAAGATATACAAACCACATCAAAAATAGTGTATAGGCTGGGTGTGGTGGCTCATGCCTGTAATCACAGCACTTTGGGAAGCTGAAGCAGGTGGATCACAAGGTCAGGAGTTCGAGACCAGCCTGACTAGCATGGTGAAACCCCATCTCTACTGAAAATACAAAAATTAGCCGGGCATGATGTCATGTGCCTATAATCCCAGCTACTCAGGAGGCTGAGGCAGGAGAATCGCTTTAACCCGGGAGGTGGAGGTTGCAGTGAGCCGAGATTGTGCCATTGCACTCCAGGCTGGGAGACAGAGTGAGACTCCATCTCAGAAAAAAAAAAAAGTGTATAATAAGCTTTCAGTGTGTAAATAATTGTCAAAAATGAAAAAATTAAATTTCCACAGACTTATTAATAACATTTTATACTTCAAAATCAGTGCAATGTTCACTGATTATTTTGGTTTTGTTATTCAAAGAATGAATGCTACAACTTTTTGTTTCTAAAATTAGTTTGATTTGATATACCATGCTAATCTCTAAGGCACTTTCATGGAAGTGTGATCTTATTTAAAAAATAGGTTTCTTAGTAAAATCAGTCAAAGTTTCTTAGTTCAAATAAATTTCATTTGATTAACTAATATCAGCACTTCTATATAGCTCTCATAAATTATTCCCACCACAAATAAAGAGGAAAACCTCTTAATTTAGCAGTAGTATCTTACATGTATAATTTCTATTTCCTAAATTTGTGTTCCTTTCCCTCTGGCTAGAAACATGCTCAGAAATAGTAGCAAAATGACACTGTTATGTTTCAAACTGCTATCAGATGGCAAACAGGTATATGGAAAGGTGCTCAACATCACTCATCATCACAGAAATGCAAATCAAAGCTACAATGAGGTATCTTCTCACCTCAATTAAAATGGCTTTTATCCAAATGGCAGGCATTAAGAAATGCTGGTGAGGATGTGGAGAAAGCGGAACCCTCGTACACCATTGGTGGCATTGTGAATTAGTACAGTCACTATGGAGAACAGTATAGAGTCCTCAAAAAATTAAAAATACAACTACCCACATGATCCAGCAATCCCATTGCTAGGTAACTACTCAACAGCAAGAAAATCAGTATTATAAAAGAGAAATCTGCCCGGACATGTTTATTGCAGCACTTTTCACAATAGCCATAATTTGGAATCAACCTAAATGTACATCAACAGAGAAATGGGTTCTAAAAATGTGATACATATACTGCTCAGCCATATGAAAGAATAAGATCCTCTCATTTGCAATGACATGGATGGAACAAGAGGACATTATGTCAAGTAAAATAATCCAGGCAAAGAAAGGAAGGCTTCACATGTTGTCAGTCCTTTGTGGGTGTGAGAAATTTAAAAAATAGAGCTCATGGAGATGAAGAGAAAAATCACCATTACCACAGTCTAGGAAGGGTGTGGGGGTGGTAGGAAATGAGGATGCTTAGTAAGTACAAACTACAGTTAGAAACAATGAATAAAATGTAGCATTTTATAGCACAAAAACATGACTACAGTCAGCAATAACTTGTTGTACATTTTAGCATTACTGAGGAAGTACAAATTAAAAGACAGCACAAAGAAATGGTTAATGCTTGAGGTGATGGATAACCCATTAACCATGATGTCATTATTACACATTGTATGCCTGTATCAAAATATCTTATTTACTCCATAAACATAAACACCTACAATTTACTCATTAAAATTAAAAACAAAAAAATAAAGTAACACACACACAGGCACAGAGTGTGCTAATCCGAACATCTGATTGGCTTAATATAATAAGCGTAACAAAATTGACCAAAACCAATAAAAGTTAAAACAAAACAAATATGTTACCAAATAAAACATTTCATTAGCTAAAAGCCATAATTTGAACTGACTTTTAAAGCAAAACAAATATTTTACAGTATCAAAATTGATCTCTTTAAATCGCTAAAAACTATTGAAATTCCAAATTGGAAACTTCAGAGTATCAAAATGTGAAAGTAGAAACATCTGAATAAAACCTTATATTTTTAGGCCAGGCACGGTGGTTCACGCCTGTAATCCCAGCACTTTGGGAGGGCGAGGCGGGAGGATCACCTGAGGTCGGGAGTTCAAGACCAGCCTGACCAACATGGAGAAACCCTGTCTCTACTAAAAATACAAAATTAGCGAGACATGGTGGTGCATGCCTGTAATCCCAGCTACTCGGGAGGCTGAGGCAGGAGAATTGCTTGAACTAGGAAGGCGGAGGTTGCGGTGAGCTACAATTGAGCCATTGCACTCCAGCCTGGGCAACAAGAGCAAAGCTCTGTCTCCAAATAAAAAAAAAGAAAAAACTTTATGTTTTAAAAATATATTTTCCTTATGCATGTAAATCTCATTTTTGAAAACATAAATAAAAATTATAACAGCTGCATTATTTAGATGAAATCCTGAAATAAAATATAAAAAGTGAAATAATTGAGAATAGAAAGACTATGAGCATTACAAATAGATTAATGTACTTCTTTCCAGAGTTAAATCTACAATGCAAAGTTTACCTGGTGTGGATGTTTGTACATCCTTCATTTTGGTGGCTGTATTCAGAACAGAATCTTTATTTTCAACTGTAGCCTGAATGGGTTTTAAAACAAAATGATTAGCACATGATGCATATTGGTATAGGATATGCAGTTAATAATTAAAAATATTAATGTAAGAGTAATTACCTTCATGGTGGGCAGATTCTCAGGATACTCTAACAAGCAAGAGAAATATATAATCAATCATATGTAAATATGGTAAGGCCAACCATACATTCATGGAGTGTTAGCATCAAACTGAATACTCTTGCCTGTATTAGTGTGGGGTTTCATGTTTTTCTAGTTTGTTTCTTTGGGACAGTAACGTGATAGAAATGCAATGAAGAAAACAGGAATACAGGCTTCAAAAAACATACAGTTACAAGTTAAAAAGTGAGATTATGCACCACATCTATTGCTAAAAAAAAGTGTTAATATCAATGTGGATATGCTGATTAACAAGGAGAAATGAGATCTAAAATCAGAGGAGCAAATCATAACCCTAGAAATAAGTGTAAAAGCTGGTGCTAACTGCCACCGCATGACTTTCATGCAAGACATCAGAAGGATTTATACCATTATAACACAAATATTCATCATGCTCTTTAACTTGTTCGATAACTGAGAAGGTACACAATTACAATGACACTTCAGTTGAATGTACACTTCACGTCTCTTCAGTGTAAGTGTCCTGAATTGATCTGCTTGGATATATGTTTGGTGAATCCTAGTAGTCAATATTCATTATTTATCATGCTCATGTGGTGTAATAATCTGCCTACGTTTCTTATATCCTCTAGTTTAGCCTTCAGAAACTTTCTTCATCCACTAATGGCAAGAAGGTATAATATATAAACCCCATCACAAAGTATAATAAATTATACATACTTATACAAAATGGAATTGCTCCAGGCATTAGATATTAATAAACTTATACATTTGGAAATCAGTCCAATATTCATTGAAAATAACCATTTTAGGATTCAATTAATGCATTCAACATTATTTTTGTCTGTCTGGAATATCACTTTACTATAAAGAATTTTCATTAAATAGCTATTTTAACAAAACAGCCAGCATTTTGGAAAAAAGCTAATATATTCATATTAAATTTCAACTCATTTGAATAACTAATAAAAATATATGTCTGATGTCTGATAGTAATAAACATGAATAATGAGGCACTGTGGTTTGTCCCAACTCTAGCACTCCCTGATTCCAGTAGTCATTGGAGCAGCCAGAAATCAGATCTTCTGGTATGCAAATACTCTAAATGCATCTGAAGTGAGTTCACTCAGGTTTCCTCAGCAGAAACCCCAAAATTACCTAAATAACTTCTTCCTTCCTCTCTTTCTTGCCTTGCAATCCCTCTTTCTTGATGAAAATAATTACTACATCAGTGGTCACCTTGCTCCTCATTCTCCAGTGTTTATGGATTATTATGACAACTTCCTCCCTCTGGTTTTAGCAGTACCATCTGACATCTATAAGTTCTATTACTTTTTTCTCTTTCTCCTTCCCCTTTCCATAGAAACATGCTCTGAAATAAGAGCAAAATTATGCTGTCCCCCGAACCTCTTATGTCTTGAACTGTTTTCCAGTGGTTCTTCTATCCAAATTCAATGTAGGGAAGTCTATAAGCTTGTTACTAAGATCATGGCCGAGGACCAACAGCATCAGCATCACCTGAGAACTTACTAGAAATGCACAATCTCAGGCCTGCTGAATCAGAAAGTGCATTTTCAATGACACCCCACTGATCTATTCAGGGGTGGGACGTTCTCTTCTGTCTTGAGTGCACATGACATTAAATGTGTATTGCCAAATTACCTGTTCCAGATTTCTGACCACCCATTATTCTTGTGGCAATATTCAAAAGAGAAACTTTCTTTTTAAATATAACCTGAATGGAAAGAGAAGCAAAATAGTCAACATAATATATATTTCATATGCTATGCAATAAATAATTCAAAATATAAATGAAAGAGTAACTACCTTCCAGGCCGATTGTTTCTGAGAAGACACTGAAAAGCAAAAGAAATATATAATCCATCATATGTAAATATGATAAAGTCGTCCACACATTCATGCAGTGTTAGCATCAAGCTGTAACCTCCTGCCTGTACTAGTGTAGGATTTGATGTTTTATAGTTTGTGTCTTTGGGACAGGAACATGAGGAAATACACTGAAGAAAATAGGAATACAGGCTTCCAGAAAATATACAGTCAGAAATTACAAAGAGGTATTATGCGTCATGTGTGTATTACTGAAATAAAAAGCGTCAATATCAATGTGGATATGCCAAATGATGAAAAGAAATGTGATCTAAAATCAGAGGAGCAACTCATACACCCAGGAATCAATGTCAAAGAAGGTAGTAAATGCTACTGCATGTTTTTCATGCAAGACATCAGAAGGATTTATACCATTATACTGCAAGTATTCATCATGCTCTTTAACTTGCCTGGTAATTGAGCAGGTACACAATGACAATGACACTTTAGTAGAATGTACACTTCACAAGTCCTCAGTGGAAGTGTCCCAGCTTCATCAGCTTGGATATAGGTTGGGATAATCCTGTATATAATATTCTTTATTTCTCAAACCCATGTGGTGTAATAATGTGCCTACATTTGTTGTGCCCTCTAGTTTAGGCTACAGAAAGGTTCTTCATCCACTCATGGCAACAAAGTATAATACATAAACCTTATCAAAAAGTATAATAAATGATTAAATTTGACATACTTATACAAAATAAAGTTGCTACAAGCATTAGATATGAATAACCTTTTACATTTGGAAATCACTCCAATATTCATTGAAAATAAGAATTTTAAAAGTCAATTAATGAATTCACCATTATTTTCTTTCTAAAATAGTCTGGTTTAAAATATCATGTTATTCTCTAAAGCATTTTCATTAAATTGCTATTTTTATCCAAAAGTTAGCTAATTGAAAAGCAAAGCCAATATATGCATATTCATGTTTATCTCATTTGAATAACTAATATAAACAAAATGTATATCTCTGATGCCCAACAGTAACAAAGAGGAGTAATGAGTCACTGTGGCTTGTCCCAGTTCTAGTACTCCTTCCTGCTTCCACTGGTTCCTAAAGCAGCCAAAATCAAACCTTCTTTTAGGAAAATGTTCGAATATGCAACTGAACTCAGGTTTCCTTAGAAGAAATCCCAAAATTACATAAATAACTTCTTATTTTCCCTCCTTCCTGCCTGACAATCCTCTTCCTTGAGGAAAGTCATTGCTACATCAATGGTCTCCTTAGTTCTCGTTCTACAGCGTTTATGGGTTTTTACAATCATTTCTCCATCTGTTTTTAGCAATACGATGTGACGTCTGTAAAATCTATACTTCATCTCTTTCTCCTTCCACCCTTGGTGAAAACATGCTGTAGAATTAAAGCAAAATTATGCTGTCCCCTGACTCCTTATGTCTTTAATGGCTCTCCAACCTTTCTTCTTCCCAATTTCAATGTATGGAAGTCTATAATCTTACTGCAAAGTTCATGTCGAAGACCAGCAGCATCAGTGTCACCTGAGAACTTACTACAAATGTAGAATCTCAGGCCTGCTGAATCAGAATGTGCAGCTTCAAAGAGTCCCCCGCTGATTTATTCGGGGAAGAGAAGTTCTTGTCTATCTTGGCTGAACATGACATTAAATCTGCTTTGCAAAATTATGTCTCCCAGATTGTTGTCCATCCTTTATTTCTGTGGCTATATTTGAAACAGAATCTTTCTCGTCACTTGCAGCCTGAATGGGATTTGAAACAAAATAATCAATAAATAAAGTAGGTTTCATAGACTATACAGTTACTAGTTCAACGTATAAATGAGACTTTAATTACCTTCTCAGCTGGTTGTTTCTGAGAAGACACTGAAAAGCAAAAGGGATACATAATCACTCATATGTACATATGATAAATTTATTCAAACATTCATGCAGTGTTAGCATCAAGTTGTATTTTCCTGCCTGTACTAGTGTAGGCTTTGATGTTTTCTACCTTTTGTCTGGAGACTGGAACACGACAGAAATACACTGAAAAAAAAGGAATACAGGCTTCACAAAATATACCACTACAATTTCAAACGTGGTATGATTTGTGATACATCTAAAACTAAAATAAAACCATGTCAATATCAATGTGGATATGCTGAGTGATGAGGACAAATCAGAGGAGTAACTCACACACCTGAGAATCAATGTCAAAGCAGGTGGTACATGATCCCGCATGTCTTTCTTGCAAGAAATCAGAAGGATTTACACCATTATACTACAAACATTCATCATGCCCTTTAACTTGCCCAATAACTAGAAGGTACACAATTACAATGACAATTCAGTTAAATGTACGCTTCATGTCTCTTCAGTGGAAGTGTCCTAAATTGATCGCCTTGGATATATGTTTCCTGAAATCTAGTAGATAATATTCATTATTTCTCACACCCATGTGGTGTAATAATTTGCCCAAGTTTCTTGTATCCACTAGTTTAGCCTTCTGAAAGTTTCTTCATCCACTCATGGCAACAAACGATAATATATTAGCCTCAATAAAAATATCATCAATTACCAATGTTAACAAACTTCTACAAAGTAAAACTGCTACAAGCATTAGATATTAATAAGTTTTACGTTCAGAAATCACTCCAATATTCATTGAAAATGACCACTTTAGGAGTTAATTAGATTTCAACATCATTTTTGTTTCTAAAATAGTCTTGTTGGGAGTATCATGTTATTCTCTAAAGAAGTTTCATTAAATAGCTATTTTATCTGAGAGTTAGCTCCTTGAACAAGGAAGCCAATGTATTCATATTCAAGTTTATCTCATTTTTATAACTAAAGTCAACAAAACATGTATCTCTGATGCCTAATGGTAACAAAGAGGAGTAATGAGTCACTGTGGTTTATCCCAATTCTAGCATTGTTTCCTGCTTCCAGTAGTTCTTGGAGCAGCCAGAATCAAATCTTCTTTTATGCAAATATTCCAAATGCATCTGAAATGAGTTCACTCAGGTTTCCTCAGCAGAAACCCCAAAATTACATAAATACCTTCTTCTTTTTCCTCCTTCCTGCCTCACAATCCCTCTTCCTTGAGGAGAATAAGTGCTACATCAGTGGTCCTCTTAGCTCTCATTCTACAGTGTTTATGGAGTTGTTAGGATCACTTTTCCCTCTGTTTAAAACAATACGATATGATGCCTATAATATCTATTACTTCATCTCGTTCTCTTTCCCCTCTTGATGGAAACATGCTGTAAAATTAAAGCAAAATTATGCTGCTCCCTGAGCCTGGTATGTGTTGACCTGCTCTCCAATGGTTCTTCTTCCCAATTTCAATGTAGGGAAGTCTATAATCTTACTACTCAGATAACGGCCAAGGACCAGCAGCATCAGGGTCACCTGAGAACTCACTACAAATGAAGAATCTCAGGCGTGCTCAATCAGAACGTGAAGCTTAGATGAACTCCCCACTGATTTATTTGGGGAAGGGAAGTTCTCTTCTATCTTGATTGAACATGACATTAGATGTGTTTTGCAAAATTACCTGTCCCAGATATTGGTCCCTCCTTTATTTCTGTGGCTATATTCGAAACAGAATCTTTCTCGTCACTTGCAGCCTGAATGGGATTTGAAACAAAATAATCAATACATGAAGTAGGTTTCATAGACTATACAGTTAATAGTTCAACATATGAGACTTTAATTACCTTCTCAGCTGGTTGTTTCTGAGAAGACACTGAAAAGCAAAAGGGATACATAATCAATCATATGTACACATGATAATGTTATCCATACATTAATGCATAGATAGCATGCTAGCATCAAGTTATATCCTCCTGCCTGTATTTCTGTAGGCTTTGATATTTTACACTTTGTTTCTTGGGACTAAACATGAAGGAAATACACTGAAGAAAATAGGAATACAGGCTTCAAGAAATACACACTGACAATATCAAATGTGATATGACTTGCTCCATATGTCTAAAATCAGAGTCCAACTCATACACCTGGGAATCATCAAAGCAGGTGATACATGCACCTGCATGTCTTTCACACAAGATATCAGAATGATTTGGAACATTTTACTGCAAACATTCATCATGCTCTTTAACTTGATCGATCAGTGAGAAGGTACACAAATATAATGACACTTTAGTTGAATGTACACTTCACATCTCTTCAGTGGAAGTGTCCTAACTTAATCAGCTTGGATATATGTTTGGTGAATTCTAGTATGTAATATTCATTATTTCTCACACCCATATGGTGTAATAATGTGCCTACATCTCTTGTATCTTCTAGTTTAGCCTTCCGAAAGTTTCTTCATCCACTCATGGCAACAAGGTAGAATATATAAACTTCATCAAAAAGTATAATAAATTACCAAATTTGACATACTTATACAAAATAAAGTTGCTACAAGCATTAGATACGAATAAGCTTTTACATCTGGAAATCACTCCAATATTCATTGAAAATAACCATTTGGGAGTCAAGTAAAGAATTCAACATTATTTTCACTTCTAAAATAGTCTGGTTGAAGTATCATGTTATTCTCTAGAGAATTTTTATTAAACTGCTATTTTATCCAATAGTTAGCTCCTTGAAAAACAGAGCCAATGTATGCATATTCAGGTTTATCTCATTTGAATAACTAATATCAACAAAACATATACCTCTGGTGCCCAATAGTAACAAAGAGGAGTAATGAGTCACTGTGCTTTATCCCAATTCTATCACTCTTTCCTGCTTCCAGTAATTCCTGGAGCAGCCAAAAATCAAATCATCCTTTACGCAAATATTCTAAATGCATCTGAAGTGAGTTCACTTAATCTTAGAGTCATAATTTAAAAAATCATTTTCTTTATACTCATGAAGACTCCTGATGTTTTTACACTTCCTGGATTCAGCAGTTTGGCCTTCTCACTGTCTCTTCATCCACTTTTGCAAAAACATACACATCAATGAAATAATGTGTAATCAGATTCCTATGAAAATAAACTAAACAAAGTTTCTAAATCACTAGAGACTTCTTTCCTTATAAATAACCAACCAATATGACATACACACATATATATATATATATATATATATATATATATATATATATATATATATGTCATGATTGTCATGATTATTGGCAGTTATCTGTTTAGTACTCTAAAAATGCATTCTTTGATTCCTTTTTTCTAAATCTAGTTTCATATGATATACCATAGGGGTCTCTCAGGTTCTTTTACGAAATAACTACCTCAGCAAACACAGCTTTCAAAAAAAAAAAAACACTTTTTCTAGATTAAGCTGTATCCCAATATGATAACCGATGTGAACGAAGCATGTATCACTGATGTGCAAAACTTCTAGGGAGGAGAAATGAGACCCTGTGGGTCACCCTCATCCTTCTAACTTCTGCTTTCCATTAAGTGACTTCCCACAAGTCTCCTCATCAGAAACCTCCAAATTACCTAGCTAGCTGCTTTCTCTGTTTACATCCGCCCAATTTGCAATACACTCTTTTTCGTTCATAAATCTAATATCCATATTGGTGGACTTGATTCTTTGACCTCCACATTCATTTCTTCATTATTTTCTGCACCACCGTATTGTGACATCTGTACAATCCCATTCTGAAACATGTGAAGATAAGGTTTTGCTTTATTAAAATGTTAAATGTGTCAGACACTTGACTAACGTGTACAAATTCCTTCTTCACAAAAGCAGCCCCATGGTCTCCTCTCTCCCATAGACACTGTTTCACAGCTGTTCTTCACTCACATCAGTTTGAGTATCTATCATCTCTCATTTTGTCTCTATGCTTTCACCTTATATTATGAGTTATTATCATAGGCTTAGCAGCCTATCTTACCTATTTTCCTCTCCAGGAGACAGTACTGAGCAGTAAATTAGAATTTTCCAGGATATGAACACTTTTATATACACAACACTTTGTGGAGCTATTTTATGTTTAACTACCCATAACACCACTATGTCTATGCTTTCCAGAGAAACAAGCTCTGAAATTTTATTGAATATAACCTATTTAAAAACTTCTTTAACTACAATGAAAGTCTCTCCTTGATGCACCAAAATCTTCAGAAATAACTTGTGAAGACTTGAAAATATGTCAGTAATTGACATGAAAAATGACGCATTGACATAATTTTTTGCAGGTATAAATAAGACAAGCTGAGATCCTTACTATATCCAAGAAGAGCAAAGTACATTAGACAGGAAATAAATATGGAACAGAAACATTTTCATTTGTAATGAAAATTCCTCCATTTACAGTTTTCAGAAGAGAAAAAAATACACACACACACACACACACACACACATTCACACACAAAAACCAGAGCAATATGGCTTTACAGGGTGTTTCTTCATCAAAGGCCTATTTGTCATTTCACATCCGGGAACACTCTATAGGGATCAACAAAGGGGTTCTAAATTGTGATCTGAGTAGTTTAGAGTTTAACATTCATGAAGGGGAGCCGAGACCATTGGCCATTTCCTCTCCTTACCGTTATTCTCTGAAAAGCACATAATGGATTTTCTCAGAGTCAGAACATGTCAAAAAGACATGCTTTAAGGGGGAAACAGTTGCAATCAACACAGCCATGGGAGAGATACAGCTATGTTTGCTAGGATTTCCAATACTTCTGTTTCATTTCTAATATAGTACAAATCAATAAAAGCAACCACGTAAGCATATCCATGTTGGTATGTCATCATATTTAAGTCCATATGGTATCAGCATGAAGACAGCATAATATGCTGTAATCATCATATGGCATATCATGAGATTATACAATAAATCAAGAAATACCTCACTGGGTCAATGTGGATAGATCTGAAATATATATCACTGATTTTACAAAGACCAAGTTTTATTCATTAAGTGCACTGCCTGAACTTTTCTACAAGCTTTTTAACACAAAATAAAGTTCTACATGTTATCTATGAATGTGCACATATGTTGTAAGAGGTTTTTAACGTGCATTTGGGTAATTTTTTTTTCATTAATTCAAGCTTTTGGTTACATGTCGGCAGTAAGCTTTAGTATTATAGAAAACCCAAAACCATAACAGCTCAGAATCACCGTCTTAAAAGGCTGTGTCTACCAAAGAGTCAGGAAAGCATGACCACTTACTTTCTTCATTTTTAAAACTCAGAGGTACCTCATGCACACTCCCAAATAAAACTGCACAAGTTCCTTAGTTTAATTAGATCCCATTTGTCAATTCTGGCTTTTGTTGCCATTGCTTTTGGTGTTTTAGTCTTGAAGTCTTTGCCCATGCCAATGTCCTGAATGGTATTGCCTAGGTTTTCTTCTAGGGTTATTATGGTTTTAGGTCTTACTTAAACGTTTAAGTCTTTAATTTATCTTGAGTTAATTTTTGTATAAGGTGTAAGGAAAGGGTCCAGTTTCAGTTTCCCGCATAAGGCTAGCCAGTTTTCCCAACACCATTTAGTAAATAGGTAATCTTATCCCCATTGATTGTTTTTTGTCAGGTTTGTCAAAGATCATATGGTTGTAGATGTATGGTGTTACTTCTGAGGCCTCTGTTCTGTTCCATTGGTCTATATCCCTGTTTTGGTACCCGTACCATGCTGTTTTCATTACTATAGCCTTGTAGTATAGTTTGAAGTCAGGTAGCGTGATGCCTCCAGCTCTGTTCTTTTTGCTTAGGATTGTCTTGGCTATATGGGCTCTTTTTTGGTTGCATATGAAATTTCCAGTAGTTCTTTCTAATTCTGTGAAGAAAGTCAATGGTAGTCTATAGCACTGAACCTATAAATTACTTTGGGCAGTATGGCCATTTTCGTGATATTGATTCTTCCTGTCCATGAGCATGGAATGTTTTTCCATTTGTTTGTGTCCTCTCTTATATCCTTGAGCAGTGGTTTGTCGTTCTCCTTGAAGAGGTCTTTCCCATCCTTTGTGAGTCGTATTCCTAGGTATTTTATTCTCTTTGCAGCAATTGTGAATGGGCATTCACTCATGATTTGGCTGTTTGTCTTTTATTGGTGTATAGGAATGCTTGTGATTTTTGCACACTGATTTTGTATCCTGAGACTTTGCTGATGTTGCTTATCAGCTGAAGGAGATTTGGGGCTGAGACGATTTGGTTTCCTAAATATACAATCATGTCATCTGCAGAGACAATTTGACTTCCTTTCTTCCTATTTGAATACCCTTTATTTTTTCCTCTTGTCTGATTGCCTTGGCCAGAACTTCCAATACTACGATCAGAGTGAACAGGCAACCTACAGAACAGGAGAAAATGTTTGCAATCTCTCCATCTGACAAAAGGCTAATATCCAGAATCTAAAAGGGACTTAAACAAACTTACAAGAAAAGAACAAACAACCTCATCAAAAAGTGGGTGAAGGATATGCTCAAAAGAAGACATTTATTCAGCCAGTAAACATATGAAAAAAAGGCTCATCATCACTGATCATTAGAGAAATGCAAATCAAAACCACAATGAGATACCATCTCACGCCAGTTAGAATGGTGATCGTTAAAAAGTCAGGAAACAACAGATGCTGGAGAGGATGTGGAGAAATAGGAACACTTTTATATTGTTGGTGGGAGTGTCAATTATTTCAACCATTGTAGAAGACAGTGTGGTGATTCTTCAAGGATCTAGAACCAGAAATACCATTTGACCCAGCAATCCCACTACTGAGTACATACCCCAAAGACTAAAAATCATTCTACTATAAAGACACATGCACATGCATGTCTACTGCAGCACTATTCACAATAGCAAAGACTTGGAACCAACTCAAATGCCCATCAGAGATAGACTGGATAAAGAAAATGTGGCATATACACATCATGGAATACTATGCAGCCATAAAAAAGAATGAGTTCACGTCCTTTGCAAAGACATGGATGAAGCCTGAAACCATCATTCTCAGCAAACTAACACAGGAAAAGAAAACCAACCACCACATTTTCTCACTCATAAGTGGAAGTTGAACAATGAGAACATAGGGACACAGGGAGGGGAACAACACACACCGGGGCCTGTCAGGGGGGTGGGGTCCTAGGGGAGGGATAGCATTAGTAGAAATACCTAATGTAGCTGATGGGTTGATGGGTACAGTAAACCACCATGGCATATGTGTGCCTATGTAAAAAACCTGCATGTTCTTCACATATATCCCAGAACTTAAGGTATAATACAAAACAAACAAACCAACATTAATTCAGGTTGTTGGTTACCTGTAGGCAATGAATTGTAGTAGTATAAAAGATTCTAAAGTTAAAACAGCTCAGAATCATTGCTTTAAAACAATGTATCTACCAAAGAGTCACCAAAAAATGATTAATGACTTTATTCATTTTCCAGAATCAGAGGTATCACACACACCCAAACTCACAAACGAAAGCACACACGCACATACACATGCAGAAATTCAAGCTGGTAATCAGAGCATGTGATTGGGTGAAGATTCAAAGGTTCTCAGTGTGACAACACTGACATAAAGAAGTTAAAGTTCTAACACAATTGTAATGTCAGCAGGTATAGCTTTCCTCTAGGTAAAGGACAGTATTGCAACGAGAAATTGAAGCACTGAAAAATATTTATAGTTTCAAAATTCACCTCCTTGAACCCCTAACATGCATACAAATTCCACATTGGGATCTTTATCACAACCTAAAAGGAAAAGCATCTGAGCTAGAGCTCACATTTTTAAAATTTCTTTTCCTTATTCTTCTAAATATCATTTTATAAGCACAGACACTAACAACAGCATCAGCATCATTTAGATCAAATCCTTCTACCTTATGGGGGGAAAAGAAGTAAGAATCAGAAGATTATGAACATTTCCAATATATTCATGTCCTTCTTTCCAGATGAAATTTGTATTGGCAAATTTACCTTTTCCTGGAGGTGGTGAATCCTTCCTTCTTATGGCTACTTTTGAACTGGGATCTGCTTCTTTCAGGGTAAGCTGAATGGGTTTTACAACATAATGATTAATATATCATGTATATATCACAAAGATGAAAATATATTTGTTTACTGTGGATAAAGGAGGTTGCTCAGAAGATTCTACAAAGCAAAAGGGACACATAATTAAGTACACGTAAATATGACACAGCCCACCATCCACTATGTAGTGTTTGTATCCAGCTGAAATCTTCATGCTTGGTCTTGAAACCGTTACCTATTAGGCTCTGGGTTGCTTTTGCTCTTGTTTTGGTTAGCATACAGACATGGCAGGAACATACACATGGAAATCACAATATAGGTTTCATAAAACATGTAGTCCAGATTTCAAGAGAGAGATTAGGTTTCACATGACTACAACTAACACAGAAAAGTACTTCTACCAATGTGATCCTCTTAACTGAAGCCAAAAAATGTGATGTCAGACGAAAGGACCAAATAGGACCCCAGAAGGATATATGTCAAAGCCCATGGTAGAACGCTATGGTGTACCCTGAAGAAATCACCCAAGAACCATTTATACTATAATACTACAATAGTTCTCCTGTTCTTCATTTTGTCCTCTAACTTAAAAACTATCAATTTCATTAAAATGTATCATTCACTTCTGCTTGAAGGATGTATTCTCAGTTCATTAGTTCAGATATCTACATACAGAAGCATAGTTAACAAAAATACTCATGTTGTCCAGTCATGCAGGCTTCTGGTGTTTTTCCATTTCCTGGATTCTCAACTTTAGCCCTCCTGCCATCTCTTCATTCACTTATGCAAAAAATGTATACATTACACTCCAAATACCTAATGTGTAATTAGATTCCCATAAAACAAATCTAACCAAAATATTTGAAACATCAGAGGCTTCATGTTAATCACCTTTTATATATAAAAATATTTGCCATGATTATTGAGTTACATTTTAACAAACCTGCACGTTGTGCACATGTACCCTAAAACTTAAAGTACAATAATAATAAAATTTAAAAATAAATAAATAAATAATACTTAAGAAATATATTTCTTGATTGTTTTGCTTCCACAGTCAGTTTGACATGCAGTGCATCGCATTTTGCTAACATGAAGCACCTGTCCTATTGTCGATGTGTGACCCCTACAGAGAGAAGAATTGAGTCCCTGTGGTTGACTCTCATTCTTCCACCTTCTGCTTCCAGTAAGCTCTGAAGCAACAATAATCCAATATTCTGTTCGAGTGCGAATATACCAGGTCCACATAAAGTGAGTTTTCTCAGGTTTCCTCATCAGAAACCCCCAAACACCTAGCCAGCTGCTATCTTTATTTACACCATCCCACCCCACTTGCACTCTTTTTTGTTGATAAATCTAATCTCACTATCCGGTCTTCATTCTTTGCCTTCCACATTTTGTTCTTCATTATTCTCACCACCCCTGTGATTAAACCAGTAAAATCTTGTTTTTATAAATATGAAGATATGGTTTTCCTTTATTAGAATATAAAAGTTACAGAAAATGGACTAACTTGTACAAATTCCTTCTTCACAATAGCAGCCCCATGTCCTCCTCTCTCCCATAGACACACTGTTTCATAGTTTCTATTCACTCACATCAGTTTCATTGAATATCAACTCTCATTTTATCTTTATGGCTTTATTTTACACTAGGGGTTATTATCAAAGACTCAGCAAACTATGTTACGTATTTTCTTCTACATGAGAGGTTACTGAGCAGTAAATAAGAATTTCTTTGGATATAAACACTTTTATGTACACAAACTTTTTATGAAGCTAATTTATGGTTAAATACACATTACACAATTATGTGTTATGTGTTCCAGAGAAACAGGCTCTAAAATTTTATTAAACATATTTAATTTAAAAACTTCTGCAATTACAATGACATAGTCTCTGCTCAATGCAGCAACATCTTCAGAAATCACTTGTGAAGACTTGGGAAAATGTCAGTCATTTACGTGAAAAATGAGAGCATTAAGTGACAACACTGCTTGCTGGTATAAATAAGACAAGGCTAGATCCTTACCAGATTCAAAGAGATCAGAGTGCCATGAGACAGAAACAAATATATAAAACAGAAAGATTTTCATTTCTACCCAAAAATCGTGTATTTAAAGTTTTCAGAAAAGGACAAAATGCAAGAAAACACAGCAGTGAGGCGTTACAGAGGATTTCTTCATCTGGAGACTATTTATCATTTGACATTCGGAAACCCTTTATAGGGCCCAACAAAGGGGTTCTAAAACTGTGATTTGATCATTCCTGGAGTTCAACATCTATGTAAGGAAGCCAAGGTACCAAATGATACTTTGGCCATTTCTTCTTTCCAATGTCATTCTCTGAAAAGCATACTCTGGGGTTTTTCAGAGTCATAACATGATGGAAAAACATGGCTCTAAGGAGTAATGAATATAGTCAATACAGCTATGGCAGTGTACATAGCTATATTCAGGGTATCTGAAATACTTCTATTTAATTTCTTATATAGTACAAATCAATAAACGCAACCACATAAGCAAATCTATGTTGGTATGTCATCGTATTTATGTTCATTTTGTATCAGCATGAAGAGACTTTAATTAATTGTGGTGCAGTCATAAAATGGCATACCACAAGACCACACAACAAATCAAAGATGACCAAATTGTGTCAACCTGAATAGATCTGAAATATATACCACTGATTAGAAAAGCCGAGTTGCAGCTATTATGTACGCTGTGTGAAATCGTATAGAAGACTTGATACTTGGAAACAGATTCTACACATTACCTATGAAAGTGCAAGTATCTTGTAAAGTATTTTTAATGTGCATTGCAGTGATTTAAAAGAAAAAACGTTAATTCAGGCTGTTGGTTACCTGTAGGCAATAAATTGTAGTAGAAGAAAATATTCTAAGGCCAAAACAGCTCAGAATCATTGTTTTAAAACACTGTATCTACCAAAGAGTTACAAAAGAATGATTAATCATTTTATTCATTTTTAATCAGAGATACACACACACATGCAGAAACTCAATCTGGTAATCAGAAGATGTGATTAAGTAAAGATTCTCAATGTAACAACACTGACATAAAGGAGTTGAAGTTCTAAAACAATTGTAACGTCAGCAGGTATAGCTTTTCTCTAGATGAAGAAGAGAGAAGAATATTGCAATCAATTTTGAAGCACTGAAAATATTTAGTGTCAAAATACACCTCCTCAAATCCCTAACATGCACAGGAATTCAAAACTGGGATCTTTAGATGATGACAACTTTAAAGGAAAAGCATTTGGGCTAGAGCTTAAGGTGTAAAATGTCTGTCTTATGCCTTAAATATCATTTTATAAACAAAGATATTAACAAGAACATCAGCATATTTACATCAAATCCTTCCATCTCATTTGGAAAAAAAGTGGGAATCAAAAAACATGAGCATTTTCAATATTTTCATCTACATTTTCTAGAATGAAATTTGTAGTGGCAAATTTACCTTCGCTGAAGTTAGTGAATCCATACTTCCTAAGAATCTAGTTGAAATGTGATCTCTGTCTTTCACCGGATGCTGAATGGGTTTGACAACATAATGATTAACATATCATGTATATATCACAGAACATTTTGTTAATAATTAAAGAAAATATGTTTACTGTGAATAAAGGCGGTTGCTCAGGAGACACTACAAAGCAAAAGGAACACATAATTGACTACAGGTAAATATGACACAGCCTACCATCAATCATGCAGTGTTTGTATCCAGCTGAAATCTTCGTGCTTGCCCTTGAAATTGTTACCCATTAGGCTTTGGGTTGCTTTGCTCTTGTTTTGGTTAGCACACAAACATGACAGGAATATACACATGAAAAATCACAATATAGATTCTATAAAACATGCAGTTCAGATTGCAAGGGTGAGATTAGGTTTCACATGACTACAAGTAGCATAGAAAAGTATTTCTACCAATGTGAATCTGCTGGATGAAGCCAAAAAAAGTGATGTCAAATGAGAGAACCAAATCGGACCCCAGAAGAATAAATGTTAGAAACTATGAAGTTGCAATGAGAGTGCATGAAAATGTATCATTCACGGCCGGGCGTGGTGGCTCACGCCTGTAATCCCAGCACTTCGGGAGGCCGAGGCGGGCAGATCACGAAGTCAGGAGATCGAGACCATCCTGGCTAACACGGTGAAACCCCGTCTCTACTAAAAATGCAAAAAATTATCCAGGCGTGGTGGCAGGCGCCTGTAGTCCCAGCTACTCGGGAGGCTGAGGCAGGAGAATGGCGTGAACCCGGTAGGCGGAGTTCGCAGTGAGCCGAGATGGCGCCACTGCACTCAAGCCTGGGTGACAGAGCGAGACTCCGTCTCAAAAAAAAAAAGAAAAGAAAAGAAAAGAAAATGTATCATTCGCTTCTGCTGGCAGAAAGTGCTCTCAATCATTACTTTAGATATCTACTTGGAGAAAAATCGTTTCTAAAAATACTCATGTTATCCACAGTCATGAAGACTTCTGATATTTTCAACTTCTGGATTCTCAACTTTAGTTCTCTTGCCATCTTTTCATTCACTTATGCAAAAAAGTATGCATTACACATCGAATAACTAATGAGTATTCAGATTTTCATTTACAAAATGTAAACAAAAATCTCTGAATCACCATTGACTTTTTTTCATAATAATCAACTTTTTTTTTTGACATGGAGTCTTGCTGTGTTGCCTAGGCTGGAGTGCAGTGGCACAATCTCGGCTCACAGCAACCTCCACCGCCCGGGTTCAAGTGATTCTCCTACCTCAGGCTCCCTAGTAGCTGGGACTACAGACACATGCCACCACGCCTGGCTAATTTTTTGTATTTTTAGTAGAGATGGGGTTTCACCATGTTAGCCAGGATGGTCTCCATCTCCTGACCTCATGATCCTCCCGCCTCAGCCTCCCAAAGTGCTGGGATTACAGCTGTGAGCCACTGAGCCCAGCTTAATCAACTTTTACATATCAAAATCTTTGCCATGATTATTGACAGTTACACTTTTAGTATTCAAGAAATAAATTTCTCGTTTGTTTTTTCTAAAGTCAGTTTGATATGGTATAGCATAGCAGCCTCTGAGGTACCTTTATACAATGGCTATTTCATCAAAAACAGCATTTTTTTAAAGAAAACCGCCAATGTTTTGATATCCAAGTGCATCCCAGTTAACTAACAAACATGAATGAAGCACATATGATTGATGTGTAACCCCTATAGAGAGAAGAAATGAGTTCCTGTGGTTTCCTGCTGTTCTTCTACCCTCTGCTTCCAGTAAGCTCCAAAGCAGCAATAATTTAATCTTCTTTTTGAGTGGGAATATACTGAGTCTACATAAAGTGAGTTCCCTCAAGTTTCCTCATCAGAAACCTCCAAATTACCTAGCCAGCTACTTTCTTAATTTACACCATCCCGCCTCACATTTTTTTGTAAATCTAATGTCCATTTCTCAACAATGAATATTATATTTTGATCTACAAGTTTAAATGTTCATCAAAGTTTTAAGAAAAAATGTTTAAATTAAATTATATTTACTATTAAAAATTAATAAATTATATGTATAATTTAATTAAAATTAGGTGTATAATTTAATTAAAATTAGGCTTATAATTTAATGTAATTTAACAATTAATTTAATTTCAAATTTATTTTAAATTATATTTAAATTAGTTATATTTATTTTCAAAAATTTTATTAAAGCATAGAAAATTATTCAGCTATATTCACTACCTCACCACCTTTTTTTTGTACACAAAAAATAGCATTATCATTATTTGATTGCTCTCATGGAGCACTTTTTATAATACCAATACCATTTGCTTTTTGTCCAGTTGCTGGTAGTGCTTTTCCTATTTAAAAAAAAAAAAAACAACAAAAAGAAATCTTCAGAAAATGTTATATTTACTACTCAATCAGTCAGTAATTCAAGAAACATTTTCTGTGTCTATAAATTCATAAGGTCTATCCTGGAAAATCTGATAATATGATAAAATATGAATTTTATTTATCAAGTGAAAAAAGCAATTTATAAAAACAAAAGCAGAAAGACACAATTCATTATTTCTGCAATTCAAGTCAATAAAATACAGTGACAGCACAAAGGCAATAACAATTATTCCTACTTGGGAAGCTTCTGAGACACCGCAAATTTAGGGTTCTATTTTTAAAACAGACAAGTGAAGAGTAAGAGTGTGAGGTGTTTCTGGTGAGGGCAGCATGTGCAAAAAAATAAAGCATGAAACAGCATAGCCAATAAGACATACCACAATAACGTGGTAAAACTTGGACACAGACAGAGAAAGTGGGGTGAAGAGATAAAATGGGAGAAACAGGCCAAACCGCAAAATAAGGGTTATGCTAGAATGTAAATGTTTCCTTCACGTAATGAGGATCCAGCCATAAGCAGATGAGTTAGATCAAAGTAAACATGTTTAAGGCTGTTATTTAGCCTTTCTTTGCTTCAATTTCTTTATCAATAAAATATATAAGAGAATAGTAGCTATCCCACAGAACACTGTTGTGATGCTTACATGAGAATCTATGTACAGCATTTAGAACACTTTCTAACATAACAGCTCAATAATTTTTAGATATTACTACTTACAAAGACATTTTAATTAAGTAAAATGATACAATCATATCTACATTGAGGTATCTATTAAAGATTAGATGTATCATTGTATTTCAGTCATTCTCAGATGCTCATTTTCTCACTATTCTCTTATATAAGCTACTGTTCTCTTATATATTAACATCTCCTGACATTGGAATACTGTTTACAATTCATTATTTATTACAATTATAACTGGCAACATTTTAAACGTTATCTTATTGATATATAAAGTAATGTGGCATCACACAATCCGTGATGCCTTACATTAAGTGGGATACAATACATAGAACAGGCAGTTCTACTCATATAATTGGCACATAAATAAAGTACTGTGGAAAAAGAAGGCAAAAATAAAACAACAAATTTTTAAAACAAAGTAATTCTTACTTCAATTTTCAAAAAAAAAAATAATCCAAAGAAAACTCAGGATTCAAATGAATAGGTATGGCTCATTTTTTTCAATACTTACAGAATGTTATGTAAATTAGGTATTTGCAATGATTAATAGTAATATTTGAGACTGTCATAAGTTTTTGAAATGGCAGTTGAAGGTTATCTTTTACTATTTTCTAACTTCAGAATTGCTTTTGTTTAAAAAAAAGGAATAAAAGATCCAATTGGGATTCAGTCCTAATGCTTCCATTTTAAATCTCTCAGCTTGCTCACGCTGGGCAGGTAAACATGAAGTTGTTAAGGGTGGAAGAGTCCTGAGAGATGGTGGAATGTGTCTGCTACATAATAGGTATTCAGGTTATGCTTGATGAATAACTGGATTGAAAGAATGCATACATACAGTTGGGGAGTTTATTATGAAAAAAACTATAAATTAAAGCAGTGCTTTTAGAATAGTGATAATCACTTATATTTGCTCGTTTTCATTTTCATGAGGACACTGATAAACTAAAATAATTTAAAATTGTTTGCATATATGTAATAAAACTATAATAAAAACCTATTTATATACTAAAATCTATGCATAATAAAATAATCAAGCACAAATAAAAATATTCCCTCTGCCTCTGAAGAGGCTAAAAGTTCACAGAAGATACCAATAAACAAAAAAATAAAAATAAGGCCAGGCACAGTGGCTCACACCTGTAATCCCAGAACTTCGGGAGGCCGAGGCGGGGGGATCACCTGAGGTCAGGAGTTTGAGACCAGCCTGGCCAACATGGTGAAACCCCATCTTTACTAAAATATACAAAAATTAGCTGGGCATGGTGGCGCACACCTGTAATCCCAGCTACTCAGGAGGCTGAGGTGGGAGAATCACTTGAACCTGAGAGGCAGATTGCAGTGAGCCGAGATCATGCCACTGCACTTCAGGCTGGGTGACAGGGTGAGACTCCATCTCAAAAATAAACAAACAAACAAATAAATAAATAATAAAATAAAATAGGAAGTAAGAATTATTTTTTCTTTGCAAGATTTACATTTCTTCTTTTCCCAAGCATAATTTCATTAATAAAAAAACATTTACTAGAAGTTTTAAACATACTGATCATTTATACATCACAGATAAGAAAAAATAACACAATACACCTGCCAGAAAAGAAGAAATGTTATATTTTGTACACATATTTGGCTTACAAACACCATAGACTGTTTGTGTGTATGTATAATCAAACCAACTTTTTTTCAAAGTACATCTTCACACCTCAACATACATCTGTATCTACTGACATCTGCAAAGGTCCCATATTGTTCCATCCTATGGATGCACTGAAATTTATTGATAGATTTATAAAATTTATAAAATCCATTATAAGGGGTTTTCCAAATACATTGCTATTTTAAGCAGTGCTGAGAAAAAAAATTGCATGTATCTCTATTTCCTAGAGATATTTTAGTATAATGGAATTGATGGGTGAAGGGCACATACATTTTTAAAGTGTGATACTTACCAACAAAGTGACTATTTGAAAAGTCATCAGAAACGTAAACTTTAAACAGCAGTATATGTACTGCTACTCTTTACCCTCACAAACTTGTGGATAGAAAACAGTATTTCATTCCTTTTTTAACTTAAATACCTTCTCCTCCCAGGAACACTAAATATTTTTTCCTATGTGCATAGGTTGCTTGAATATCTGAAAAAAAAATGCTTTGCTCTATTTTAAATGAGAGTTCTTGTTTATTTGAAGAATTCTCTGTAAAATGAAAATCACTTTTTTATCTAATATGTATATACACATATTGTCTTTTGTTAATTTTTTCTTATAAACTGAATTTTTTTTATTTTGCTAAATCAACCTTCAGAATGTGTGCTTGTGATATTTGTAGGAATATAAACATGTATAAGTAGGCATTTGTGTTTTTTTCTGTTATCTTTCTTATTTTGTGCATTTAAAATTTTTAATCTACATTCCATAACGAACTTATTTCTGTGACATAAAAATCTAGCCAGATTTATCCAAGTAGTTAGCAGGCACTTCATTTATGAGTAATTCATCTTTTCCTACTAATATGAAATGTCACCATTATCCAATTCTATTAGATTGGTGCAAAAGCAATTGCGGTTTTTGCCATTCCTTGTAATTGTGGCAAAAACCACAATTGCTTTTGCACCAACCTAATAAATTCTTACACATATTGGTGTGTTCCTGGATTTTCTAACCTGTTCCGTTCACTGATTTGTTGTTTCAGCTGTTAGTAAATACCTTGTGGAAATTAACAGCACATTTTCATATCTAGAAAGGCAAGTCTTTTTTGACTCCATTTCAAAAGTTTTCTTAATGTCATCACAATAGTAAAAGACAGCATGAGTAATTCAAAAATGTTAACACTTTAATAACTTTATTGGGATTATGTAAAATTTATAAACACAGAAAGAGCTCAGAATTTTAGAAAAATGTGTCTTTCTATTCAAGAACACAGACCATCTTCCCACTTCAAAGTTTCCCTCTAAGGTCCCTCAGTGAAAACCACATTGACATAGGTGTCCATTGATATCAAATAAATATTGCATTTTTATCCAAAGAATTTTTAGTCAGGGAGTTGATATATTATGGAAATGATTTCTCTCATTATGCAACTTTCCATAATGTATGTAACATTATGCTTTAAAATGTGTACATTAAAAATAAAACGCTGTACATGCTGAATTTTATTGGCGAAATCACTTTAAAATGATTTATAAAGAAGAAGCATGGTGAGTGATTGGAAACCAGCTGAAGTTTTGTTTTTGTTTTGCTGCTAGTGAAAATGGCCTGGGTGCTCACCCCCGCCAAGGTTTCCACATCCCAGGTGCGGCTGAGCCTGCCAGGAAAGAAAGTCCAGCCCCTTTGGTGACAGGACTCGCCCCCCTCACCTCTGCACCCCTTTCCCCCACCCCATTCACCCCTACACCTCACCCCCACCTCCAGTCCTCTATCCCACTGAACCCTCACCCCATCTCCCCACCCCACACTGTCCACACCCCTACCCCCCAAGCCTTCATTCCATCCACCTCAGCCCATTCACACCCCCACCCCATGCACCCCCTACTCCCCACTCCCATCCCCCAACTCACTCCACACCCCGCCACCCCATATACCCCCACTCCCCAGGCCCCGTTCCACTCACTCCCACCCCAGCCAGGCACCCCCTAGCCCCCGTCCATACCCCGAGCTCCGGACCATCCGCCCCACAGCCCTCAGCCTGGAAGGGGGTACTTCTCCACATCCACAGGCCTCCTCCCGCAGCCCCGGCTCCCGGCCCCCATTACCTTTCCTCCTTGTCTCTCTCATTGGTGTCATGATACGTGAGCAGAAGGTACTCCAGTTTCTCCAGATTACCATAGAAGACAGCTCTGTGGATCCTCCTCAGATGAGACGATTTAATGTGGTATTGGGGAAATGAGAAGCCCTCCGAGCACAAGCGCTCCCTGAGGGTGGGCCACCTCTCCGGCTCCTAGTCTTCCACAATCGTCGGCTACAAACTGTAGCCTGGGAACGCTCCAGCCGTATTTCAGCTCGCCTTCGGGGATCGCCGCCTCCGAAGCGCAACAACAAGCAATGCAGTCTGTCCACCTACCTTCGCACAGACTCTCAGCCCCTCCCGCCTCTCAGCAGAAACGCCCAACAGAACCGTTAGGACCAGCGAGCACGCGCACCTTAGCCGGCCCCGCCCAACAGGCCCGAGGCGGAGAAACCGCCCTAGCAGCTCTCTCGCCCCGCCACGTGCAGGCGGCGGTTGCTGCGGAGGCGCAGCGGGCTGGCGTGGCTCCCTGGAGCGCGAGGCGCGCCCTGCCCCAAGGCCTGTATGACTGTCGCCCGCGCGCTCTTCTCCTCTTCCACCGGCTCCCGACGCGCGGAGCCCTCCGCGCTGGGCCCTCTGCAGCCCAGGGATGGGGTTGAGTGGCGCTTCTCCGCCTGGTGCCGCCGCCGGGCCCACAGCCCGACTTCGCCACTGCGTCGCCCCCGGGTCCGCGCTGATGGGCGCGAGGCGGAAGGACTGGATCCGGGGTTGCCACCGCTGCAGCCAGAGCACCACTTGCAGGTGGCAGCTGCAGCTCGGGCTCCGGCTGGGGCTGGCGGGGCTCACCTGGGATGGCCTCCTGGTCCCTGAGTGCGCCGCCTATCCGGCCGGAGGGTGCACGCCTCCTGCAACCCGGGCCGAAGCCCATGCCCAGCGCTCCTGCTGCAGACTGCCTGACTTGCCGCTGCCCCGCTGGCCCCGGGGTCCGCACGGCTGGAGGCGCAGTCCTGGTCGGGGATTCCCAATCCTCGGCGACCCCTGGTCCGTGTGCTGGTGGCGGCTGCAGCTGCAGCGCCGGTGGGCTGACGTGGCTTCCCGGAGCTGCGGCCCGCCGCGCCCAAGGGCCCCACAGGCTGCGCCGCCCTTGCCAGCTGCTCTTGACCCCTGCCCTGAGCGCAGGACCTGGGGCTTGGCACTCTGCAGCCACAGGGATGAGGCTAAGCGCCGGTTCTCGGCCTCGTGGCGCCGCTGGGGCCACAACCTGACTTCACCACCCAGTCGCCCAGGTCGTGTGATGGGCACGTGTGAGGAGGGGCAATCGGGGTTCCTATGGCTGCTGCCTGCATGCCACTCCGTGGCCACTAGGATAGGGCTGAGGAGCCGCCAGGGGATGAGCATGTCGTCGTGGCCATCGGGATGGGGCTGAGAGTCTATCTTTATCCTTATGCACCTACTCAGCCGACTTCCCGACAGCCACTACCGCAGTGTCCTGTCAGGGAGTCCTTGCTGCTGGGGCAGTGGTGGGGAGGGCGTGGAGAATCAGGGATGGTCTGGCCATTGCTGCTGGTGCCTGACGTGCAGGTGGCAGCTGCACCTAGGGCGCTGGCACGGGCTGGTAGGTCTTCTCTTTTGGATGCTGTCCAGGTGGCCCATTGTGCCGTGGCCAAGCCCGAGGGTCCACTACACCTTAGCCCGCACTAGGAGTCCAGGGGCCACAGGCGTGGGTACTGCTGGCCAACCAGAAGGGGATCAGCAGCCAGTTCAGCTTTCCTGCCTCTGCAGGGCCTGGTTGACAGCGGTGGCAGTGTCTGGTGCCAGAGTCCGCAGTTAGGGTCCTGGTTGGGGGAAGGGGTGGGCAGATGGTGGTTGCCTGGCCACTGCAGCCCAAGGGAGACATGCAGGTGGCAGCTGCACTATAGGTGCAAGAGCAGGCTAGCAGGGCTCCCCTGGGATGGCCTCTGGGTGGCTGAGTGTACTGCCAACCTGGCTTAAGAGTCCACTCCTACTCCACCCTTGCCTGGAGCATGGACGGTGGCACTGGGCACTCTGCAGCCATGCGCATGGGGCTGAGGGGTGGTTTCCTGGGGTGAAGCCACTGACACACCAACTGCCTGACTTCATACCATGTGAATAATTGCAACCATGTGAATAATTTCATTAAATGTAAATTAAGCACATATATTAAAAGAACAAAGCTGGAGGCATCACGCTACCTGACTTCAAACTATACTACAAGGTTACAGTAACCAAAACAGCATGGTACTGGTACCAAAACAGATATATAGACCAATGGAACAGAACAGAGGCCTCAGAGGTAACACCACACATCTACAATCATCTGATCTTTGACAAACCTGACAAAAAACAATCAATGGGGAAAAGATTACCTATTTAATAATGGTGTTGGGAAAACTGGCTAGCCATATGCAGAAAAATGAAACTGAACCCCTTCCTTACACCTTATACAAAAATTAACCCAAGATGGATTAAAGACTTAAACGTAAGACCTACAACCATAAAAATCCTAGAAGAAAACCTAGGCAATACCATTCAGGACATAGGCACGGGCAAAGACTTCATGTCTAAAACACCGAAAGCAATGACAACAAAAGCCAAAATTGACAAATGGGACCTAATTAAACTAAAGAGCTTCTGCACAGCAAAAGAAACTCATCAAAGTGAACAGGCAACCTACAGAATGGGAGACAATTTTTACACTCTATCCATCTGACAAAGGGCTAATACCCAGAATCTACAAAGAACTTAAACAACTTTTCAAGAAAAAAACAACCCCATCAAAAAGTGGGTGAAGGATATGAACAGACACTTCTCAAAAGAAGACATTTATGCAGCTAACAAATATATGAAAAAAAGCTCATCATCACTGATCATTAGAGAAATGCGAATCAAAACCACAATGAGATACCATCTCACGCCAGTTAGAATGGCAATCGTTAAAAAGTCAGGAAACAACAGATGCTGGTGAGGATGTGGAGAAATAGGAATGCTTTTACACTGTTGGTGGGAGTGTAAATTAGTTCAACCATTGTGGAAGACAGTGTGGCTATTCCTCAAGGATCTAGAACCAGAAATACCATTTGAGCCAGCAATCCCATTACCGGGTATATGCCCAAAGGATTATAAATCATTCTACTATAAACACATGCACACATATGTTTATTGTGGCACTATTCACAATAGCAAAGACTTGGAACCAACCCAAATATTCATCAATGATAGACTGGATATGGATAAAGAAAATGTGGCACATATACACCATGGAATACTATGCAGCCATAAAAAAGGATGAGTTCATGTCCTTTGCAGGGACATGGATGAAGCTGGAAACCATCATTCTCAGCAAACTAACACAAAAACAGAAAACCAAACACCGCATGTTCTCACTCGTAAGTGGGAGTTGAACAATGAGAACACATGGACACAGGGAGGGGAACATCACAAACTGGGCCTGTCGGGGGATGGGGGGGTGGGGGGTTAGCAGAGGCATAGGATCAGTAGAAATACCTAATGTAGATGATGGGTGGATAGGTGCAGCAAACCACCTGGCACGTGTATACCTGTGTAACAAACCTGCACATTCTGCACATGTATCCCAGAATTTAAAGTACAATTTAAAAAAAATTTTAAAAAGAAGACATAAGAATTCTAAGTGGGCACATACCTAACATCTGAAATTTAACATATATGAAATAAAAATGGTTAGAACTGAAAAGAGAAACCCACAAACCCACAATTGTAGTTGGTGCCTCCATTATAGTTGGAGAGTTTAACACTTCTCTCTCAGTAATATAAGACAAGCAGACAGAAAATTAGTAAGGATGTAAGAGAACTGTATAACATGTTAACAAACTAAATTAGATTGATATTCACATAGCACTTCACCTCAAAATAGTAAAATATACATTCTCTTAAGTACATATGGAATAGTCACCAAGATAGCCCGTCCTGGGTCAGAAAACAAACCTAGATACATTTAAAAGAATTGGAATCATACAATATATGGTCCTTGATTACATGGAATTAAATTAGAAATCAGTAATAGAAAAATAAATGGAAAAACACTTAAATACTTGGAAATTTAAAAACTTCTAAATAACTGAAGGGTTAAAAGGAAATTTGAAGGGAAATTAGAAAATATTTTGAACTGAACAAAAAATGAAAATGCAACATATCATAATTTGTGGGATGTTAGCTAAAGCATTGCTTACAGGGACATTTATAGCACTAGATGCTTACATTAGAAAAGAATTCTCAAATCAGCAGTCAAAGCTCCTTCCTGAGAAGGCAGTGCTGCTTGAGCTGATAATGGTCAATGTGAGATTAAATGAGTTAATGTAAGGGAAGTTATCAAAATGATGTTATACATAGAAAGAACACAGTAAGTACTTTCGAAGAGTGGATGAGAGGTGGTGATAACTTAGAGAAGTGGAGGTGAAGATGAGAGATGTGGATAAAGATATTTGGGAGTAAAAATCAACAAAATTTGGTGATGGATTGGATATGGAGTGGGGAGGGGGAGGGGGGTATAAGCATGACACCAAGTCTCTGACTTCCACATCTGGATGGATGGTGGCAACATTCAGTAGGATGGGGAATATTGGAAGAAGATTAGGTTTGGAGGAGTTGACGTGGGCTTGGTTTTGCTCATGCTGAGTATACTGCTAACACCCAGCATGAAGAAAGTGCCTTTATTTCATCTGAACTTGGGATAAATGAACTTATGTTATGATAGTGATCCTCCCTCACTTCTGTAATACATTTTGCACAAAATCACTGCCACAAATGAGTCAGTAGGTGTCCTCCATGACCAAGAAGAGCTGAATTGCTTTCTTTTTCGTACATAGAGCCTGCATAGCAAGATTATCCTAAGCAAAAAGAACAAAGCTGGAGGCATCACACTACCTGGTTTGATATTTTTTCCTGTACCTCTCCTTGTTCTCATATATAAGAACATAAAAAAATGGAATTTTATTTTGAATAATATATCAGAATAATGAAATGTACTTCATGAAACAAATTTATGTCAAATTTCCAAATTGAAAGTTATGGAACATATTTAGTAGCTGCACAGATATGCATGCTGTTTATGGAAGAGTGCTTCTTTAATAAATCTAAACCTAGTTATGAATAAAAAGCATTGTTGCTAAAACTAACTAATAAGACACCACTTCCAGTAATGGCTGAGTCAGCATCTCTTGGACCAACCTGCCCAGAGATAGCAACTGTAAACTCTGGGCAAAATAAAAAGCAACTACCTGAAGGCACTGCAGAGCATTCAGAAGTGGGCAGACACTGTAGAGGAGCCTCAAGCCTTTAGTCCACTGCTTTATTTTTTTTTCTCTTTGTTTTCTCTCTTTTTTGTTCCTCTGTTTTCTTTTTCCCATCTTCCTGTATTAGTTTGTTTTCATGCTGCTGATAAAGACATACTCGAGACAGGGCAATTTACAAAAGAAAGGTTTATTGGACTTACAGTTCCACATGGCTGGGGAGGCCTCACAATCATGGCAGAAGGGGAAAGGCACATCTCACATGGCAGCAGACAAGAGAACAGAGCTTGTACAGGGAAAACTCCCACTTTTAAAACCATCAGATCTCGTGAAATGCATTCACTATCACAAGAACAGTGCAGGAAAGATCTGCCCCCATAATTCAATCACCTTCCACTGGGTTCCTCCCATGACATGTGAGAATTGTGGTAGTTACAATTCAAGATGAGATTTGGGTGGGGACAGAGCCAAACCATATCATTCTACCCCTGGTACCTCCCAAATCTCATGTCCTCACATTTCAAAACCAATCATGCCTTCCCAACAGTCCCCCAAAGTCTTAACTCATTTCAGCATTAACTCAAAGTCCACAGTCCCAACATCTCATCTAAGACAAGGCAAGTCCCTTCCACCTATGAGCCTGTAAAATCAAAAGCAAGTTAGTTACTTCCTAGATACAATGAGGGTACAGGCATTGGGTAAATGCAGCCGTTCCAAATGGGAGAAACTGGCCAAAACAAAGGGGCTACAGGCTCCATGCAAGTCCAGAATCCAGCCAGATAGTCAAATCTTAAAGCTCCAAAATGATGTCCTTTGACTCCATGTCTCACATCCAGGTCACACTGATGTAAGAGGTGGGTTCCCATGGTCTTGGACAACTCAGCCCCTGTGGCTTTGCAGGGTATAGCCCCCATCCTGGCTGCTTTCGCAGGCTGATGTTAAGTGTCTGCAGCTTTTCCAGGAGCATGGTGCAAGCTGTCTGTGGAGCTACTGTTCTGGGGTCTGGAGGACGGTGGCCCTCTTCTCATAGCTCCACTAGGCAGTGCCCCAGTAGGGACTCTGTGTGAGGGCTCCAACCCCACATTTCCCTTTCGCACTGCCTTAGCAGAGGTTCTCCATGAGAGCCCCACCCATGCAGCAAATTTATGCCTGGACATCCAGACATTTCATACATCCTCTGAAATCAAGGCAGAGGTTCCTAAACCTCAACTCTTGATTTTTGTGCACCCACAGGCTCAACACCATGTGGAAGCTGCCAAGGCTTGGGGTTTGCACCCTCTGAAGCCACGGCCCAAGCGGTATCTTGGCCCCTTTTAGTCACAGCTGGAGTGGTTGGTATGCAGGGCACCAAGTCCCTAGACTGCACACAGCATGGGGAACCTGGGCCTGGCCCATGAAACCATTTTTTTCATCCCAGGCCTCCCGGCCTGTGATGGGAGGGGCTGCCGTGAAGACCTCTGACATTTTTCCCATTGTCTTGGGGATTAACATTTGGTTCCTCATTACGTATGCAAATTTCTGCAGCCAGCTTGAATTTCTTCTCAGAAAATGTGATTTTCTTTCCTATCGCATTGTTAGGCTGCAAACTTTCCAAAGCTTTATATTCTGCTTCCCTTATAAAACTAAATGCCTTTAACAGCACCCAAGTCACCTCTTGAATGCTTTGCTGCTTAGAAATTTCTTCCAGCAGAAACCCTAAAACATCTCTCTCAAGTTCAAAGTTCCAAAATATCTAAGGCAGGGGCAAAATGCCACCAGTCTCTTTGCTAAAACATAACAAGAGTCACCTTTGCTCCAGTTCCCAACAAGTTCCTCATCTCCATCTGAGACTACCTTAGCCTAGGCCTTATTGTTCATATCACTATCAGCATTTTTGTCAAAAAGCCATTCATCAAGCCTCTAGGAGTTTCCAAACTTTCCCACATTTTCCTGTCTTCTTCTGAGCCCTCCAAACTGTTCCAATCTCTGCCTGTTACCCAGTTCCAAAGTTGCTTCCATATTTTTGGGTATCTTTTCAGCAACACCCTACTCCTGGTACCAATTTACTGTATTAGTTCATTCTCACGTGCTGATAAAGACATACCTGAGACTGGGCAATTTACAAAAGAGGTTTATCGGACTTACAGTTCCATGTGGCTGGGGAGGTCTCACAATCATGGCAGAAGGTGAAAGGCATGTCTCAAATGGCAGCAGACAAGAGAAGAGATCTTGTGCAGGGAAAACTCCCATTTTTAAAACTATCAGATCTCATGAGACTCATTCACTATCAAGAGAACAGTGCAGGAAAGACCTGCCCCCATAATTCAATCACCTCTGACCAGGTTCCTCCCATGACATATGAGAATTGTGGTAGTTACAATTCAAGATGAGATTTGGGTGGGGACACAGCCAAACCATATCACTTTCTGTGTGTCACTTGAGCATTTTTTTTTCTTTTTTTTTTTTGAGACTGAGTTTTGCTCTTGTCACCTGGGCTGGAGTGCAATGGCACAATCTCAGCTCACTGCAACCTCTGCCTCCTGCATTCAAGCAGTTCTCCTGCTTCATCCTCTCAAGTAGCTGTGATTACAGGTGCCTGCCACCACACCCAGCTAATTTTTTGTATTTTTAGTAGAGATGGGGTGTCACCATGTTAGCCAAGCCTCCATCAGTTCCCCCAGCCCTGGGACTGGCAAACTGTGAGTGAGACTCATTCATGGACTGTGACTCCATTTAGCAGATTATCAACCAGCATTAAGAACTGAAGCCATAATGGCTCACACCTGTAATCCCAGCACTTTGGATGGGAGGATTGCTTGAGGCTAGGCATTTAAGGCCAACCTAGGCAATAAAGTGAGATCCTATCTCTAGAAAACATTTCAAAAAATTAAATCCCAAGTATTCATTCAAGCTGAGCACCTACTCTCTCTCTGCCAAGCATTGGCGATACAAAAATAAACAAGACAGACATGGCCCCTGCCTATGGAGCCTGATGCGTAATGAGGGCGGTGGAGAACAGCCAAGGAAATCTGTAAAGGTGCCATGCCTGTCATGGTCCAGTAAGAAACAGAAACCATGATAGGTGCTTCATATGGAGGGCATTCAATACAAGGACTTGTTGACACAGTTGTTGGAAGGCTGGATGAACAGAAAGGGGCCACTGAACAATCCAGAGAATAATAAGAACTCACAGCAGCTGCCACCCACCCCCAGAATCAGGGACAGAGGGGCAGCGATGCTGATGCTCAAACATATAGATGAAGCTGTCCCTGCCTTGCCAGCGCTCAGACCAGTGTGGGGGTGCTGGGAGACAGTGGTCACCCTAAAGAAAGGGCACTGGGACCCTCATTTCCAGCTGCTGCTGCTGATTCTGGAAAGACAATGGCAAGGCCTGGAAAAGGCAGCAGGAAGCCCCCACTTCTCTCCTAACATCCCAGCCTCCCTCCAAGTCTTCCCCTGCCAGAACCTAGCAAGCACCCAGCCGCCAAGGGAGCCCACACCACATAGCAGAGAGATGCTGGGAACCACCTGGCCTGGCCCTGCATCCCTGGCCACTCCGGCCCCTGTCTGAACTTCCAGCCCTGGTCTTTCCCTGGCCGTCCAGCAGGACCATGAGCAGCCGTCCCTGAACCAGTGGCCTCTCTCAACTCGGCCAAGACAAACAACCAAGCACACTTTCAGAAGGCCAGCCCACCCAGAGGGGTCCACAGACTTGACGGCTGCCCTGAAGGAGCCACCGGCTGCTGACATGGAGCCTAACAGAGAGGCCCTGGGCAGTCTGACCCACTGGACCCAGGGCGAGCCCCAGATAAGGAGCCTTGCCAGTAGAAGTGCTGGCTGTCTCTGCCATTCCCAGGAGCTGTCTCCCTGGAGAACTTTCCCCTGGGCAGGGCAGATGTGTGGGAGTCAGGAGAGGCTCCTAGAGCGTTGTCCAGATTGGCAACACTCAGGGCAAAGGGCCCTAGTGCGGAGGAGCTCAAGGACCCTGGCCTTTGCCCCCTCATCTCTTTCCAGCCCCTCCCCTGCCTCATCCATCCCTGCCAGCCAGCCCCTAGCCTCGGGCCCCCTTTGCCTCCTGAAGAGACCAGCCTGTCCCTCAGTCACCACCTAGTCAGGCTCCCCCATCTCAGCCAGAATGGATGGCTGCTCAGGCCCCACACAGGGCCCACCTCATTGGACAGGACCAGCCCTTGTACCACGTTCCACAGCACTAGCTCCCTGTGGCACCACTTCCTGTCCCCTGGCCACAAACTGTCCCTAGAAGATACCAGCGGGGGCCCAGAATACAGCCTCAGTGGGATCCCCATCCAGAGGGGCCAAATATCATGGGTCTGGGACTCCAGTCTTCAGACCTCTTTCAAAGAAGGCTGGATTCTTTGAGCTTTGCTTTTTCACCTCGGCACTATTCACAGATCCCCCCACCAGCCTCCCCCCAACACTGCCCATCTGGACTCTCTCTCTGCCCCAGTGATATTGGGGGAGGTACGGAGGGGCATGTGTATTAATTTGAGCACCATCCTCTCTGACAGCACATATTTTAGTAGTGTGTCCTATGTACCAGGGCAGTGGGGCATCTCAGGATGACAAGGGGTGCCAGTGGGGTCAGGGAGGAGGCAGGGTGGTGGGAAAAGCCTTCCCGGGGAATCCTGAGGGAAGGTTGCTCCCTACCCTACTGGGAGAATTTCTGGGGCCTGGGAGGTGATGGAGCAGGAAATAGGTGAGGATGAAACAAATACACGTCTGTCACCATTTGGTTCAGGCTCCTGGCAGGAATGCTGGTCTGTGGCTGGGCCACAGTGAAAGGCCCAGAAGGCAGCAGGCGGTGCCACCTTCATGGGCATCTGTCCCAGGAAGCTGAGGCTGTGAGCAGCTAGTGAGTGGTGTGTCCAGCAGCCCTCTCCTCCTTTCTCAAGTGAGTCAGTGACATGTACCAAGCACTTGCTTTATGCCAGGCTCCGTGCTTTACTCCAGGGACAGAGACCTCAGGGCACAGTCCTGCCTGCAGGAACTCAGAGTTCCAACAGGAGGCAGGGAAGAGACAAAAAGAGACAATGAAAGTGGAGAGTGACCCTAAGGGAGGTATGCTGGGGGCTTGGTAGTCAAGGGTGGCTTCCTAGAGGAGGTGACATGGTCTGGTCCCTGCCTTTCAGGGTCTGGTCATAGATAGACTGGTGGTCAGTTGGGGACAGCAAAGCAGGCAATCCATCAACCAGGACTAAGTGACTTGGTGCCTAATGAAGGGCTCATCTGCTGGAAGCACAGATGAAGGTTTCAGTTCAAACTGAGGGTACTGAGTGGACCTCCCTGGGGTAGCTTTCCACTAGACTCAACTCTCTGTGGGTTCTAGAAACATCTTAAAGCTATAGAACTCCAGACTTGCTCCAAGAAATCAGAGCCTTAAATAAGCCAGAACAGGGGCTACGCGTGTACCCCTTGAATTCTAGCTCCATGCTCTCCGATGCCGTAGCCACTCGCCATGAGTGACCATGGAGCACTTGGAAAGTGGTCAGTTCAAAATGAGATGTGCCGAAGTTAAGTACACATGGCATTTTGAAGACTTCGTACAAAGAAAAAATATGATATACTCCTTATGTGTTAAAATAGTAATATTTTAGATATTTTGTGTTAAATAAAATATTTTACTAAACTTAATTTTACCTGTTTCTCTTAACTTTTCCAGTGTGGAGACCAGAACATTTAAGATTATGTGGCTGGCATTTCTCTCAGGCAGTGCTGTTTCTATTCACACCTGTGCTGCTCTGGGTCCAGCTCCTTGTGGGCTCTTGCCTCGTGAGTGCTTCTCATGGGTTCACAAAGAAACCAGTGGCAGCATCACTGGCACAGAGGAACAGGGGCCAGATGCAGCTAAGCCCAGAGAACCAAGCCCTGGAGCCTTCAGAACTCATCGGTGACTGGAAACTGGTCTCACCCTCCACTAAGAACAGCTTCTGAAATAAATGAGGATGCACGCCATTCTCCTATTTGAAACTCAAGCTGGAAAACCCCCAAACCTGAGTACTCTCAAAATGTATTTGCTCTGCCATCAGAGAGCATTCAGAGATATTATTGCCACTGCATTGAGGCTGACAGAGATGCAACCGGCCAGGACTTCAGTTCCGAGCTGCTTCCTCTCCCACCTTGCTGCTGAGCAGATGTTTCTCAGTGATTAGACATAATAGAATGGGGCTTCAGCAATGATTTTACTCATCTGTCTACATAATGCATTGTCTACAGACACCAGGCTTTCCTTTCCAGGGAAGTCTTTTCCTTCCCTCTTTGGATTCTGCCTCCACTGCACTGGCCACGTGAACTGTCACACTTCCATTCCTCTCAAAACACCATTACAGATGTTTATTTGCTGAGGCCAACTTGGGCACATTTGAATACTAAGCTATGTTGGAGTGTTTTGCTGCCCTGCAATACAACCCGGTTACTAAAAAAGCAAAGGCATTGAACCTATGTTTAAAACCTCAGCTCATCTGATTACTGTGTTAGTGGAGAGTGAAGGCTGATGCAATCCTAAATCTGGCAGCTTCAGCTACCAGGTGCAACAGGAAGTGAGCAAAGTCAGGCATCTGAGAAGCAAGTCACAAGAAATGGTTGTCATGGCACCAGTGAAGTCTGAGGGCTGGAGTGACATCTTGGGGTATCTGGGACCTGACTCCTGCACCCCAGTGCCAGGTACACACAACTGCTCAATATCAGTTAGTCAAAGGAACTGACAAACTCAGTATCAGTTAGTCAAAGGGTGGAAGAGTTGATTATAGAATGCTCAGGCCCTCTGGATCCTAGGGGCTTCTGCAATATCTTCAGAGACAGAGATGTTGCCCCAGATGGCTGGGAGCTGGCCTGGCTCTATCAGTCAGGCCTTAGTGTTGCTACAAGCTGGCCTGGCACCGACAGCCAGGCCATGATGTTCTCATGTGAAACACAATTTCACCAGTATCAACATCAGACAAGGCCACTCCGTGACCATGATGAAGACAAAACCAAGACTATAATCGCACAGACAAAACATATTGTCCACATCACAAAAATTGCCCAACATCATTAATGAGTAACTGCCCCTTCTTTACCAATGGTAGCTTTAGGTTCACTCCATTCTTCTTACTTTCTAGGTAAGAATTGTTAAAGATATCCAGTTATAGAAGTAGCCCTGCTTCCTGAAGGTATCCAATCCAGAGCTAAGCTCTGCTTCCTTGGGCCTAAACCCTCTAAGTCCTAATGCTGAGATAACTGCAGCTTCCCATGGCGTGTGATTTCCCTTATTCAATGGGTAAATAAATCCAACTTTGTTCAACTGTGTCTGTGTTCCTGAATGGTCTTTGGCTAAAAGGAATTAACAGTCCTCAGCCATAAATGCCCCTTCACAGGCTAGCAGTGCCTCTGGTAGCCACTGTGCCTAAATCATAGGTAGAAAGGAGGAAAAAAGGAAACAGATAACGAGAGAGAGAAATCAATGGTTGTCAAGTTCCATTCCAGAGTGACAAATAAAGATGACTTCTACAAAGGGCACTTTCTTGTGGCCCACCCGAGGCTATATGCAATGTTCTCCTCCTTCCTCCTACCAAAGAAAGCGTAGCAGAAGACAGAAATGGATTATTATAGGATTAACCATGAGCCTACACACACAACCCAACCATTCACTAACTCCAGTACTTTAACAAATTACTTGTCACGCAAGTTACAACTTATGGACACAATTAAGGAACACAAACTATTCAAAGCCCTATAACCACCTTGAAGTAGGAACAAGGCCTAGAGCCAGAGAAGTCTGGTCCACTTTCCAGTGGGTGACCTGAACAAGTTACTTAAACTAAGCCTCAGTTTCTCACTCAGCAAATTATAAGAACAAACACCATAAAGATGCCATAAGCTAACAGGGCAAAAACCCAAATAGTGCCTGGCACACATTCAGGTTCAAATATGATAGCTCCCTGCTTCCCCTCCTTGCCACTTTAGGATAAAATTTGAAACTACTGAAATATAATAGTTCAATAAAAATAGTACATCAAAGCAAAGCCCAGTCCCTGAAATAAAAGGTAGCTTCTTGGAACGATTACTCCAAACTTAGCTTTTTTGTGGAACTTGCCTGTCTCCATTAGAATTTTCCCATAAAAAGTCACAACACGCCATCTCTGGCACTTCTTGAGACTAACATAAGAATATCCTCCCAGATACTACAAAACCCCCAACCTGAAGACCAGGGGTTCCAGGGCTGGCTAACTAGCCAGCTCTGTCTGTGACAAGTGACTTAGGCTATTCAGGCCTCTTTCTCCTCTGTAAACTGACAGCTTATTTAACTTTAATTAGAAGCACTTTAATGGAGTCAAAGCCAGCAAAGACTCCACATAGGAAGCTGTTGCCAGAGTCACCTGTCAGCCACTTTCCCCACCCATGACTCATCTCTTGCCCACCTGCCCACCATGTTCCTCCACTACATCATTCTTCTGTCAAGGTGCCTGTCAGGCTCACCAGGCTGGAAGCCTCTGGAGCACAGGAGGATCTTACTCATCTGTGTCCCACCCTCTCCCGAACTGGCCCATGATGGGAGCTCAAACAGTCTGATCAATGAAGAATATAAAAACTTAATGAGAGGTTGTAGCTGAAACCAAACTGAATAGATTTTATTCAAATCAGAGTGATTTTCCTCCTTTGATACCTTCCAGAATTGTGACTGCTTACCTTCGTTATAACCGTTTCCCAAAAACCAAACTTACAGCTCACCCTTGCCCCTGAGATTCATCATTAATCACATGTACTGGCATGTGGGTCACAGGAAAAAAATTGTTTTTTCCATCTAATTTATTCCATCTAACTCCCCAGAAAGATCACATTTAATGAGCTTTAATGAAGACTCTTTAGTCAAAATGTACCTTGCTGTATGTGTGCCTAAAGCATAGCAGGTGTTTTGTTTTCTTCAAGAGAAGAAAACCCTAACATCGACATTCAAAGAAACTACAGATCCATCACAGGTGCGAATGCCTGTGAAACCCACAGAACATTTACATGTGATGTGGTGCATGCAGGTGTTTTTCAGAAATTCAGCTTAACTTTGTTGTTTATCTTTATTCCTAAATTTAATCAATGCCACAAGAGCTTCAAAGGATTATGTCAAAAATTAGTTCTATCAAGATCTCAGCTAAGATGTAGTGCCCGTTTTGTGCAAAAATTATAACCCAAATTAAAAGAAAATAAAGTATTCCTAACAATAGGCTTCCTAACAATATGTGAGGCAACTATTTTTAAAGAGCACCTCCAGAGTGAAGAGGGAATTCTGAAAGAAATAAGCATCTTTAATGCCTTCTCTCCTGATTAACTTTTATTCTACAACTTGATTTAGCAAGAATTTAGATGCCAACATGTCTGATCATTATTATCCAAGCATCAAAATAGACAGTAAAATGAGGGAAATGACTGTTCCAAGTATTGTGCAAAGTTAGCAAGGGGAAATCAGAGTTCTCAGCATCAAGACCCTTTAACAGCAGGATGGATTCCTTTGAGCCTTGTCTAGAATGCTCACTGAGCTGGTCAGGCCTTTCCTTTCCCTGTTATGAGGCTCTTTTCTGGAGAGCTAACTGTTTATTAAGCAGACTGTCTGCAGATTACAGAGTTGGGGGTGCTAATGAGGAAATTCAGGTTGGGGGTGCTAATGAGGAAATGCAGCAATATGATTTGCTGCGTATCAGCTTCCATGACTAAAGAAGGTTTGACTAATATAAAACGTGGAGATAATTTGTGACTTTTGTTCATCTGTGTTACCCTTCATGCATGAAGAAAATTAATACCTTGCCTGACAAAGGGCTATGGCATATTTCCTTAGATAACTGACATATCTGGAAGATAGCTCTCCCAGAAATAATGAAAGTATTTACCTATTCTTTGGTTCAAGATTTCTTGAGTGAATTCTACCCCTTATCACAGATCTGATGTACGCTGGGTGGGCAAAACTGATTCCTCTCCCATCTTGGCTTTCCTTCTGTGGCCATTTAAATTTAAATTCTACAATAAAGACAAAAGAGTCAAAATGGCACCACACTGTTTTATTTAAACCTGCAAACAATATAAAGAGGTAAGGACTTCTGACGCCAAACCATGCAAGTAATAACAAAGGAACAGAGAAAAATATTAATAACAAAAAGAAAATCATTAAAAATAAAAAAACAAAGTACTTCACATTTCACAGCAGTGCTTTGGCAGTACTGGCAAGCATTTCTGGTCAACTGCTTCCAACAGCAGGAATATGAAGAAACCCCCAGATCTTAGCAAAAGTGTAACAACATTTTCTCCCTGACAGCTTACATTCCAAGTCATTCCATACCATACCGCTCCACTCCACAGTTTTATAAACCTGATCTTAAGATGTAACTAGGTACTATGTGTGCTCACAATAAAAACTAACTAAAAACAAATCAGAGGGTAGCAGACAAGTAAACAAAGTTTCCAGTAAGGCATCAGGAGATCACTGCTGGTGGGCCCCTCACTTTACCAGCTTAAAGAAGTTTTGATTTTTATTTCTCAGCAAACTCAATATTCAGAAGCTTTACCAGCAGACTCAAGTCAAAGGTTTTAAATACAGTTTACCTCATTTTTTTTTTTTGGTAAATATTTCATATAAAACATGAACTCAAGTTCTACTTCATTTAAAAAACTGAATATTTTAATAGTAAAAATATATGTTTATATTTCTCTTTTTAAAAAGACATTTAATAACAATACTTCATAAGACTGGATTTAACTCCCCCTCCCACTCTTCCCCCCACCCCCCACCACAAGTTGTCCAGGCAGAGATACATTAAGGCAAAGGCTCCTGGAGAGGTACGTCCACCTTGGCTGTGGGCTGGAGACTCAAGGTGAACACACTCTGCTCCTTGCAGGGTCAACAGAAAGGCTTCTCCCTCATGTTCACTGAGCCATCCTGCATCCCAAAGTAGACTCTCTCAGCCATGTTGATGAATAGGCCTGTGTCCACCACACCTGCAGGACAAAGGACAGAAAGAAACATTGTTTCAGCCTCCCAAAGCAAAAAGAGACTCAAAGACTGCAGGGTCACTAGAAGCAACTGTCATACACAGCATTGGACGAATGACAAATCTAAAGCCTTTTTCTCCCACAGAGCAATGAAAAGAGATTCTGATTATCTTAATTTCTTCTTGCCACCTCTTTCTCCCCTCCCACTTTGGCCTTCTTTCTGTACCCAAACATGCTAAGCTTTGTCCTGCCCTGAGGCCTTTGTTCATGCTGTTCCCTCTGCCTGAGCCAGTCATTGTCAAGCACTTCAAGGGGCTGGCTCAGCTCTGTCCTTCAGACATATCAGATGGCAAGTCATCCTCTAGAGACCCTCCATGACTACTCCAGCCAAGGAGCCCCACTACCAGTTATTTTCAATCATACCACCAGCCTTGAAAGATTTCCTCGGAATGGGAGGAGATATTTGCAAAGCATATACCTGACAAAGGACTCATATCAAAAATATAAACAATTTATAAATCATCAAGAAAAAGACAGAATCCCCATAGAAAAATGGGCAAAAGACTTGAAGAAGTACCTCACAAAAGAAGCTACCCAAAATGGCCAATAAACATTTTAAAAGATGCTCAAAATCATTCACTGAAAGGAAATACAAATTAATATTACAAGATATCACTACACACACACTGAAGTCAGTGTAATGAAATTCTGCTGGGATGCAAAGACACTCATACGCATTGATGGTGAAAGCTGAGCTGGCAAAAGCACTTTGGAAATGTTCATCTTCCAAGCTGATGGATTCACACCTAACCACTCAGCAATTCTACTCCTAGATATACAACTGTTAGGCATACATTTGGTCATCAAAAGACATGTGTAAGATGTTGATAGTGGCACTTTTCCTATTAGCTAAAAACTGATAATACCCAAATGTCCATCAAGAGTAGAATAGAGGCTGGGTATGGTGGCTCATGCCTATAATCCCAGCACTTTGGGAATGAAGCCCAGGAGTTCAATGGAGCTCCAGATGGAGCTGATGGAGCCCAGGAGTTCGAGACCAGCCTGGGAAACATAACATAGAGATGGCAGCTCTACAAAAAATACAAAAATTAGCCAAGCATGCTGGCACATGCCTGCAGTCCCAGCTACTCAGGAGGCTGAGGTGGGAGAATCGCCTGAGCCCAGGAGCAGAGGTTGCAGTGAGCCATGATTATGCCACTGTACTACAGCCTGGGTGACAGAGCAAGATCCTGTCTCCAAAAAAAGAAAGAAAGAGAAAAAACTAAAAGAGTAGAATAGATATAAACTTTTTTTCACACACATACAGATGATGGAATATGATTCAGCAGTGAAAATTAACAACTACACACAACCTTTACCAAGAATATTTACATATACTCACACATACTTCAATGACATAACACTTTAACTGTAAGAGAAAAGGTATAATGGACCAGGTATGCAGGGAAACAGATACCTGCACACACTGTTGGTAGAAGGCTAAGTGAATACAAGCTACAGACGGCAATCTGAAACCATCTAACAAAAATCACAGACACATTAATCCTTTCATCCAGTGATTCCCTGCTAGCAAAAATCTGCAAACATAAATGACCACTAGTGGTGATCCAGTTAAGTCATAATGTTACATAGGTAAAGTGGAATACATGCAGGTATTCAGAAAAAAAAGGAACAAGGAAGCTCTTTTATAAGCCAATGTGTAATAATCTCCAAGACAGGCAAGGCAGGAAACAGAACATGTATAAAGCAGGCTACCGCTAGTGTAAAAAGGGGTGGGGCGGGAGGAGTTGCAATTTGTGTGTTTATGAAAGTCTATCTCAAAGGCCACACAATTTTGGTAACACTGGCTGCCTCCAGATAGGGTAACTAGTTGGTTGGAAAAGTGGCAAAGAGGACTTGCCACTGTTTAACTCATAATTTTAAACTACACAAATTCAAAAGGATAAATACAATGAAAACTTGCAGGAAAATGGCAATAGAAGACAGGATTAATGTGCAGCACCCACTTGGACAGACAGAACAGTGTGTGGAGACACACATTGTGAACTTTTGCTCCAAGAACCACCACAGGAACATACCAGGAAAACCAAAAGAATTCACAGACCCTTTGAAAGAAGTGGCTTGCTGCTGCAAACTCCATAAGACAGCCAAAAAACTGTGAGTTCCCAAAGTGTGAGAGGGGGAAAAGTCTGCCTCTGAACATACATCCCCACCGGGGAACCTGAAAAATCCAGATCACAGGAGACGGATTTAATCTTACCTAGAGCTGAAATGGATTTAGAGAGCTGAGCAAACTATAAAAGTAGAAGCAGCAGCAGGAAGAGCCCTGTAGACACTTCCAGTCCCCAGCTTGAGCCCAGGGAAGCCATCCCTGGCTTTATCTCACAGGGGTCCTTCGGGAAAAAAAGGCAGCCAGCAGAACTGGGGAGGGGCCACAGGATGAAGGAAGCTTCTAGCTGAACTTCGTAATAATTTCAACTGAGCACAAATTTTCCTGAGCAGAATCCGGTGGGGGACAAATGGGAAGTGCAGATACAAATGAAGAACCCACAGCCGAAGGTGCAGGCAGGCAGGGAGGGGCGAGGCCTGAGAGGCCTGCTTGCTTTCTCAGTAGGGAGGCCTGTAGTCTGGGGCAAGATCTCAGCCCTGCTCACCATGGTGGGGCATGGCGGGAGTGAAACTGGCCTTGCTGGCTGTGTGGCAGCTGGGTGGGGGTCTGTCACTGCCGGCTTTCTCCTACTTCCCTGGCAGCCTGTATGACGCAGAAGAGGCAGCCATAATCCCCCTGGGAACATAACTCCATTGACCTGAGAACCACTCCCCAACCCCACACAGTGGCCACAGCAAGCCCTGCCCAAGGAAAGTCTGACTCAGACCCACCTAACTCTGCCCTAACCTGATGGTTTTTCTCTACCTGCCCTGGTAGCCAAAGACAAAAGACATAAACTCTTGGGAGCTCTATGGCCCTGCCCATTACCTAAGAAACCAAAATACTTATCCTGGCCTACATAGACAAGCTTGTATCCCCCCTATACTACTACAGCTGATGCTTTCTTGAAAGCACCACCTCCTCGCTGAAGGCCAACCAACTCAAGCCACTACAGAAACTCGTAACAGAACAACCCTGCTCCAAAAAGGGAAAAACAACAGCTAATTCCACCGCCTGCAACATCCTGGCTAACCAGAGATCCTGAGTCTGTCCACATGGCAACTTCACTGCTAGCATAAACCAGCATTCAAGAAAACCAGTGCACTAAACAAAAATACAACCAGGGACTCCCACAGAGTCCACTTCACTCTCCTGCCACCTCCACCGAAGCAGGTGCTGGTATCCACAGCTCGGGGACCTAAAGACAGATCACATCACAGGACTTTCTGCAGACATTCCCCAATACCAGCCTGGAGCCCAGTAGCCGCACTGGGTGGCTAACCCCAGAAGGGCATAACCACTGCAGTCCAGCTCTCAAGAATCCTCATCCTTAGGGGAAGGCGAAGAACACCCCATCAAGGGATCACCCCATTGGACAAAAGAATCTGAACAGCAGCCCTTGGGTTCCAGATCTTTCCAATGAAACAGTCTACTCAAATGAGAAGGAACTAGAAAACAAATTCTGGTAATACGACAAAACGAGGTTCTACAGCACCTCCCAAAGATCACACTAGCTCTCCAGTAACGGAGCCAAACCAAGAAGAAATCTCTGAATTGCCAGATAAAGAATTCAGAAGGTTGATTATTAAGCTACTCAAGGAGGTACCAGAGAAAGGTGAAAACCAACTTAAAGAAAATTTAAAAGGACTCCAGAGAAACAGATATCATAAAGAAAAGATAATCAAACTTCTGGAAATGAAAGACACATTTTAGAAATGCAAAATACACTGGGAAATTTCAACAACAGATTAGAACGAGTAGAAAAAAAGAACTTCAGAGCTCGAAGACAAGGCTTTCAAATTAACCTAATCCAAGAAAGACAAAGAAAAAAAGAATCAAAAAAATGAACAAAGCCTCCAAGAAATTTGGGATTATGTTAAACAATCAAACATAAGAATAACTGATGTTCCTGAGGAAGGAGAGGAGAGAAATCAAAAAGTTTGGAAAGCTTACTTGAGGGAATAATTGAGGAAAACTTTCCTGGTATTGCTGGAAATCTAGACATCCAAATAAAAATGCTTGAAGAACACTCAGGAAATTCATTGCAAAAAGATCACCACCTAGGCATATAGTCATCAGGTCATCTAAAGTAAGACAAAGGAAAGAATCTTGAAAGCTGCCAGGCAAAAGCATTAGGTAACCTATAAAAGAAAGCCTATCAAATTAACAGCAGATTTCTCAGCAGAAGCCCTACAAGCCAGAAGGGATTGGGGTCTTATCTTTAGCCTCCTTAAACAAATTAATTATCAGCCAAGAATTTTGTATCCAGCAAAACTAAGCTTCATAAATAAGGAAGAGATACAGTCATTTTCAGACAAACAAATGCTGAGAGAATTCGCCACTACCAAGCCAGTCCTACAAGAAATGCTAAAATGAGTTCTAAATCTTGATACAAAACTCACAATACACCTAAATAGAACCTCCTTAAAGCATAAATTTCACAGGACCTATGAAACAATATCACAGTGCAAAAAAACAAGGTATCCAGGAGACAACTACCATGATGAATAAAATAATACCTCATATCTCAATATTAACGCTGAATGTAAACTGCCTAAATGCTCTACTTAAAAGGTACACAATGGGCCAGGCTTGGTGGGCGGCCAAGGCAGGCAGATCACCTGAGGTCAGGAGTTTGAGACCAGCCTGGCCAATATGGTGAAACCCCGTCTCTACTAAAACCACAAAAAAATTAGCCAGTCATGGTGGCGGGCACCTGTAATCCCAGCTACTCAGGAGGGTGAGGCAGGAGAATTGCCTGAACCTGAGAGGTGAAGGTTGCAGTGAGCCAAGAACATGCCATTGCACTCCAGCCTGGGCAACAAGAGTGAAACTCTGTCTCAAAAAAATAAAAAGATACACAATGGCAGAATGCATAAAAATCCACCAACCATGTATCTGTTGTCTTCAAGAGACTCACCTAACACATAAGGATTCACATAAACTTACTGTAAAGGGGTGGGAAAAGATACTCCACACAAACAGAAACCAAAAGCAAGCAGGAGTAGCTATTCTTCTATGAGACAAAATAGACTTTAAAGCAACAAGTTAGAAAAGACAAAGAGGAACATTATATAATGATACAAGGATTAGTCCAACAGGAAAATATCACAATTCTAAATATATATGCACCTAATACTAAAGCTCGCAAATTTATAAAACTGTTACTACTAGACCTAAGAAATGAGATAGATGGCAATACAATAATAGTGGGAGACTTAAGTACTCCACTGACAGCACTAGACAGGTCATCAAGACAGAAAGTCAACAAAGAAACAATGAAATTAAACTATACTCTGGAGCAAATGGACTTAACAGATATCTATAGAACTTTCCGCCTAAGAAGTACAGAATATATATTCTTTTCTTCAGCCTGGAACATTCTCCAACATGACAGGCTACAAAACAAGTCTCAATAAATTTTAAAAAATCTAAATTATATCAAGTACTCTCACAGATCACAGTGGAATAAAATTGGAAATCAACTCCAAAAGGAACCCTCAAAACTATACAAATACATGGAAATTAAATAATCTGCTCCTGAATGATCTCTGGGTCAACAATGAAATCAAGATGGAAATTTAAAAATTATTTGAACTGAATAATAATAGTGATACAACCTATCAAAACCTCTGGGATACAGCAAAAGCAGTGCTAAGAGGAAAGCTCATAGCCTTAAATGCCTAAACCAAAAACTCTGAAAGAGTACAGATAATCTGAGGTTACACTTCAAGGAACTAGAGAAACAAGAACAAACCACACTCAAACCCAACAGAAGAAAAGAAATAACTAAGATAAGAGCAGAACTAAATGAAATTGAAACAAAAAATACAAAAAAGATAAATGAAACAAAAACCTGGTTCTTTGAAAAGATAAAATCGATAGACCATTAGTGAGATTAACCAAGAAAAGAAGAGAGAAGATCCAAATAAGCTCAATTACAAATGAAATGGGAGATACTGCAACCAATACCACAGAAATACAAAAGATCATTCAAGGCTACTATGAACACCTGTATGTGCATGAACTAGAAAATCTGGAAATATACAAGCCTCTTAGATTAAAGCAGGAAGAAACAGAAACTATGAACAAATCAATAACAAGCAGCGACACTGAAACAGTAATTAAAAAAACTGCCAACAAAAAAAGTCCAGAACCAAATGGATTCACAGCTGAATTCTATCAGACATTCAAAGAATTGGTAGCAATCCTACTGAAACTATTCCAAAAGATGGGAAAAAAAGGGAATCCTCTCTAAATCATTCTATGAAGCCAGTATTACCCTAATACCAAAACCAGGAAAGATCATAACAAAAAAAGAAAACTACAGACCAATATCCCTGATGAACATAAATGCAAAAATACTCAACAAAATACTAGCTAGCCAAATCCAACAGCATATCAAAAAGATAATACACCATGATCGAGTGCGTTTCATACCAGGGATGCAGGGATGGTTTAACATATGCAAGTCAACAAATGTGACACACCACATAAACAATCTAAAACAAAAATCATACGATCATCTCAATAGATGCAGAAAAAGCATCTATCAAAATCCAGCATTGCTTTATTATTAAAACCCTCAGCAAAATCAACATAGAAGGGACATACCTAAAGGTAATAAAAGCCACCTATGACAAACCTACAGCCAGTATTATACTGAAAGGGGAAAAGTTGAAAGCATTCCCCCTGAGAACTGGAACAAGACAAGGATACCCCGTTTCACATACCCAGTATCCAACATACTATTGAAGCCCTAGCCAGAGCAATCAGACAAGACAAAGGGCATCCAAATCAGTAAAGAGGAAGTCAAACGGTTGCTGTTCACTAATAATATGATCATATACCTAGAAAACCCTCAGGACTCATCCAAAAAGCTCTTAGATCTGATAAATGAATTCCGTAAAGTTTCAGGATACAAAAATCAATGTGCACAAATCAGTGGCACTGCTATACACCAACAGCAACCATGTAGAGAATCAAATCAAGAACTCAACCCCTTTTATGACAACTGCAAAAAAAATAAAATACTTAGGAGTATACCCAACCAAGGAGGTGAAAGATCTCTACAAGGAAAACTACAAAATACTGCTGAAAAAAACCACAGACAACACAAATGGGACACATCCCATGCTCATGGATGGGTAGAATCAGTATTGTGAAAATGACCATATACTGCCAAACGCATTCTACAAATGCAATGCCATTCCCATCGAAATACCGCCATCATTCTTCACAGAACTAGAAAAAAAATCCTAAAATTCATATGGAAAAGCAAAGAGCCCACATAGCCAAAGCAAGACTAAGCAAAAAGAACAAATCTGGCAGCAGTACATTACCTGACTTCAAACTACACTATAAGGTCATGGTCACCAAACAGCATGGTACTGGTATAAAAACAGGCATATAGACCAATGGAATAGAATAGAGAAGCCAGAAATAAAGCCAAATACTTACAGCCAACTGATCTTCAACAAAGCAAACAAAAATATCAAGGGGGAAAGGACACCCTATTCAACAAATGGTGCTGGGATAACTGACAAGCCACATATAGAAGAATGAAACTGGATTCTCATCTCTTATACAAAAAATCAAATCAAGATGGATCAAAGACTTAAATTGAAGACTTGAAACTATAAAAACTCTAGAGGACAACACTGAAAAATCCCTTCTAGACACTGGCTTAGGCAAAGATTTCATGACGAAGAACCCAAAAGCAAATGGAACAAAAACAAAGATAAGTAGGTGGAACTTAATTAAAATAGAGAGCTTCTGCACAACAAAAGGAACAGTCAGCAGAGTAAACAGTCAACCCACAGAGTGGGAGAAAATCTCCACAATCTATACAACTGAAAAAGGACTAATATCTAGAATATATAAGGAACTCAAATTAGCAAGAAAAAAAATCCCATCAAAAAGTGGGCCAAGGACATGAATAGACAATTCTCAAAAGAAGATATACAAATGGCCAACAAACATATGAAAAAATGCTCAACATCACTAATGATCAGGGAAATGCAAATCAAAACCACAATGCAATACCACCTTACTCCCGCAAGAATAAAAAAATAATAGATGTTGGCATGGATGCAGTGAAAAGGGAATACTTTCACACTGCTGGTGGGAATGTAAACTAGTACAACCACTGTGGAAAACAGTGTGAAGATTCCTTAAAAAACTCAAAAGTAGAACTACCATTTATTTGATCCAGCAAAACCACTACTGGGTATCTACCCAGAGGAAAAGAAGTCATTATATGAAAAGGACATTTGTACACACATGTTGATAGCAAAACAACTTGCAATTTCAACAATATGGAACCAGCCTAAATGCCTATCAACCAATGAGTGGATAAAGAAAATGTGATATATATACACATACACACACACACCATGGAATACTACTCAGCCATAAAAAGGAATGAAATAATGGCATTCACAGCAACCTGGATGGAGTTGGAGACCATAATTCTAAGTGAAGTAACTCAGAGATGGAAACCCAAACATCGTATGTTCTCACTTATAACTGGGAGCTAAGCTATGAGGACGCAAAGGTGTAAGAATGATACAACAGACTCTGGGGACTCAGGGGAAAGGGTGAGAGTGGGACAAGGGAGAAAAGACTATGCATTGGGTACAGTGTACGCTGCTTGGGTAATGGGTGCAACAAAATCTCAGAAATCACCACTCAAGAACTTATCCATGTAGCCAAACATCACCTGTTTCCCAACAACTATTGAAATAATTTTAAAAATTAAAAAAAAACTCCCAAAGACAGCTCCCAATAAACAAATGAAACGGAGTAGTGATCGAGTGACGAAAAGCCAACAGGCAGAGCAAAGAGTTGCTGAACACAAATAAAGGTCCCTGGCACCAAACTGTGCCTATGCAACTGGATCCTTCCAAAGATGAGCAAAGTAGCCACTCAAGACCCGTTTTCAAAATGTCTGCAATATAAGGAGAAAGCATCCACTGATCCAAAAAACAGTTAAATCAGGTTCAGAAAAGGCTTTAAAGAAAGAGCAGAGATGAATGGGCAGCAGTCTAAGGTAAGACTTTAGAGCAACTTCTCTTTCAATTACTGAGATGCTGGGTGTGACTGACCTCCCCCAACTCCCCGATAAAATATAGTGGAAAGAGCAGAGGATGCTAAATGTGAACCTAGGGGAAAGAACTCCAGTAGCCCTGGCCCTTCAATTCAGTCACTCTGCTCTGGGTGGAACACAACAAAACATCAAAGGGAGTTGTTTTCTAAGCGTCCTCACATACTGTGTACGAATGCACATGGTAACAGAGATAAACAGGGAAACTCGCCCTACTTCTATTCTCCTGATACTGGTCCAGCCGTGAATCTAATGGACTCAATCAGGAAAAGAAAAAATGAGAAAAGATACAGCAAACCACTCTGATTGTCCTGTAGATATCACATTATATGATTTAATAGCTAGCCTCTTTTATCATTTTCCTCACTTTAAGTTCCTAACAAAACTCTGAACGTCTTTAGGACGCAGCTTCTACATACTTTTTTTTGAAGAATCACATATGAGGGAAATTTCCTTACAAAGGACATTTCAGAACCTTAAGCAGCCAAGGTCTAACCAGGAGCAAGAGTGACACCTAGTGGGCACTGCAAGAACTCCACCTATACGGCAGCCACATTGGTGAGCCCTTTCCTCCTGGGGCCCTGGGTTTGTTTGCATTATCACCAAGGGCAAGTTCTCCCATTTTACTAACAGTGATTTGCAAATCTTCTCTTCCTCCTACCTTCTTGGCTGTTTAGTTCTTCCACTAAAGAGGGAACACTAACCAAGAAAATGAGTATAAGCCAACTCATGTTTTTGACTTAACGTGGTAAAAGACTATCAATAACAAACTAAACTAAAATAACAAACTAAAGTAGAATTGGGGCCAGGCACAGCGGTTCACACCTGTGATCCTGGCACTTTGGGAGGCCAAGGGAGACTTTGAGCCCAGTTCAAGACCAGCCTGGACAACATCGTGAAACCCCGTTTCTATAAAAAATTCAAAACTTAGCCGGTCCTGGTGGTGTGTGTCTGCAGTCCCATCTACTGGGGACGCTGAAATGGGAGAACTGTTTAAGCCCAGGAGGTCAATGCTGCAGTAAACCATGATCACACCACTACACTCCACTCTGGGTGACAGAGCGAGACCCTATCTCAAAAAATTAATAAATAAAGTAGAACTGGAAGAACTAGCTTTTCATTACACAGCTTATATTCACACTATTTTAAATCCCAACTAGCACAGGTGTATCTTAGAATCTTAGTATATTTAATTAAAAATAACAATAGTACCTTTCTTTCAAGGGATTTATTCATTCAACAAACACTTTCCCTTCTGCAATGGGCACGGTTTTAACTCATTTAATCCACCCAACAACCTTATAAGGTAGGCACTAGAATTAACTAGCCCCTTCTACATAGGAAGAAACTCGGGCACAGAGATGTTAACTAACTGCTAAAAGGTAACACGCCAGAGCACAGCTGGGTTAGGATCCTTATCCAGAATAGTCTGCTCCATTAAACTGGCCTGAAAGGTCCTGTCAGCCAGTTCTGGCCCAAGAATACTCCATGATAGGGAATATTCCGTTAGCCTCTTAGTCTCGCAATATCCTAAGAAGCTGATACCTCTCAAGACTGCCTCCTCCTTTTAATCCCCCTGTACGAGCCCTTGATACCTCCTCTAGCCTGGACCAGGACTCCAGCCTCAACCAGGACTCCAGCCTCATAACTCATCTCTACACTGCCCACCCATCCTTCACGCAGGGCCATCCTGGCTCTTATTCCATCATTCCCTGGCACAGCTGCATTAGAAGCTCCCCAAGGCTCTAAATGTTCATTTCACACAGCCTCTCCTCGCCTGGTGCTTCAGCAAGTAAGCATTAAACATTCAGGGTCTAGTGGCAGACAACTTAGGGTGCCCATCTTGGTGCTGTCTTTGGGCAAATGGCTTAACCTTTCTCAGCCAGTGCCCTCCTCTGTAACTACCTCATCAAAGTGGGAATCAAAGGAAATATTTTTAGACGTTTAGCACCGTGTTTAACTTATGTTATGCCAAGGCATGGATGAAAAACCACCTCTACACCATAGAACATCCTCACATTCTCCCAAAAAGAAACTTTTTGTGCACTCTAGACTCTTGGTATTCCTCTAGTAGAATTGAGCACATTCTATCTTATTTGTAGGCATGGCTTCTACACACACACACAGATTTCCCCAGGTTTACATCAATTCTCCTTGAGGACAGATTACAAGTCCTCCAGATCGAAGTATCCCCTGTAACACACAGCACAACATCTTGCCTTTGGCATGCATCCAATGAATGTGGATTAACTGAGTCATTTTCCCCGCTACTTAAGAAGAGAACCCACAAAAAAAGGCTGTAGTCCAGCTCCTGGAAGGAAAGGTTCTACCCAGAGACGATGGCCTTATTTCAAGGCAAGTCCCCTCTGAACTTCCATCAGCTTCAGGACTATCTTAACTCAAACAGGCTGTGAAATGCACAAGCAACAAAGCTGCTAGGTAAGCAACAATTGTTGGGGGAAGGGAATACGGCAAAGGAGGTGAAGTTAAAAACCCAAACATGGTATAAAGGGAATTCTTCTTTCCAACCAAGCCTTACAAAGCCCATGTCCATTGTGCCTTCTGTGGCCAGATGTAGGGGCCAGTTATGAAGGCCATGGGTGTGTATATGACTGGTGAACACCACTCATGTTACCTGGGATCATTTTGATAGCTGTATTCACTTCACTCCATTTGTGTACCCGGTCAAACTTCCAGTCCAAGATAAAATTCCCATTATCTGTCACCACAGGACCCTAGAAGATAATTTTCCACAGTGACCAAGGATGCAGATACAGGTAGGCAGAGAAGGACAGGAAAGTAGAGGGGATAACCAAAGACAAGTATGCATTTTAACCTGCTCCCACCTTATGCTTTCTAGGTGTGCTGTGAAGTGGTAATAAGCAGGAGCTTTGAAATCAGAAAGACTTAGATTGTAGTCTTTTTTTTTTTTTGAGAGAGAGAGAGAGGATACAAGCCTCTTAACAAATGTATCAAGCTATTTTTACTCACATGAGCTCCCACTATGACTATGTGACCATGTCACAATTATCACCACATTCCTATCTGATTTCTGGTTCATTGTTCTTACTTCCTTTAGTCCAAAATTCATTGTTCTTATCTGCTTCCTTAAGTTACTACTTGGCTAATAAGAAAAAGGGCAAGAAACAGAATCCAAAACACAATAAGAACACTAGCAGCAATGTGGCTTTCAAATAAGAACTCTGACAGGGTCAAGGTTGAACGACTTCTCCATTTTGTGCTACATTTCTTTCATGTGCCGACAATCTGAACGTCAGTCAGAGCACTGTACAACCACTAGGAACAGAACTACGGTTTTTTTTTAAAAGTCACAGAAACAGTGGGGACAAAATATATCAAAATAAAAATGTATCAGGGTAGGGTGACAGATCTTTTCGATATCCTCCAAAATGTTTACGTAGTTACATATGTAACTGTGGTTAGCTTCTGGATTGCTGTCTTTGCTTATTTGTTTACTTAAGTATAAAAAGAGGGAAAAGTTATGCGCAATCCACTTTAGAAGCTAAAGAGAAACACGAAAAATTTGGACCATCTGGAGAGTATTCCTTGGGAAGAGTTCACACACCCCAAGAAATTCTACTTCTTGTCACATTTAACCACAGAATGAGAGGAAAGAAGAGGGAGAAAAGAAGTTACACCATGGAACCTAAAAAACTTTCTGTTCCAAGCAGTTCCCAAAGCCAGGGTTTCACAGCTGCCAATCAGGGTGTTCCAGGCCTCAGGCACAAAGGTCAGATCACCTGTGGGATGTCAGAACCTGAGGCACAGAGAAAGAATCATTCCCCTATCTGTACAAAGGAGATGCACTGTATTAAGTGTGGTCTTGTCTACACGAGTTTGAATGCAGAAACTAACAGGCCAATTCTCCGAAAATAAACAAATACATCAATTAAAAATAAATAAAAGCCAATTGCCTGGTGGAAGCACACATGACCTAACTGCAACAGAAGGGAGGACACCACACTGAAAACCTGAGTGCACCCAGCACACCCCCGGCCCAACCAGGCCACTCACAGCCTTGTTGACAGCCATTCGAAGTTCAACCACGCCCCCAAACTTCTGGCTCACAGCTCGGCTCACTGGGACATAGGCCATTGGGATGACCTCGATGGGGATTCCCTTGTGCCACTGATCCCCGAGATTCTTCGAATCTTTCCTGGAAAGAAGGAGTCAGAAAGTACAATAAAAGTAAATAAGCTCAACAGTACAGGCAAACACCAAATTCAGGAACAGGGTTAATGAGATGGTGGGAAGGCAAGGAAAGTGATCAAGGGCAATATACATGGGGCTACAAATGAATTAGCTGTTTCACTATATAGGAAAAGAGCTATTTGAAATAAATATGACAAAAATGTTAAAATCTGATATTGCTGGCTTGTGGGTATGTAGGTGTTTAATATTTATGCTCGTCCTGTGGCTATATTTCACAAGTAAATATACACATACACATATTTGAAATTAACATGCTCAGCACAAGTGCTTTTGACTACATTCCTTGAAGGAGCATCTGAGAGCCTGGTCAAAGACTATCAATGACACCAGTCACCTGCGGCAAACCCTGACCCGAGAAGAAGCAGGGTATGCTGAGTCACTGCCCGTGGGCAGGGCACACCCTGCCTCCTCTGAGGCTCCCTGTGAGGATCCAGTGAGTGACATGACACATGAGAGCATGCTCTGCTAACAGGGTGACAAGCTGTTTCCCCGTTCCACTGAACACATGAAACGATGCTAGAGATCCTGGCTGCGGATAACAGTGCTGTGATTAGCAACATCTACCTTCAGCCTACAAGCAGAACATAAGGTCTCCTAGACACTGTACTAAGTCCTAGCCATCAGTCTCAGAAAGTCAGACAGTCCCTGCAGCTCTCCATTTCCTCTTTCACAAAAATGGGGATGCGGCTTGGGGATCCAATCTACCTCCTCAGTTGGCAGCTCAGACACCAGAAACTGTACCTGAAATCAGCGATCACGATGAAGCGACTAGCATAGCCAGCCACAATCTTCTCCTGGGTCAGGCAGCCTCTGCAGGAAAGAAGCAAAGGAACACAGGAGTAAGACAAAAATCTCAGTTTGGGAACTAAGGTTAAATACAGGAATCCCAAATCCACTCAATCCTGGCACTTAAAGAGAAACTTAACTTTTAATTTTTAAAGGGACATCCCCAGTCCCATCATGCTGCTCCTAGTAAATGGACTCTAGAAACATTACCCCTGTCTGGGAGAAACCTAGAAAGCAGACAAGGTTCCCATTCAGGCCAGGCATAATTCCATCCAAATGTGTCTGAGAGGGAGCATTGTGTTCAGGGAGATGTCATCTGGACATGGCATGAATGGGAGGGTCTAGAAGCTGAGGAGGGCACGCTTTGAACAACCCGCCCAGTCGACTACTTGCCAATGAGGGTGATGAAGTGGAGAGAGCCCAGAGCACTGAATCAGCAGATTTGGGTCCAGGTCTACCTCTAGGGTTTAGCAGCTAAACTATCTCACATCTGCAGTTGACAGGATTAAGTAACACGTAAGAAAATCTAATAAACAGTAAAGTGTGATTTTAAACAAATGCTGCATCACTCAATAGTCTGCTTGATTATAAGAACCAGCAGAACAGGATTTCACCTTTTTCAACTCACCATTCCCACCACTCCCCAAATCAGCACTTAAGAAATACCCAATTAATGTTTTCCAAAGGAACAAATAATATCCCTAACTGCTCACAGAAGTAAGCACAGCTTTAAAGCAAAAGTCACACACTGGTGCCCACAGACCTAACAATCTAGCCCAGTATTATTTTGATTTGGCCTTAAGTTTTTAAAGTCTGAATCAACAAAAGAACACAAATCCACAGAGAATCCATTACGATGAATGATCTCACTAAAGAGGCCCAGGTTCCTTGTCAGTAAATTGCTGCTAATGACCAGAAATGCTGAGTTGGGTCTAAGGCCATATGCTATCAATATCCTAGGAGAAAGACAAACTTGCATATGTCACAGTGGCAATTTGTTTATTCTGTATCCATCTTGCTTTGCTAAGGATTAACTGGCAGATACTCTTTAGCACAGAAGCCCCCACAACACTCACCCGCCACCCTTGATGAGATTGAGATCAGCATCTACTTCATCAGCACCATCGATGGCAAGGTCGATCTGTATTGGGGGAAAGGTAAAGATACAAAAACCACTCGAGGGGAGCCTCTGCTAATTGCCTGAGCATGCGATAGCTCATCAGATACTCAGCAGCCCTGTTAGCTAATTCTAGTACTCCCATTTAGCAAATCAAGAAATTGAGCTACAAGAGGTTAAGCTGCTCCACTAGGATCAAAGGGAAACAGCACAGGACTTGGGACTCTAACCGGGATGCAGTTCTTACCCACAAGACTATGTTCCCTTTTCTCATTGATGGGCTTCTCTGTGGACAAGCTGGCGTTATTTAGAGCACGTGTTCTCAGTGTGGGTGCTATCACCTCCCCCAAGAGGCAAAAATTAGTTTTTGGTGGGGGAATAAAAAATCTTAGACATTACAATGAGTTTTGTCCCACCAAAGGGCCAATACAGTAATATCTGTGCTACTAAATTCCACTGGGGGTGGGAAAAATGCAAAAAAAAAAAACTGATTCAGAAGTCTCTGTACTAACTGTGAGCAACCTCACAGGCAATTTTAAGTGGACATGAGGATCAAATGAAGAGATACACAAGAAAGCTGATGAGTTCCCGAACTGGAAATTACTGGGGCATTGCCACTAAGACCCCACTTGTCTGGGCTTGCCCGCTCCCTCTATTAGGAAGCTCCACCACAAGCCCCAAAAGCAGTTGAGGGGCAAATGGGTTCATCTAGCTTTTAAAAATCAAAATCAAGAAAGTTACACATTTCTCATCACTCATGGTACTCTGCATGGACATTGTAGGAACCCCGAGTATATTTTTAAAGACAGCAAGTAGTATGCAGGGTACAAATTCTATTCATGGTGCAGTTACTAAGTTGCTTGGCATGGCTGGCATGGCACAGGTATAAAAAATACAGTTTCATATGGGTCATGCTTGCTTCCAGCCTTTTACAGATTCCAGCCTTTGTCTGAAGTTACAGCAGGCACTGCTCTCCCCAGGCCTGCATTAACCCCAGAGCCAGGCTGCACTCTGGCAATTCTCAGGGGTATGGAAAGTGGCAACCTTTTCTGTCTGGGCTCCAGGCCCACCTTCAGCCCAAACCACTCTCTTCACAGCTGCTGAACACATGATCAGCCTGTGCCCCTGGCTCTGCCCACAGAAATCCCCAAGTCCTTCCCATAGTTCTTACTAACCCCTGTGAGGCCCATGTGTATGACAGAAACATGGGCTACCAGATCACCATCAAGTCTCAACCTGCCTGGTTTTCCAGGTGCCATAAAACCACCCCACTTTTCCTATCCAGCTTTGCTTTCCCTCTCCCCACTATGCACCAACGCAGTACACTCACTCTGTCCTATCACCCCAGCCAGTCCGAGCAGTGTCCATTTGCCCACATGGAGCTGTTCCTGTGGTTCCCGTCTACCACTCTCTGGAATGTTCTCTCCTGCCCCTGCCACCTGGCCTTTATAGCCCAATTCAAACTTTACCTCTTCCCAAAAAACTCAAACTAGCATTAGTCTAGAAAAGATGTGCCTGAGTTCAAATTCTGATTCTGCCACTTAAAACCTGTGGCATTAGCCATATGACTTACCCTCTCTGTGCCTTTTTCACATCTATAAAATGGGAAAATTGTGGTATCCTATCTTCAAGAATACTGGAAATAAAACAGTTTAATACAGGTACAGCACTTAGCACAAAAGCTGGTACATAATAATGGCTCAGAAAATGCCAGGTAGGGTTTGTGATGTTGCTCACCCTCACCAACATCAGTCTCCTCTGGACTGCCCCTGTGTTAGTCTTTACCACAAAACTTAGTTTTAATATTTTCTTTTTTTTTTTTTTTTTTTTTTTTTTTTTTTTTTTTTATTATACTCTAAGTTTTAGGGTACATGTGCACATTGTGCAGGTTAGTTACATATGTATACATGTGCCATGCTGGTGCGCTGCACCCACTAATGTGTCATCTAGCATTAGGTATATCTCCCAATGCTATCCCTCCCCCCTCCCCCGACCCCACCACAGTCCCCAGAGTGTGATATTCCCCTTCCTGTGTCCATGTGATCTCATTGTTCAATTCCCACCTATGAGTGAGAATATGCGGTGTTTGGTTTTTTGTTCTTGCGATAGTTTACTGAGAATGATGGTTTCCAATTTCATCCATGTCCCTACAAAGGATATGAACTCATCATTTTTTATGGCTGCATAGTATTCCATGGTGTATATGTGCCACATTTTCTTAATCCAGTCTATCATTGTTGGACATTTGGGTTGGTTCCAAGTCTTTGCTATTGTGAATAGTGCCGCAATAAACATACGTGTGCATGTGTCTTTATAGCAGCATGATTTATACTCATTTGGGTATATACCCAGTAATGGGATGGCTGGGTCAAATGGTATTTCTAGTTCTAGATCCCTGAGGAATCGCCACACTGACTTCCACAATGGTTGAACTAGTTTACAGTCCCACCAACAGTGTAAAAGTGTTCCTATTTCTCCGCATCCTCTCCAGCACCTGTTGTTTCCTGACTTTTTAATGATTGCCATTCTAACTGGTGTGAGATGATATCTCATAGTGGTTTTGATTTGCATTTCTCTGATGGCCAGTGATGATGAGCATTTCTTCATGTGTTTTTTGGCTGCATAAATGTCTTCTTTTGAGAAGTGTCTGTTCATGTCCTTCACCCACTTTTTGATGGGGTTGTTTGTTTTTTTCTTGTAAATTTGTTTGAGTTCATTGTAGATTCTGGATATTAGCCCTTTGTCAGATGAGTAGGTTGCGAAAATTTTCTCCCATGTTGTAGGTTGCCTGTTCACTCTGATGGTAGTTTCTTTTGCTGTGCAGAAGCTCTTTAGTTTAATTAGATCCCATTTGTCAATTTTGTCTTTTGTTGCCATTGCTTTTGGTGTTTTGGACATGAAGTCCTTGCCCACGCCTATGTCCTGAATGGTAATGCCTAGGTTTTCTTCTAGGGTTTTTATGGTTTTAGGTTTAACGTTTAAATCTTTAATCCATCTTGAATTGATTTTTGTATAAGGTGTAAGGAAGGGATCCAGTTTCAGCTTTCTACATATGGCTAGCCAGTTTTCCCAGCACCATTTATTAAATAGGGAATCCTTTCCCCATTGCTTGTTTTTCTCAGGTTTGTCAAAGATCAGATAGTTGTAGATATGCGGCATTATTTCTGAGGGCTCTGTTCTGTTCCATTGATCTATATCTCTGTTTTGGTACCAGTACCATGCTGTTTTGGTTACTGTAGCCTTGTAGTATAGTTTGAAGTCAGGTAGTGTGATGCCTCCAGCTTTGTTCTTTTGGCTTAGGATTGACTTGGCAATGCGGGCTCTTTTTTGGTTCCATATGAACTTTAAAGTAGTTTTTTCCAATTCTGTGAAGAAAGTCATTGGTAGCTTGATGGGGATGGCATTGAATCTGTAAATTACCTTGGGCAGTATGGCCATTTTCACGATATTGATTCTTCCTACCCATGAGCATGGAATGTTCTTCCATTTGTTTGTGTCCTCTTTTATTTCCTTGAGCAGTGGTTTGTAGTTCTCCTTGAAGAGGTCCTTCACATCCCTTGTAAGTTGGATTCCTAGGTATTTTATTCTCTTTGAAGCAATTACGAATGGGAGTTCACCCATGATTTGGCTCTCTGTTTGTCTGTTGTTGGTGTATAAGAATGCTTGTGATTTTTGTACATTGATTTTGTATCCTGAGACTTTGCTGAAGTTGCTTATCAGCTTAAGGAGATTTTGGGCTGAGACGATGGGGTTTTCTAGATATACAATCATGTCGTCTGCAAACAGGGACAATTTGACTTCCTCTTTTCCTAATTGAATACCCTTTATTTCCTTCTCCTGCCTGATTGCCCTGGCCAGAACTTCCAACACTATGTTGAATAGGAGCGGTGAGAGAGGGCATCCCTGTCTTGTGCCGGTTTTCAAAGGGAATGCTTCCAGTTTTTGCCCATTCAGTATGATATTGGCTGTGGGTTTGTCATAGATAGCTCTTATTATTTTGAAATACGTCCCATCAATACCTAATTTATTGAGAGTTTTTAGCATGAAGGGTTGTTGAATTTTGTCAAAGGCTTTTTCTGCATCTATTGAGATAATCATGTGGTTTTTGTCTTTGGCTCTGTTTATATGCTGGATTACATTTATTGATTTGCGTATATTGAACCAGCCTTGCATCCCAGGGATGAAGCCCACTTGATCATGGTGGATAAGCTTTTTGATGTGCAACTGGATTCGGTTTGCCAGTATTTTATTGAGGATTTTTGCATCAATGTTCATCAAGGATATTGGTCTAAAATTCTCTTTTTTGGTTGTGTCTCTGCCCGGCTTTGGTATCAGAATGATGCTGGCCTCATAAAATGAGTTAGGGAGGATTCCCTCTTTTTCTATTGATTGGAATAGTTTCAGAAGGAATGGTACCAGTTCCTCCATGTACCTCTGGTAGAATTCGGCTGTGAATCCATCTGGTCCTGGACTCTTTTTGGTTGGTAAACTATTGATTATTGCCACAATTTCAGAGCCTGTTATTGGTCTATTCAGAGATTCAACTTCTTCCTGGTTTAGTCTTGGGAGAGTGTATGTGTCGAGGAATGTATCCATTTCTTCTAGATTTTCTAGTTTATTTGCGTAGAGGTGTTTGTAGTATTCTCTGATGGTAGTTTGTATTTCTGTGGGATCGGTGGTGATATCCCCTTTATCATTTTTTATTGTGTCTATTTGATTCTTCTCTCTTTTTTTCTTTATTAGTCTTGCTAGCGGTCTATCAATTTTGTTGATCCTTTCAAAAAACCAGCTCCTGGATTCATTGATTTTTTGAAGGGTTTTTTGTGTCTCTATTTCCTTCAGTTCTGCTTAGTTTTAATATTTTCAAATGTCCATGGCTGCCTCAGATGATTCTTCCTTATTTCCACTTAGTGGCAAGCTCCATGAGCTGGCTCACTCTTATACCTCTGCACAAAGACCTCAGGAAGCCCTGGATATAGCCCTGGGCTTGCCCACTTCCCTTCACTACATTCACACTGAGCCCTTGCGGTTAAACCACAAGGAATGTGGTGGAAAGGAACCACCTCGGCACTTGTGACCTCAGCCAAAATTAATACTCAAGGTCCCAGGAGAAAACTTGGTACAACTAACTGACATCTTCCCTAGATTTTACAAGATATCTGGAGCCCATGAACAAGTGACAGCCATAAAAAAGCGGAAAGAAATACGCAGTGGTCTGCCTCTGAGTGGCAATCTTACCTCTGGGTGTCGATCCAGATCACTGAGGGTCAAGCCATACTGCAGGATGAGCTGGCGGGCCTGCGGAGGACAGGGAAGAGCAACCACGATCATTTACTTGAGTTCATGACAAGGATTCTCAGAATTCTTCTGGATTTAAGTGTCCCAAGTCCTACCCAGGCTCTCTCCCAAAGCCCAGCATGGCCCACCATGAGGTAGGAGATCTAGCCCCATGAATGGCAAAACTAACTGCTGATTCAACCTGGGAGCTGGGAAAAGGCAAACAGCACAGCAAAGACCCTGTTCCAATGCGAAGCTAAGAGCTCCTCGTCAGTGACTTGTGATGAAAGAGAATGCCACGGCATCCTAAAGCTTCTGGCAAAACAAGTGCGACAAAAAATTCCTAACATAGAACCAAATCCACAACTTACTACAAAGGTTTTAAAACAATCCAATGGTATAAAAACAGACTGAGGAAGATCATTATGAATGGACACGGAGTGGTTTCCAGCCCACACTGTTAAGTAAATATGAGGAAAAGAATATATACACTTAAAAATGCCAGAATTCAGAAAGACTAAGGGAGGAAGTCAGCAAATTTAGCACACTAGACTGGGAGAGATTTAGGATGTTTGTGAGAAAGTCAGCACCACTGACGTTATAGTCAAGCTTCAGAGCTAACCTTCTTAAAAAGGTGACAAAAGGGAGAACAGTGGTTACAGCCATCAAATTTTGGCTCTGAGCAGGATTCGTAGCTGGAATAAAGATACCTCAAACCTTCATGTTTGAATGCCCAAGTCCCAGTGATGTGAGTTTATGTTCATGTCATTGCTTATAATGCACAGAAACCAAAGGATGGAAAACTTTTTTGTAAAGACAAGCCTTCACAACGTTTTCTGCTAAAAACAAAAAGCACCTGAGATTAAGAATCAGAAGGTCCAGGTTCTAATCTTAAATGAGCCAGCCCTGTGACCCTTGGCAATTTTTCTCATCTATAAAAAGGTAGGGACAGATGAAATGACCGAGGCCAACCTTCTAATCTAAAATCGTAAGACTCTAAGGCTAAAACGTAAAGATCTTGAAAATTGTAATGTTGGATCCTGATTCAAACAAACTAAAAAATATACTTTTAAAGGATAAGACAATAAAAAAACTTTGAACCCCAGATTTGATGTTATTAAAAATTATTGATGTTATTAGAAATTATTGCTCTTTTTAGTATTGTTGTGGTGTTTAAAAGACTCCCCATTTTCCAGAGAGACATATGAAATATATACAATGAAATGATATTATGCCTGGAATTTGTTTCTAAATAACAAGATTCAGGGGGATATTTAGGTATGGATGAAATAGGATTGGCTGTGAACTGATAATTATTGAAACTGGATGCTGAGTACATGGAAGTTCATTTTATTGTTCTCTCTCCTTTCTGAACTTTGAAATTTGCCATAATAAAAAGCTAAAATAAAATGCTGGCTGAATAAGCAAGTTCAAAAAAAACCTTATGATTTTGAACTTATCAAAGAGAAATATATGCTGAAAAGGAAAACAGCAAAAATAGTATTGCTAGATTATTTCTTAATTCTTAGATTTCTCCAAAAGTACTATCAGAACTATGCAGCCGTTAAAAACAAAAAGAGAGAGAGATCACGTCCTTTTCAGGAACATGGATGGAGCCAGAGGCCATTATCCTTAGCAAACTAGCGCAGGAACAGAAAACCAAATACCACATGTTCTCACTTGTAAGTGGGAGCTAACAGAGGGCAACAATACACACTGGGGCTGACTGAAGGATAGAGGGTGGAGGGTGGGAGGAAGGAGACGATCAGGGAAAATAACTAATGGGTACTAGGCTTAACACCTGGGTGACAAAATAATCTGTACAGCAAACCCCCATGACATGTTTACCTACATAACAAACCTGCACATGTACCCCTGAACTTTAAAGTTTAAAAAAGTAAAAGTAGTATTAGAGAAACCATCCTAACTTCAGATCTGAGACTACAAAAACATTGGAAAGTGGCCTCAAAGAGGGCCCCAATAATCCTCACCTCCTGACATTCATCCCTTTGGATCATCCCTTCCCATTGTCCCAGAGTTAGTCTGTGTGAGTGACCAATGGCACAAAGCGGAGGTGATGATATGACACTTCTGAGATTAGTTTACAGAGAACGCTGCAGAGGGAGGGCAGGGGTAAGGCTGCAGACTGGCATGCTCCTCTCTCTCGCATGCGCACACATGCACGCGCACACATGCGCGCGCACACACACACACGCACGCACACAAGAGATATTAAACCAATCATTAACACATCGCTAACAGCCATGCGCGGTGGCTCATGCTCATAATCCCAGCACTTCGGGAGGCCAAGGTGGGTGGATCACTTGAGGCCAGGAGTTCAAGACCAGTCTGACCAACATGGTGAAACCCCATCTCTACTAAAAATACAAAAATTAGCTAGGCATCATGGTACCTGTAACCCTAGCTACTCAGGAGGCTGAGGCAGGAGGATCATCTGAGACCAGGAGGTGGAGGGTGGCAGTGAGCCGAGATAGTGCCACTGCACTCCAGTCTGGGCAAGAGAGCAAGACTCTTTCTCAAAAACAAACAAAAAAAACCCCACACTGCTAACTGATAAGGACGTTTTAAAAATAGCTGTCATGTCCTGGACAAGGAGTTGGCTCTCCTTCCCCTAAAAGGCACATTATCTCTACTTCTTCTCTACCATATACTTATAAAATATTGCATACATGAATGTAGCATTAATTCTTTGAATATTTGTGGAGTGCCAGGCACCACACCAGACACTGAAGATAGTAACACACATTCTCCATGCACAAGGGCCTCTCTATTCTTATACAAATGAATATACCTTAAATCAGGGGTGTCCAGCCTTTTGGTTTCCCTGGGTCACACTGGAAGAAGAATTGTCTTGGGCCACACATAAAATGCACTAACACTATCAATAGCTGGTGAGCTTAAAAAAAAAAAATCACAAAAAAACTCAATGTTTTAAGAAAGTTTATGAATTTGTGTTGGACCACATTTAAAGCCATCTTGGGCCACGAGTTGGACAAGCTTGCCTTAAATGATCACGACAACCAACTGAGCTATGCCTCCTCACCACAACCACCAGCCGCCCACCCCAGTACCTGACCAAAGCCTGGCACATGAGAAGGGCCTGGTCGGTGAGCACTGTCTGTTTCTGCAGCTGGGGGGCCCACTGTGATTCCCCTGCATACCCCCATACTCCACCCTCAACTTCTGCAAGCCCTGAGACTCTCCCATCTTCCCCAACAGACAATAAGCAACAACACAAGGGGAGCATCTGTACTCCCTTTAAAACAGTTCTGTGCCCCAATTCACAACACGAGGCTCAGGAATTCTGCCGGTTTGTTAAAATGGTCAACTGAAGTCTGGGCCCCTGTACAATGACTTCAAGATCCCACTAGGAGAGAACACTTTAAGCCTGTTCCCATCAGCAAGTTCTCCAACTCTCCCTTCTCCCAACCTGTGACTTGCCTCCCCGCAGGAGTGGTCCAGCAGCTCTACAGAGAAGTCCTGATTACAAATGGTGTGAGCCTCATCCTTCCTGAATGTTAGGTTGAATTGTGTTCCCCACAAAAAAGATCTATTGGAGTTCTAAGCCTCAGTACTTCAGAATGTGATGTTTTATGGAGACAGTGTCTTTAGAGAGGTAATCAAATTCAAATGAGGCCATTAGAGTAAGCTCTAAATCAGTATGACTGATGTCCTTATTAAAAGCGGAAATTTTGACACAGAAACAAACAGGCCCACAGGGAGAACAACATGTGAACATGCAGGCAGAGATCAGGGGATGGGCCTACAAGCCAAGGAACACCAAAGGATATCAGCAACCCACCGAGAGAGTTAGGAGGAAGGCACAGGACAGATTCTCCTTCACAGTCTCAGAGAACCAATTCTGCCAACACCTTCATCTCAGACTTCTAGCCTCCAGAACTCTGAGACAACACATTTCTGTTTTTTTTTTTTTAAGCTATTCAGTCTGTGGAACCTTGTTATGGCAGCCTTGGCAAACTGATGCATGGAGTTCCACAAACAGCATAAGGGTTTTGACCCACTACTGGCTCAGTGAGCATATGCAGCCTCTGGTGCTCCACTGAGATCTGCATCTGCTAGACACCAGAAGCTTCTAACAGGGAAGCAAAAGGGTCTCCGGAGCGTGTAGAGTAAACACCCCTGCCTGCCTCTTCTGGCCAGAGTTCTGGAAAGTGCAAGGAGCAGGAAAGCTAATGATTAGCTTGTGATTCTGAAGAAAGGCAAGAAGCAAACCCCACAGCTGGTACCTCTAAACGTCTCATGATTAGGGACAGTGGCACTTGGCAGGCTACTGGTACTTCTGTTTTCCCTTCATTTTACAATAAAACCTGAAAATGTAGTTTTATTATTTCACAAAATGTGGTTTTCAGGTTTTATGGTGCTTACATAGTAGAAGCATAAACATTTTCCCTTCTACTACCTAATCAAGGTAGAACCGAAGGCAGAGTGAGCAATAAATGCTGTTTTTGGTTTAAACCAGTTCTGGCTTTCAGGTACTTTACCTTCTTCTTTACCTTCTACCTTTAAAGTTAAAGGCCTTTAATTTTAAAGAGCAAATCCACCAAAATCATTTAAATCCCTACAGGTTTACTTGTTTAAAAAGTAGGGCATGAAACTGTTAGGGCTCAGGATACCCCAAAATAAAAGCCTCAGAAACATCCTCAGGAGCTGCCAGGCACAGTGGTTCACTCCTGTAATCCCAGCACTTTGGAAGGCCGAGGTGGGCAGATCACCTGAGGTCGGGAGTTCGAGACCAGCCTTGCCAACATGGTGAAACCCCATCTCCAGTAAAAATACAAAAAAATTAGCCAGGTGTGTTGCCATATGCTTGTAATCCCATCTACTAGGGAGGCTGAGGCATTAGAATCACTTGAACCTGGGAGGTGGAGGTTGAAGTGAGCCGAGATCACACCACTGCACTCCAGCCTGGGTGACAGAGTGAGACTCTGTCTCAAAAAAAACAAAACAAAACAAAGAAAAAAGAAAGAAACATATTCAGAGGCAAAAGTTTCTTTCAATTATTCTGCCCTCCTGACTCTGGCCTCTCATGCTCCTGAGGATAGCCATAGAAACTAGAATCCCTCCTCCCCAAAGCAGGTCACAGAAACAACAACCACTTTCCTTTTCCCTTTTCCCCAAAGCCAGACATAAAACTGTGAAAGGAAAATAAAACTTGAGGCCCCAAAATCAATCAAGGTGGGAACTGCTTAGGGCAAACCTGTCTCCCATTCTATTCAAAGTCACCCCTCTGCTCACTGTGATAAATGCATATCTGATTGCCTCCTTTGGAAAGGCTAATCAGATGCTCAAAAGAATGCAACCATTTGTCTCTTATATACTTATGACCTGGAAGCTCCCTTCCAGCTTCAAGTCTTCCCGCCTTTGCTTGAGTTGTCCCACCTTTCCAGACCAAACCAATGTTCATCTTGCATATATTGATTAACACCTCATGTCTCCCTAAAACGTACAAAACCAAACTGTGCTCTGACCACCTTGGGCACATGTCGTCAGGACCTCCTGAGGTGTGTCACAGGCACGTGTCCTCAACTTTGGCAAAATAAACTTTCTAAATTACCTGAAACCTGTCTCAGATTTTCAGGGTTGACATTTTGGTAACCACAGAGGGATTCTGAGTAGAGGTACCCCTGACCTTTGACAAATCTATCAGTGCTTAGTACCAGCATGAGCTAATTTTATGGCTCAAACCAACAGGACAATTTGCTGAGGTCTGGGAGTACACCCTCCAGAGAATCCCTGATCTCCCCAAATCTGGTCAAAATCTAAAGTTTATTTTGCTGTAGAACTCCCCCCACCTTTTTGTTTTTTGGAGTTTTACTTGATTCCAACAAGGAATGCAAGATTTCCTGTTTCCATGACGATGGAAGGCAGGTAACTCCTTTATGGAGTTTGAGCTCACTCCCAGCAGGGAATATGAGTTTAACATTTTTTGTTGTTTTTTTCCTCCTGCTTCTAGAGCGGTAGAAAGCAGTCTTTAGCCTGAGACCCATCCCTAGGTAAGTAGTTGAATTGGGGTTTTCTCTTGTCTAAAGCTTAATAACTAGTTGGTCTTAATCTCTCCTTACCATTAGAGCACTCGGTGATCATATTGTTAGGGTTTTTATTGTTGTTGTTTTTTGCAGTCTTTCTCCCAACAGATTTGACCAACTCTACCTGACTTGATCAAATCCAAGCAAGAATTCCAAATTATGGGTAACAAACCCTTTCTAATTTCGCTAAAATTCCTCGCAGCTGCAAAAGAGGGAAAAATAAACAAACAAACAAAAAACTATGCACTTGGTTTCTGTTTGCTTCCTGTCTTAAAAAAACAAACAAATGTTCTTTCATTTACTTCTCTTCCACCCTATACCTCCTTCTTCCCCCTTTGCCATCTGCAGTACCAAAAACAGTCTAGAGGTTTATAATGAGTTGAACCCCTTTAAAGAATTCAGAACAAAGGTGCCACTCACCGCAGTTGGGGTGTTCTGTTTTCTTTGCAGAGTTTCAAGAGTCATGGGCAGATTCTTCTTAGGTCTAAAGCTCTGTTTTCCTGTATTGGGTGACCTGACCTCTTTGGCTGTGGGGGCACCAGAGATCACCTTGTACTGTGAGAGGATCTGACCATGGCATGTATAATGGCAAATGAGACAAAGGACTGTTACGTCTTTGTTTCAAAGCTAAACTACAAACTAAGTTCCTCCCAAAGACCAGGAATGAACAAGGACACCGTAAAGGTTAGAAGCAAGATGGAGTCCGTTAGGTCCTATCTTCTTCACTGTCTCCGAATTTTGCAATGGAAAGTTTCATAACTTTAAATAATGACTATCAAACTTTTCATAAATAATCTAAACAATTAAAATAAGTAAATGTAATGGGATAAATACTTGTAGACAAACTTGTCATAATTTAGAATCTAAAGTTAAATTATAGATATTTTATTATTTGGGTATTTTCCAATAAAAATATATTGTAGGAAAATATTCTTTCAAAAATAAGTGTCCTTAAAAAGGTGAACAATTTTTGTTTGGTTCAAAGCTTTTTTAAAGGTTATGTATAAAACAAGTTGTAAAAGGAACCACAAAATAAGAGAGATGTAAAGAAAGCTATAAAAAAAAAGGGTTTTTTTGGTGAAAAAGCTTAAAGAGAAATAATTTTGTATGAGAAAAAATCTTGTATGGTTAATTTGGGCCTAGAATAAAATGACTGGTTGTTTAAGAAAGAGGTATGTTCAGGACAAACCAGAAAGTCCAAGCACGTCATGAAGAGTCTAAGGCACAATAAAAGGATTAAAAAAAAAAAAAAAACTTTTATAGATCAAGCTGTCTATAATTAAACACAAATTATAATGGTCTTTCTGGAGATTGGGTTTGATATTTAAAAAAAACCATTTATATACTAAAGAATTTATTAGAACAGTAAGGGATTGATTTCTTAAGGGATCTACTCTTAATAAATTATTAGAGATTTTAATTATGTTTTTAAATAAATATATGTATTTAAAGATATATTTGCTATTAATATATGTTTCAATACATAATTATAATTATATAATATATATGAACTCATCCTTTTTTATGGCTGCATTCCATGGTGTATATGCACCACATTTTCTTTATCCAGTCTATCACTGATGGGCATTTGGGCTGGTTCCAAGTCTTTGCTATTGTGAATAGTGCTGCAAAAAACATGTGTGCATGTGGGGGGGGGGGTGTGTGTGTGTGTGTGTGTGTGTGTGTATAATATATATCTAAAATATATCTATTATGTTTTATATTAACATATATTAATTATAATAATAAAACAATATACTAATATGTTGTATTTTATATTATACTAATTATATTAAATATGATTATATTAGTAATATATTTATAAGTATTAAAGTATAATTATTAAATTTATTTTCTTTTTTTTAAATTATACTTTAAGTTCTGGAATATATGTGCAGAACGTGCAGTTTTGCTACATAGGTATATACATGCCACGGTGGTTTGCTGTACCCATCCACCCATCATCTACATTAGGTATTTCTCCTAATGCTATTCCTCCCCTAGCCCCTCACCCCCTGACAGGCCCCAGTGTGTGATGTTCCCCTCCCTGTATCCATGTGTTCTCATTGTTCAACTCCCACTTATGAGTGAGAACATGCAGTGTCTGGTTTTCTGTTCTTGTGTTAGTTTGCTAAGAATGATGGTTTCCAGCTTCATCCATGTCCCTGCAAAGGACATGAACTCATCCTTTTTTATGATTGCATAGTATTCCAAGGTGTATATGTGCCACATTTTCTTTATCCAGTCTATTATTGATGGGCATTTGGGCTGGTTCCAAGTCTTTGCTATTGTGAATAGTGCTGCAATAAACATACGTGTGCATGTGTCTTTATAGTACAGTGATTTATAATCCTTTGGGTATATACCCAGTAATGGGATTGCTGGGTGAAATGGTATTTCTGGTTCTAGATCCTTGAGGAATTGCCACACTGTCTTCCACAATGGTTGAACTAATTTACACTCTCACCAACAGTGTAAAAGCATTCCTATTTCTCCACATCCTCTCCAGCATCTGTTGTTTCCTGACTTTTTAATGATAGCCATTCTAACCAGTGTGAGATGGTATCTCATAACTATTAAATATATTTCTATATATTTAAATAATATATATTTAAACTATATTTAATAATGTATTTTAAAATAATTTAAATTATTTTTTAATTTTGTTTTAGAAGTTTGACATTTATTACATCTCACCATTTTCAGTTTTTTCTCCCCTTTTAAAAGGAGCAAAGTAATAATGTTCTCCAACTCATTTTCAGCTCATATAAGTTTTTTTCCCCTCAAGTTCCATTTGTTGTGGCCTGATGCTAACAATAATTTCTTAAAGGTCTAAAGGAAATGTTTTCTTCCAACATAATATTCTGTACACTGCAGAAGGTCTTTCCTTTTGCCTTTTGGTAACTGGCCTAACAGATTTTACGTTTTATGGAAATAATTCCTATGGCATTAAGTTTTGATTTGCTTACGAAAAAAAACTGAGACAAATTTTTTTTTAAATTAAGGTTATTACATCCACGTATCTTTTTGTATGTGCTTTTGAAGTTCTTGTAACATTAAGTTACAGGGCTTTGACTCTTGGGTCTGAGAAGGATACCAAGTCCTGTAAAATCTTAAATACTGACAGTAATTAAAGCCTCATCATCAGGCCCCATAGAAGATGCCAATCAAAATAAACTGCATTCCTGAGACACAGGCCAGAAATTAAAGCTATTCAACTCCTCAACGCCAAGGGACTACTGTGGAACAGGTGGGTGTGTGAGATTGTAAGGGCCAATTTTGAGAGATAAAATAAGTTCAGTTTCACTATAAATCAAAC